>NC_000006.12:165385865-165700940 GCF_000001405.40 Homo sapiens
TGGCAGTGCTTTTCATCTGAATTCGCAGCAATCCCTAATCCTTATTCCCAGCTTCTGTTTTTGCAATGTACCTAGCACCTTATCTTCTCTACGCAGAACAAATTTGTCATTATTATTAATTCACCAATGACTGAAATTCCAGCTCTAATATCTGAACCTATTCTCCCATGCCTTTTTGAATGCCAACAGCTTACCTGTCTGAACTTAACTTACTGCCATGAGCTCCTGTTACTAGTTCTGATCTGTTTTTAGGAACACCGCCTTAAGTAATCTGCAAGCCCCACATCGCGGAGGGTTTGCCAAAATGGAGGCAAACCACCCTAAACCTCCATTTTTGATGGCAGCAACTGGGCCAAGTCTTCCTAGGGTTTAGGTGGACCTGGAGCTTCACCATCCCCACCTGCCTTGATGTGACTGCTATATTACAAGGTTTATTTATTATTCTGCTCAGGGGCAATAAACTTTGCAATCTGGCCTCCTTCAAAACTAATCCTATTATATTTAATACAGCCTTTCTAAAGAAACTCTATATTGGCTATTAAAATTCAGCTGTGATTAAACTGCTAGCAATGTTGTACTGTCAAATGCATGAATTCATTTAGGGCATGGGATGCTAATTCAGTGACTCCTAATTATTTTTAAGTGAAGTCATCCTGATGTTGTTTCTGGCGTTTATTCTTCTTAAACAAACAAATAGTCTCCAATGATGAATGAGGTCAAAGTAGACATTAGCTGTCATAAAGTTTTAGAATGTTCATCCATTTACAAAAAAGCATGTTTTACATATATGTGTAAATATATGTACACATACATATACACACAAGCCTTTTATCCTGCTTAAATTTCTATGTATGCAGCCAGGCGCGGTGGCTCACGCCTGTAATCCCAGCACTTTGGGAGGCTGAGGCGGGCGGATCACAAGGTCAGGAGATTGAGACCATTCTGGCTAACACAATGAAACCCCAGCTCTACTAAAAAAAAAAAAAATACAAAAAAAAAAATTAGCCGGGCATGGTGGTGGGCTCCTGTAGTTCCAGCTACTTGGGAGGCTGAGGCAGGAGAATGGCGTGAATCCAGGAGGCGGGGCGTGCAGTGAGCCCAGATCGCGCCACTGCACTCCAGCCTGGGCGACACAGCGAGACTCTGTCTCAAAAAAAAAATTTCTATGTATGCTTGTTTTATGCCGGTATGTATGTATCTATGTAAACATATGTCATTTAAAAAGGAAAGAGCTGGTGTCAAGCAAATGATAGGAATGATGACTACATGTTGCTTTCACGACCAAACTGAACCATGAGCAAGCTCAACATCAGCTACCTACTGGGGATGGCTTGAAAATGACTCAAATAGCTCCATATCTGAAACACTTTTCACTTCTACCCAGAAGATAATTCGAAGAGCACCCACAATAGAGTAAGTTCATCATTTACCTTCGTAGGCCTGAGGACATGAGACCTGGACAGGTCAGTTTTGCTGGGTTTTAAAAAGGACTGAGCAGGCAGCACTACCAATCACGTGGACAGTTAAATGAGGAGGCACTAAGAGAAGCCTTTGGGAAACTGAGGGGAGAAAAAAAAATCCTGGCATTTAGAGGAGGCCTGGCCTATTCAACAGAGAAAAACTGCACCAAGTGGCAAAAGCTTTTCTGCTTCGCAACTTGCCTATGGCCAGTTACTGGCAGAGTCACTGCTGGCATTTTGCTGTGACATCCTAAAAACTCAAAACCTTTTCCCTTAGACACATCATTGGAAGACCTAACGAGGATTTCTCTTCCTACTTAGAGGTGCTGACAGTGAGAGGAAAATATAGGGCCCACTATACTTAAGCCAAACCCAGATTATATTTTTAAACATTGTTTGTGATAGGAATCAAGTCACTATGATGTAATAGCTACCTTGATAAGATGAGTTTGAGAAAAATCATTTAAGAAAGAAGGAGCGTATATATCCCATGTTGAAGTGATGTCTGTGATTGTCTACATCAATTACCAAGAACATCTTAAAGACAATAAAATAAATAAACAAAACATACAGTGTAAAAAAAGAAAGGCTACAATGCATTTAAAACCTTATATTTAGCTAACTTTTAAGATTTGCTGTTCAATATCTTCTTGTTCAAGAATATGATAATCTATATAATTAATTGATTTAAACTATGTAAAATAAGTATTGCTTTAGGGTTACAGGTACTTACTGATATAATGTTTAAAAAACAAATGTGATTGCAAAATACATATATTCAAATTATTTGTAAAGGATTCTTTATGCAAAAAACACTATTATTTAATGATGACTATAAATATAAGGTTCTACAATAAAAAGTAGCTGTTGCTTTTAAGGAAGCCATAATGATCTTCCTTTTCCACCTATGAAGTATCCCTATCTCCCAGACAGCCCTTCAGACTAAGCGAGAGACGGCGTGCAGTGACTCACCTGGAGGATGGACACAGTCTGGGAGAAGTGGTGCTGCTCCATGGTGGAAGTGGAGTAGAGAGCGGCCAGAGGGTGGTCGAACTTCTGCAGGTAGCTGTTACTGAAGCCCCTGTGGTCCAGGTCATGACACAGACACGCAATCAGCAGTCCTTTGCGCTTTAAAAAATAATATGATGCAGAGATGCTCAAAACACAGAAACACACATGAGCAGACTTACCGCTTACATTCATGTCACATTACTTTCTGGCATTAATATAGCACAAATACAGCATTCTGGCATAAAGAATCCTATACAAATAGAGCAAACCCTTAGGAATCTTGGAAATTCCAGATAATCTAACTCATTTGTAGGCCCTTTCTTTGTTTCTCTGCTTAGGAATCTGATAGTCAAATTATTTTTGAGTTTCTCTCTCAACTCTAGGAAAAGGTGCAGGAGGTATCAACTTAAAGGTATAAAGCAAATGTTCCAAAAAAGTACAGATAAAGCAAATCTGCACAAGGAAAGAAAGGTCAGTTTCAGCAAAATCTATTCAATGTTAAATTCTAACAATGCTATTGCTATTATAAACAATAAATATAACAGGTAAATCATATCGCATGTAAAAATGGCAAATATATAGAAAAAAAGGCAGAGCAGGCTAAAGGAAATTAGAGAAAGTCAGGCTGAGTATGAAATAAACTAGGCAGGCACACCTCATGAAAAGGCCAGGTGTGAGCAAAGACCCGAAACAGGGTAAGGAGAGCGGCAAGCGCAGTGTGGGAGAAGAGCACGCCGGGCAGGGGAGCAGTAACAACATAAACTTGAAGGCGAGTGTGCCCTGAGACTCGGAGGATCAGGACGGTGGCCAGTGGGGTCGAGGGCAGGGGAAGCAGTCATCATAAAAGGCTTATATTCTCAGTGATCTGGGGAACTATTATTACACGGTTTTTAGCAGAGCAGTGTTACCATCTTGCTTATATATTTACAAGATTATTCTGGCAACTGTGTGGAAAACAGACTCCAGGAGGATGAGAGATCAGTGAGGAGGTTTCTAAAGTAATTGAGGCAAAATGTAATAGAGCTTTAGACCAGGATAATAACAGTGAAAGCTTCTATGGGGTGATTAAAGTCTGGATGCATTTTGCAGGCAGAACCAACAGGATTTTTTGACTGTCAGAGTGTGAAAAGAAAGGACATGAGGAGGGGTCAAGTATGACCTCAAATGTTTTGGCCTTAGAAGCTATAATGATTACCATCAACTGATATGGAAGGACTGCAGGTGGAATGGGTTTGAGGAGGGAGGTCAGGAGCTCACATTTAGACTGAGGCGAAGGAGTCTACTTGATAGTCAAGTGGAGATTTGACAAGTGGAGATTTTGTTTTGACAGGTAGCAGCTACTGAAGCCTCACGGCCTGGAGATAGGCCTTTGCTAGAGAAATGAAACTGTCAGTGCCCATGTGGCGTTTAAGGCCACATGACTGGCTGAGCTCACCAAGGTTGTAGTTTGAGGTTGGAGGAGGGTCAAGGTCTAAGCTCTCAAGTACTCCCAATTCTAAAATAAATCATCCAGCAATTAAATACTTGATAAATTAAATACTTGATAAAAATTGAAGGGAAGAAAGAACTCTATAGGTTAAATCCTATTACAACACATTTCATATGACAGTTTCTATTCTTTCATGAAGGGATTTTGAGTGGAATTCAGGTTATGCCAAACATTGCTTGAAAAGACTGAAGTGTTTAAAGAATATTGACTCAATGTGTTAGTAACAATCACAATCACAATTTTTATTTTGAAAGACAAATTATACCTGAAAAGGGGGAACAGACTGCATGGTCTAAGTCTGAGGAAAGAGAAGGATTAAGAAAAAAACAACAAAACAAAAACAAACAAACAAAAAACCCCAAGGGAGGAACAGCTGGTGCATTCGCAGGAAAACCAAGAGTGCCGAATGTCCCGGGATTCGATTGAAGACACTGAGCACTAACCCTTGGATCTCGCAAGGTGTGGGTCACTGGTGACCTGGAGCAGGGCATTTTCTGGGGTGTTAAGGTCAGAAGCTTGATCAGAGTTGTTTTCAGAAAGAATGCGAGGAGAGGATTTTGAAAGAGTCAATAGGGTAATGCTTACATGGGGTTTACTGCAAAGAAGAGCAAAGTAACAGGGAGGGAGCTGAGAAGAGCGGCAGATCGGAGCATATTCTAAGATGGAAGTAAAAAACTGCATGCGTACATGCAGATGGCAATGATCCAGAAAAGAGGGGTGAAAGCATGATAATGGAGGAGAGAGAAGAGTGGGAAGCACTGGTAGGCAGTGTTCTCCAAGAGGTGGAGGCGACAGATACAATAAAGCAGAAGGGTCAGCTCTGGAGAGGAGTGTGAAGGTTTAAGGAAGTGTGCAAGGCAGAGCCTGCTGAGGGCAGATGCAGACAGATGGGGGTGCTGCGATGGGAGTCAGCAGAAGTTCTCACAGGTACATTTTTAGCGATATGCCTGCTTCTTTGTCCTGATAATGCTGAACTGGTTTTTCCCGCCACATAATTGGAAGGGAAATCTCGCCAGTAACCCCTAACCCCATGAAGTATCATGTTAACAATCATACTCGCCTGGCATTCTTAAGATAACTGAATTAATTATGTTGTTAGTATCATTTTGTTTTGGGGTGGTTTCCATGTTATATGCTGCTGTGTCATCATGATGTACCTGATAAGAAATCTCAAGAGTTTTACAATCTTGCACAATACGTAAAAGTTATCATCTTTCCAGTTTCTAAACTCATTTTTAAAATTCATGTGACTTTCAGTAGTTTTATTAAAGGTGTGCCAGAATCATACATCTGAAAATAATGTATAAAGAATCACCCTTGTTAAGCATTTCCCTTTAACAAGATCAAATGGTAACTTCTAACAGTTCTTTTAGAGATTAAATTTCTTCTTTATAAAATATGTTTTAAATATTTACATGTCATTTTGGGGATTATTTTTCAGCCAAAACGATCTGATGTTTTGGGAAAATGTAATGATATAATTCCAAAAATGAATTAGGAACTTAAATGAGAGTCAATATGTATCAACAAAGTTTTTCTCACTTATTGTTAAATTTTCAATTTTTTTGAATATAAATTACAATGCAACTTGAAAGTATAATTTCTACAGTTCTTAAACTCACAAGGTATGGCAAAATGGCAAAACAAGACAATGAAATTGCTTTCTTAAAAGGAACAGAATGGAGAAAATGCTGAAAGTCTCAACAGTATGGGGTTCAATAGAAAAGGACTTTGTTAAGACAAACAAATGAAAAAAGGAGAGATTTCATGTGGATCTTTCGCGGGGAGGTGATAAATAATAAATTACTGATCAGGCTAAACTCCACTTGAACTAAAGATTGTTTTAAAAAAAGCAACAAAAACTAGAGGATAATTTTTTATTCTTTCTTAAAATGCTACTATTTTTTTCCTAGAATGCATCTTTTGAGTTTTCCACTCAGATTGTGAATTTGGTCCAATAGGATGGAAAAGGATAGGATGGACCTTCACAAGTACTAGATTCTAGTTTAAATGTGAATTTGAGAAAAGCACAATTTATTTATCACAAAGATGACAGCTCCTTTCTCTGGACAGTCATAGGTCCCCTAAAAGATGATACCAGTTTTTACAGAGGAGAGAAAGGAGGACTCCCTCTAAGGTGTCAGTAGATACTACCAGGATCAATGTGGTCAGAGGGAGGGATATCCTTCAAAGTCGGGATTGTCCAGATGTAGAATCAGCATCCTTTGTGGCCAGGAGTCACTAAGCATTTAGCCTGGCTTTCAAGTAAGGGACTTTGACTGTGGTTGATGAATGGAAGTGGCCATCTCCAATTCTAACTCTGAGATTACGAAAGCTTTGGATATGTCACTAACTCTGGGTATTTAAAGTCAGGCAAATTAATTAAACATTTCAGATCCTTTAGTTTCCTTATGCTAGAGGAGGTCAAAAACACTTATGTCTTCACAGTATTGAATGCTCTAGGTTCTCAAATAGGCAGGATACGTCTACATTATCCAGGGCATATAAGCAATGAATAAAATTCACTGTTTATATCCCTTCAGAACATTTAAGCTTTAACAGGTAAGACAGACTACAAAATTAGTATTTCCTTGGGGGATATTTTGATGAAGTTAAAATTTCTTTTATCTACATTTCTTATACAAAATAATATGCTAAATGTTTGGGTACAAGAGTCTAAAAATGGGCTACTATTGATTTATTAAGCCAAAATTTGTCTTGGAATAACATGTCACAAATCCATGTCATCAATGTGCTCCTGACACACAGTATTAAATCCACTGAGGTTACGAGAAACAGAGGTAAAGAGTGCACACCCACCTCAAGGTCTGTGAAAAGCGTGTGATTGTTCTGAAGTATGGCATACATGCAGTGTGCTACAGTGACCGCATGCTTCCAGTTGTGATAAGGAACCCGCCGATAGTTCTTCTTCACAGACATAATAAAACGACACAACTTTTCAAGCTCAAAGCTGCATGGAAAAGAAATTGTTATGACTGAAACCAGTAGAGAATCACTATGTTGTAGGAGAACTCCCTAGTTTAGGTACATATATGTCTGTACCCTTATACATTTGCAACTCTAAAGATTTCCACCCTGACTGAATCCATGAGCACTGGAAACTCATTCACCAGTTCCCTTCCAGTTCTCTAGCCAAAAAGAAGTAAGAGGATAAAGACTCTTTTATGGTATCTGTTGTGATACAGTAACTGTCCCACCAGCGAAAAAATATCAGTATTAGTACACAGTCACCCGTCACCAGCCCTCATGATCTTCTTTAGTTTTACGTTCATTTCCTAAACCCCACAGTGCTCAAAAGACAACAACACAGCACCATCTTGCTAAAGGGTATTTTGAGCTAATATTTTCCAAAAAGAATATTCAGACTTGCAAACTGCAAATATGTATATCATGAGACTTTTCTAGAGTTACTATACTTTCAAAGTAATTCCAAAGTATTAAGGTTTATTACACACTCAAATTATTAAGTCACAAATGAACATATCCAAATACTGACATAGTATATAAAATAATATGATGTATATTTTATTACATATAGTTATACTATATTTTTATATTTTTTATATTATGTACTTATTTAAGACCCTACAAACTCTCAAAATAGACTTGAGACAGCTTAAAACAAAAGCATATATAAAACAAGGCTTTCTAAAATACCAGGGAGGTCAAGAATTCATAAAAACTTAAAAAAAAAAGTAACCTGTGTTTTTCTCCACTGAAAATTTTCAAATGTCTTTGAAGTATAAGGTATGGCATTTTAAGAATTCCAACTGGTCAAACTCTCAACTGCATTCTGAGAATTAACTGGAGTTAGGTATCCTATGCTCATCCTTTTGAAACACTAATTTACAAAAAGTCACAGATAGAAAATACACAGGCTTCAAGAAGAATGACAATTTAGTTCTAGAGAAACTAAGAGGCTCTATAAGACATTTAATTCCTAAATGAGTAAAAAAGAGCAAAAGAAAACTATTCCTTGCATTTAAATATTGTGTGTTTACACTGAAAAGGATCAGTTATAAAGTCAGGAAAGGCCTCTAGGACAGGCCAAAGTGGGTGGGGAAAAGATCTGCAATGAAATGGTGCCATAATCAAATTACTGACAAAGTATCACACTTTGAATAAGAAGACATGTTTCTTTTCGATCTATTCTAATAGATATATGATGTTAGGTTGAAAGTTGATGCTAAATTTACACGTGGTGTTCTAAACATTTATTATTATTATTATTATTATTATACTTTAAGTTCTGGGGTCCACGTGCAGAACGTGCAGGTTTGTTACATAGGTATACACGTGCCATGATGGCTTGCTGCACCCATCAACCCTTCATCTACATTTGCTATTTCTCCTAATGCTATCCCTCCCTTAGCCTCCCATCCCCCAACAGGCCCCAGTGTGTGATGTTCCCCTCCCTGTGTCCATATGTTCTCACTGTTCAACTTCCACTTATAAGAGAGAACATGTTGTGTTTGGTTTTCTCTTCTTGTGTTAATATGCTGAGAATGATGGTTTCCAGCTTCATCCATGTCCCTGCAAAGGACATGAACTCATCCTTTTTTATGGCTGCATAGTATTCCATGGTGTGTATGTGCCACATTTTCTTTATCCAGTCTATCATTGATGGGCATTTGGGTTGGTTCCAAGTCTTTGCTATTATGAACAGTGCCACAATAAACATATGTGTGCACATGTCTTTATAGTAGAGTGATTTATAATCCTTTGGGTATATACCTAGTAATGGGATTGCTAGGTCAAATGGTATTTCTAGTTCTAGATCCTTGAGGAATCACCATACCGTTTTCTACAATGGTTGAACTAATTTACATTCCCACCAACAGTGTAAAAGCATTCCTATTTCTCCACATCCTCTCCAGCATCTGTTGTTTCCTGACTCTTTAATGATCGCCATTCTAACTGGCGTGAGATGGTGTCTCATTGTGGTTTTGATTTGCATTTCTCTAATGACCAGTGATGATGAGATTTTTTTCATATGTTTACTAGCTGTATAAAATTCTTGTCAGTAGTAACCCCTGTCTCTTTCAGTTACCCAGCTGAAAGAAACTCTAGCCTCTGTTTTTATGAAAGCTTTTCAGATTTTTTAACCAGGCTACAACCATGTTGCTAGAGCCCCTACAGAGAATCTGAAAAGGCTGCATATTTGTATAATAATCTCAGCCCTTTTTTATTGGAATATTTAGGAAAAAAAGTAATTTATACATGCAGTATTTAAAAATAATTACAAACAAAGATCGTGGTGAGGCATATATGTAGAAGGAGGAAGAGGTTATGTCACCCAATATTTCAAAAAGTAAATTTTAAAGTCATTCATACCAGGATGTCCCACAGGACCGATGAACCATGTAGACAAAAATTCCAGGCCACATGTTTTCAAAAGGACCAATGTCAAAGTGGAATCTGAAATTTTAAAAGGGCAGTTTATCACTAAACGTGATTAGAATAAACACAGTAAGTAAAGAAAAGCATTTAACTTGTTTGTACCAAGGAGCTAAAAAGACACTGGGAGCTCAGCCATCCCTTTTCCTGCCTTCTTAGCCACATAGCTGTTACTGAAAGATTTCCAGGAAGAAACTAAACATATTGCCTTAGAAATCTAGTCCAATATTTGAGTTATTGATTTTCTATTAATCTGTTTGAAAATGATGCTTCATTTGTTGTCAGAGAAATAAAAAGTACAAAAAGGTATATTACAAATATTAGATAAATATACAATCATAGAAAAGGGGGGAAAAGCCTTTTCAGAAGTATTTTTGGAGTTGAAACTGTTCTATCTCCTATTTTAACTGAGATAACAATTTCACTAATATAAACACCAGAGTTATTACCTATTTTTCATTTGCTAATTTAGTTACCAACATTAGACTTGAATAAACAGTATGGTATAATATATACTATAATTTCAATTGTAAGGTAAATATTAGCTCTAAGTCACTTCTGAAGGTTTCCTATGTAGATAGTGTTGGCTTACACTTACAATAAACATACAAATTATCATAGGCCCTACCCTCTAGTAACTTAAATATATTAACATAGGGTTAAAAAATACAGTATGAGAGTCAAACTATGACAAAATTCTTGAATTTAATTTGGAAGTTTAAATTTATATGGAAATGAGAACTGTTTGATATCTTCTGTTAAATGCCATTTTGAGTGTTAAATATTAAATGGTATAAAGTATGCAACAGACTAATGAGAAATGCTAACATTTAGGTTAACTCATTTCAAAACTGAGTTCAGATTTTCTTTTTTAAGGTAATGAGATCTGGCCTTTATTTCCAAATCCTATCATAATATCTGGAATCACTTCAGAAGCAGACAATGGCAACACATGAAACTCCACATGTAATATGTGTATAATAATTGTGACTCTAATTCTATAATCTGTCTCACTTTAAGTTCAATTCAATTAAAAATGGTTCCTGAAGAAACTGACAGAGCAACATACTTACAATTCAATTTCTTTGCAGAGACGCACGGGAAGGGTGAATTGCATGAGACCTTGCCACTCTTCTGAAGTACAAATGCTATGGTAGGACAGCTTTTCCATCGTTACCCGGTAAATGCACTCTGAGTGGCGAATTCTATGATACATCTAGAAGGCAAATCCAAAAAAAAAACCCCCAAAATTAAAAGAATATTTAAACTGTTTTGTCACGGAAGTTCAGAATTTGGTATTAAAGAATCAGAACTAGAATTAAAACCAAAGTGGATTTATTATTATCCGTATTTCCATATGCACTGGGATGTGCAGACATGACTTTGCAGATTCAAAAGAAATGCTTTTTTTAAAAAATGGTATCTCTGCTTTACAAATTTTTATCAGACATTATCTCTGGGTGATGAGATTACTTGGCATTTGTCTTCCTTAAAATGCTCTGTATTTCCGCATTTTTAAATAAAAATTAAACACATTTTATTATCAGAAAATGAATATTTGTACTTTTAAAGATCATCGTAAGATCTAAGGTATTTCTCAATCTGTTACAACAAAACCTTTAATTATTGCATTTCACCTGCACATCAAATTCATCTTCCTTGGGAAGGTTTTATCATCATTACCTTCTCTGGTTTTTAGTCTTGACTGTATATTGTTACTGTTCTTAACAGGACTGAATTTGGGGTGTTATTGGTGTTCCAGCAATGAACTCAAATGAGTAACACAGGTTTGCATTCGTCAGTCATAGACTGTGTCTACAGAGTAAGTATATAAATTGGTAATTACATTAATCGAAAATGGATAGGTACATTTTGCCATCCTGTTAAGTTGAAATCTTGTGTATCTGTATCTGTGTGCAAATGTTTTACAAATAATTATAAATTAATATGTGAGATAAAACAAAAACATGCAGTGGAGCCAAAGGAATGGATCAATATTTATACTTGTGAATTATTAAATAGGTGAGATTAATTAGGAACTGTCTAAAGTAAATTAATACTGAAAACGTGGTGACAAGCTAGAGTAGCTTTTGTAACATTTTGCATTTTTAAAATAACATTTTCTAAAGGATAGTTCACCATCTATAGGTAAGACTATCCAGTCTACATAAAAATATAAATGAAGGCTGGGCAAGGTCACTCACCCTTGTAATCCCAGCACTTTTGGACACCCAGGTAGGTGGATCATCTGAGGTCAGGAGTTCAAGACCAGCCTGGCCAACATGGCAAAACCCTGTCTCTACTAAAAAATAGAAAAATCAGCTGGGTGCACGCCTGTATCTCAGCTACTTGGGAGGCTGAGACAGGAGAATCGCTTGAACCTGGGAGGTAGTGATTGCAGTGAGCCAAGATGGCGCCATTGCACTCTAGCCTGGGCGACAACGGTGAAACTCCATCTCAAAAAAAAAAAAAAAAAAAAAGAATGAAGCTAAATGGGTCAAGAGTAAAGATACTTTCTTTATTTCACAATTTAAAAATATTTAGCTTCCTTCTTGGTGATCTCAAAGTCCTCTTGGTCTAGAGGTTACTAAAATGTTTGATTGTGAAAACCTTATCAGTAAACAAATTGTGGCAATGCAAACCCAATGAATGAATACACAGTAATTATGTGCACACAAACTGTGTTCATGTATTATTTACATACATAGAAATCAGAAACATTAAAATTAAGTGGGTATATTTTTAAATATTTTACTTACTAAATAAGTCTTTGTTCTTACTAAAAAATTACATATTTTTAAATGAAAGTACTATATTTAAATGTTATTAATCATCAAATGCTTTATTTAATACTTTTGGAGATAATGATCTAAGGGATGGTTCACTTTAATTTATTTCAGTATTTAGATTTTCAGTTATACTGTTTGAGAAACATATTCCTTAAGAAGTATGTCGATCCAAATGGAATAAAGTTTGTATTGGCTGTGGCTAATGCCTGTAATCCCAGCACTTTGGGAGGCAGAGGCAGGCAGCAAGACTAGGCTGGCCAACATGGCGAAACCCTGTCTCTACTAAAAACACAGAAAAATTAGCCAGGCACGGTGGCACACACCTGTAATCCTAGCTACTGGGGAGGCTGAGGCATGAGAATCATTTGAACCAGGGAGGCAAGAGGTGGAGGTTTCAGTGAGCAAAGATTGCACTACTACACTTCAGCCTGGGCGATAGAGCAAGACTCTCTCTCTCTCTCTCTCTCAAAAAAAAAAAAAAGGTTGTATTGGCTGTTCTTAAACATTACACTTATATTTTTGTTTCCTAACTACTAATATGTTTGGTTGAAATTCAAATGCATTTCCTTTGTTCTTTATGTCAATCAGTTGACCCTGCAAACTAATCAGCCACATTTTTATATATTACCAATATGGGTTCAAAATCAATGAAAACTCTTTGTGGAGAAGATTTCTATCAGTTAAAACCTGCTTCATATAACAAAATCATTAAAATTCAATTTTAAAGGTAGAGAGAAAAAAAGGGGGAATAAAGAACAGATTAAACACATAGAAAACAAATGGCAAGATGGTAGATTTACACCTAAACGTAAAATGTGAATGGTCTAAACATCATGACTAGAAGTCAAAGACTGTCAGATTGAATAAAAAAGTATCAGCCAACTATATACTGCTTACAAGAATTCTACTCGAACTATAAAGACATAGAGTAAAATTAAAATGATGGAAAAGATATACTGTTTAATACCAGTCAAAAGAAAGTTACGACTTTATTAATAATAACAGGCTAGGTTGATTTCAGAACAAAGATTATTACTAGAAATAAAGAAAATCATTTCAAATAACAAAAGGGTCAGGTCATCACAAGGATATAACAACCCTAAGTATTACACTACCTAATAAGATAGTTTTGGTATACATGAAGCAAACAACGACAGAACTGCAAATAAAATAGACAAATAGAAAAATCCACAATTATAGTTAGAGATTTCACACCACCCTTTCAACTGAACTACTCATACATCAACCCAATCAAAATCCCAGTAGGCTTTTCTATAGGAAATTAAAAGCTGATTCTATAATTTATATGGAAATTCAAAGGACCTAGAATAGCCAAAATAACTCTGAAAACAAAGAATAAAGGTAAAGAAATTATACTGCCCAAATCCAATACTTATTATAAAGGTTTTTTTATTATACTTTAAGTTTTAGGGTACATGTGCACAACGTGCAGGTTTGTTACATATGTATACATGTGCCATGTTGGTGTGCTGCACCCATCAACCCGTCATTTAACATTAGGTATATCTCCTAATGCTATCCCTCCCCCCTCCCCACAACAGGCCCCAGTGTGTGATGTTCCCCTTCCTGTGTCCATGTGTTCTCATTGTTCAATTCCCACCTATGAGTGAGAACATGTGGTGTTTGGTTTTCTGTCCTTGCGATAGTTTGCGGAGAATGATGGTTTCCAGCTTCATCCATGTCCCTACAAAGGACATGAACTCATCATTTTTTATGGCTGCATAGTATTCCATGGTGTATATGTGCCACATTTTCTTAATCTAGTCTATCACTGTTGGACATGTGGCTTGGTTCCAAGTCTCTGCTATTGTTAATAGTGCCGCAATAAACATACATGTGCATGTGTCTTTATAGCAGCATGATTTATAATCCTTTGGGTATATACCCAGTAATGGGATTGTTAAAGCAGTGTGGTAGTGGCATCAAGGGGCACAAACGGATCAGTGGAACTAAATACAGAAATAGGACCACACAGACGGTCAGCTGATTTTCAGCAAGGCTGCAAAGGCGAGGCCATAAGGAAAGGATAGTCGATTCAGCAAGTGGTGCTGCAACAACCAAATATCCAAGAGCAATATATAAACAAATAAATAAAAACTTTGACCCTTACCTTGTACCATATACAAATATTTACTTAAAATGAATATAGACTTAACTATAGAACCTAAAACTATAAAACTTCTAGAAAAAAAAAACAGAGGAGAAATGTCTTAACGACCTTAGGTTAGGCAAGTATTTCTTCAATACAATGTTAAACATCATAATAAAAGGATAAATTGATCAACTGGACTTCTTCAGAGTTTAAAACTTTTGCTCTTAGAAAGAAACCATTAAGAGAATGAAAAGACAAGCCAAAGACTGCGAGCAAATATTTACAAATAATCTATCTGATAAATGAAAATGACCTGTATCCAGAATATATAAAGAGCTACTAAAAATCAATAAGAAAACAAACCACCACAAACAAAAGATGGACAAAAGATGTGAAAAGACACTTCACCAAAGATGGTGTACAGATGACAAATGTAGAAGAACTGGAACACATGCTGTGATTTATGGAATGTAAAAGAGTACAGTCACTTTGGTAAACAGTTTGGCAGTCTCTTAAACAGTTACAGACCCCTCCCATGTTACCCACCACTGCACACATAAATCTTTACCCAAGCGAGATGAAAGTCTATGGCCACTTAAAGGCTTGTACACAGACCAACTGTTTGTTTGTAGCTTTAGTGTAATAGCCAAAAACTGGAAATCACTCAAAAATCTATCAACAAGTAAATAAATTAGTTATGGTATATCCATACAATAAACTACTACTAAGTAATAAAGAGGAATTAACTGTTTACGTACACAACACCAGCAATGAATCACAAAATTATGTTAAGTGAAAAAAGCCAAATAATACAGATTATATAATTCCCTTTATACAAAAGAATTTTAGAAACTGCAATTTATAGTGACAGAAAGCAAATCAATGGTCACCTGAAGATGAGAAGGGTCAAAAGAAAGGGATTACTAAGGCTATATTTATTATACTGATTATGTTGATGGTTTCATGGGTATGTGTGTATACTAAGTTGTACACTTTAAACAGTTGTACGTTATTGTGTATCAATAAACCTCAGTGAAACTATTTTAAAAGTTTCTGCTCTGTCTTTTTAAGGGTATAGATGTCATAATTTGTATACATGACATATAAATTTCAGCAAAAAAGTCACGTGACAATGAAAATACTGGCAAAGATCTGTTTTCAAAGTGCTCTCTTCACAGCATGAATTTCTTTGGAAACCAATTATTTTTTCATTCAGTGTTAATGTCACTGGCAACTTGAGGGTTCAGATTAAATGTTATTTCTCTGAATATATCTTCTAAATACTTTCATTTGTCATTAGAAGAAGTTAGCAAATTTGGAATCTTTGTCTTTTTGTGAAAGAAGCATGTATACCTAATTTATTAACTGAACAACTGTACCAAGCATTTTGCTGCAAACGGCAAATCTGTGGGTAGCACAAACGAAAACGCATGAACATTCTGAAATCATCTTCATAACCGTGATTTTTTTTCTAACTGATAAAATAATCTTCCTTAGTAAAGTTGAGAAAGAGCACAGATAGGTTTAGAAGCATAGGCTGGACACTGCTGTCACCTTTTCCTAGCTGCGCAAGGCCCACTCTGTGAGAGGAGACTGCTTCCTGGACAAGACATGACCTTCTAGTGCATGAACTTTCTGAAAGCTCCATCCATGTATTAACAATCAATAAAAAATTATTTAATATCATTTACCCAAAAACATATCAAGACCCAAGTTTTCACATTGTCCTCATATACCTTAATGGAATGTCACTTGCTTTCCACTTTAGAGATGATAGCGTAGATTCTGCTAGGAAAGTGAACAATCCACAGGATTTACTCAGTATTTACTGTAAATTGGTATTACCTGTAATACAGTGCAATTCTATGGTAAAGATGTTAGTAAGAGTAACTATACTAGGCAGTAAACTAACTGCTACTATAGTCACTAATTCTATTGAGCACTTGCGCCAGGAAGTATGCTAAGTGTTTTGTATGCATTACTTCATGTCTCACAAAACTTCTACAAGATAGTTATTCCTTTTATTGTCATTTTATATGTTTATGACCTAAAATTAGAATAAATTTTATTTCTATTATTTTTACAATTTTTGATATTAATATATTGAAAATACGTAAAAATTTAAATTAAAATTTTTAGTCATTTATTTTTATATTTGTAATCAGTGTAGGTAAATAACACTAATTACAAAATAAAATTAATTAAAATCACAGCACAAAATAATTAGTTTTAGAAAATTTATATTACTTCCCATTTTCTAAATGACCTTTAATATGAATAGTAGAAAATAATATAATCTAGGATTATTAGTAGATGATTTTATCATACTCATGCAAACTACTGATGAAGGTAGAAAACTATGTTGTCTTTTTAGGTGCATTTTGTATAAATTATTTGCCTATAACACTGCGTAAATAATCTTGGAGTCACTGTCCAAGTAGAAGAGAATTCTAGCAGAAAAAACTGCTGTTTGTCTAAAACTGAAATATATTTTGATGGCCTATCAGTCTTAGGCACGAGGATATTGAAAAGGTATATGTGCTCAAAAAACAAAACGATAAAGACAACCTGGAAACAGGACTGTAAGAGCATGTCTACCACACATTAAAAATACATCCATTCACATTTTATAAAATGGCATTCCTACTCAACTGGCATACAAAAATATTTAATTAGTGATTATTTAGAATGTTGTTATTGGGGCCTATTTACACAATAACCCTCATTACACTTAGAAATGACTGTGTCTATGAGACACCCTAATATTTGTAATTAATGTTCATAGTAAACCTAGAGTCACTTTAGGGTCGGGCAACTCTTAGAAATCTAAACTCTGGAATCATCTACTTGGAACAAATCTCTTGTCCATCATTTACTAATTGTATACATTTAGGCAAATCACTTAATTCTCTGTTCCCCAGGATCTCATCTGTAGCCTAAGGACACTGTAGTACTTAGCCAAGAATGTAACGTTCAATGGAATAACACGGGGAAAGGCTAAGGAAAAGCACTGGCCAGTGACTGTGAAGCTCTCAGCGCTATCAGCAACCGTTATCTTAGATGGGTATCAGCACTGTGTTGCCACATCATTTGGCTCTTTTGTTTGATTTTGGTGATAATCAACAAGAGAGTCTACTTTTCTGTTGTGGCAGTGGTGCACCGAACTGGCTTGCAAGAGCCAATTATGCACATTTCTTCCCAACTCTGCATTCATTATGGCGCATGGGTAGCTTGAAATTGTCCATATTGAGGGAATGTACGCCAGAGAAACAGGGAAACACACAAATCAGGACCCTTCTGTTTTTAGAGAGGTTGCTGTTAAACATTTACTGCACACCAACTGGTATTCTTTAAGATACAAGTAGTTTGACTTTGGGAACACTTGAGATATAATAATTGTTCTACTATTATAAATTGTGCACTCTTTTCCCCTATTTAATTTACATTTAAAATCGAATTGACAAAATACTTATTAAACTACATATTTTCTATATGTTTGTCAATAGCATTAAATAATATCATTAGTCAAATTAAATTGATTCTCTAAGCAAGTCCTAAAATCAAATACATACTCCACATACATACGGGGAACACTGAATAAGAGACCTGTAACCACCCTTCTACTCTACACTGTCATGAGATCTACTTTTTAGCTCCCATAAGTGAGTCAGACGTGTGATATTTGCCTTTTTGTGCCTGGATAATTTTATTTAACCTAACGACCTTCAGTTTCATCCATGCTGCTGCAAGTTACGCGATTTCATTCCTTTTTACGGCTGAATAATGTTCCATTGTGTATAATGTTGGTTAAGGGGTACAAAAATACAGTTGGATAAAAGGAATATGTTCTATTGTTTGATAGTACACTAGGAAAATTACACTTAATAATTTATTGTGTATTTCAAAATAGCTAGAAGATTCATAATGGTCTCAAAACAAAGAAAATATAAATATCTGAGGTGACAGATACCTCAGTCACACCGATATGATTACCACAGTCACAGGTATCCAACTATTCTACATACTCCCAAAATATGTACAACTATTATAAATCAATAAAAAGGAAATGCTGTGCTGTTTATTTCATAGCATAGAGCAGTGCTGCAGCCGACTAAAGAAATAACAGACCCATCGCAGGGTGTGGCTTGAGGCTCCCGGATGTGAAGGGAAGGTCCATGCAGGATGAGACTTCCCTGTGGCTGCATGAGGAGAGGAGCTGAACTGAGAACTCCATAAGCAAAAAAGAAGCCTTGTCTCTACTTGGGGCTATGGGTAGAAAATAAATAGTCTCCATCCATTGAGAATATGGAAATCAAGCCTGAACCATATGTAGTTGTAGTTTCCAAATTTATCCTAACATATTGCAGGAATTTCAAGCTAAAAACTTAACAGAAACAAAAACCTGGACCCAGATCACTGAAAGCCTGGGGCACATGGAAAACATTACATATATCTGAGCATGAGGGTCTCTCACAAGGGAGATAATTTGAGAGAAATTTGAGTAGGTAAACAAGTAAACGATGACCTGAAAAAAAATCTAAGAATGGAAAGATGAATAGATATTAGTACCCTCTACAAATTGAGCTAATGAAAAACACTTACTGAGAGATTTAAAATACACTGTTGCAAAAATACAGCATTTGGTATGTGACTTACCATGCTTGCACAACTATTCTAGTTTATGGAAACCACAGTACCAAAATGCAAAAACAAAACAAAACAAAACAAAAACCACAAGGATTTCTTTCTGTTTCTTTCTCAGTAGAGTTGTATCTTTGACCTAATCGTGGGTGGAAGTATTTAAAACACTTTCTTAAAGACAGGCCCAAGCACCTACTGTCTATGGCACCATAGAGAGTTCTTTCATGCTGAGGACTGCAAAGGTGACAATAGTTTCCTCTAACGTGTTTCAGTGGATTTGAAAGCACTGGGAACAAATTAAAAAAAAAATGTGTGTGTATTATGTTCCTGTGAAATAAGAGACAGCTGAATTCAGGAGAAAGTAGGGGCATTGGAAAAATGACTCTCTAGCTGTGTGCCCCAAATGCACCTCAGCGTATAGAAGACAACTGGTGTCCTAAGGTAGGAATACTGACTTCTCTCTTCCTCTGTAAGCTCAGAAGTTCCATCTTAGGGCAGACATAAAAGGTACCTCTATAGGCTCTTCCTTGCTATTTTCCAGTAAATAAATGAAGCAAATCAAATTTTAATGAAAAGCAACTTGGCCTGTGGAAACAACAAACCAGCTATATATTTAACAATGAATTGAAATTTTATAAAATTGGCTGCAATGATAATTCATAAAATATAATGACTAATGTGAAAACAAAGGATGCAACACTGACTGTCTACTATGGACTATGCACTGTTCTAAGAGTTTATTCATATGGACTACGCACTGTTCTAAGACTTTATTCACATATCTCATTTTGTCCTGACAATAATCCTGGGGAATAAGTATTGTTTCCGTTTATCTGTTGAGGGAACTAAGGCTCAAGAACATAAGCTGACTTCCCCAAGGTCAGAATGTTGGAAAGTAATAGATCAGGTTGTAAAATGCATGTCTGCTTGATTTTAAGTTTTGAATCCTACTACACACACATTGAGAACTCAAAAAGTAGGGAAAGAATGATTTGGAAGGGTGGAGGGCCTAGTGTCATAGCTGAAGGAGAGCTGCATCTACTGCAGAGCAGGCGCTTTTGGAAATGATACCTTTAAGGTCAAATAAAACTGGAAAATTGTCCTGTAGTCTGTGCCAAGGAATATTTCAAATATATAAACACAGGACATGAAACCACCTAGGATGTAGGGTCCATTAATTCTTAATCTGTACCTAGCATCTAGGAGTGATTAATGCTTATGTGTGGAACGAACAAATGTCCATGTCAGTTATAAATTTTATAACCTTATAACCAAAAGAAGAAAAAAAAAGACTGAACTCGGCTGAAATTAGTTATCTATAAACTTGTAGACTTGGAGAAGTATTAAACTTTTATTTTCATGTAACCCCAAAAATAATTCAGTTTAAGAATTGTTATTCATTAGTATCTAAGAGTATTCAAATTCAAGATGAGGGAAAAGGATGTGTGTGTGTGTGTGTGTGTGTGTGTGTGTGTTTCTGTGTGTGATCATGTCACCACTAACAGGAGATAGTTGAATTTTAGGAGATAACTTTGTGACTCAATGCACTGGTATAAGATGTATTTTTGATATTTCTTAGAAAACTTTTCTTGGGAATATACAATACTCTTAAGGCAATAGTTCATCATCTATAATTACAAATTTAATTTACATAATTCTCCTTGGAAGTATGTCCCAAGTGTTAAACTTTCTGTTAATCGATTCCAAACTCTTTCATGAACCCTATCCTTGCTCTACCATCTATATTACTTTATCGATGAAGTTTTGGGTTTTTTTCCTAAACTTTCCCCCTTCATTTCTGACAAAATTAACCTCACCGTCTTTGATGGTTAATTCTAAGTGTCAACTTGACTGGGTTAGAGGATGCTCGGATAGCAGGTAGAGCATGATTTCTGGGTGTTTCAGTGAGGGTATTTCTGGGAGACTGGTACTGGAATCAGTGCACTGAGTAGGGAAGACCTGCCCTTATCCAATGCAGTAGGGCACCATGCAACTGGCTGAGGACCCAGACAGAACAGAAAGGCAAAGGGAAGGCAAAGTGTCTCTCTGTTCTAAAGCTGGGACACCTACCCTGTCCTTGAACATCAGATCTCCAGGATCTCTGGCCTTTGGAGTTTAACTTGCACCAGCTGCACCCCAGCTTCTCAAGCCTTTGGCCTCTGACTCAGGGTTACACCATCAGCTTCCCTGGTTGTGAGGCTTTCAGACTTGGACTGAGCTATGCTACTGGCTTTCCTGGTTCTCCAGCTTGCAGATGGCCTATTGGGGGACTTTTTAGCTTCCATAATCATATGAACCAATTTCCCTCCTAAGTCCTCGCTCGTGTATCTATTCATCTATATATGTATCCTGTTGGTTCTGTTTCTCTGGAGAACCCTAATGCACCCTAATCCATATTTTATATATAAAATGTAAAAACACTTCGTAGTAATTGTCTTCCCTGTAGGCAACCTTAGGACCTTAGGGAAGAACGATGTCAGAGAGAAGCCAGCACACTTAGCGAGCACGGGGACCAGTCTGCATGCATTCAAACCCTGGCTCTATCACATACTTGCTATGTGCCCTTGGGGAAATTATTTAAATTCTATACATCCATTTTTTTTCTTATAAAACGTGGAGATAATAATAACCACACTCATGGTATTGTTGGGAGAACATACAAAAAGAGATTTCGTATGTAAAGTGTCTAGAACAATTCCTGTCACACAATAAAGCCTTATATCAAATAAGAGTTGTTCTTATCATAGTCATCTTTATATCCACCATCTGGTATAAAAAAGATAGGCAATACTTGGTGGTTGAATTCTGGAACGAATAAAGGTTCAACCACTTATTCAATTTGTCCCTAACCAACTAATTTCATTTTAATAGCAAATTTTGTTCATGCCCCTTTCATGTTAAATGTCTTTCTATCCAAAATGTACAGAGCTAATCTGTTTTAAAAGATTTATTTTTCTAAGCAAAAGATGTAACTGATACTACTGTCCTATTAGCTTTTCTAAGGCATATTAAATGGTTTCTTTAAAATCACAGTATAAATGAGTAAATTAATTGACTTGGATTTAAAAGATGTTTTCTGTTGATAGTACTTCCCAGTATGTTAGCTCAATAAATGAAAGAGAGATGCTGCCAATCAGAGACGTTCCCCTTTAATTAAATAAAAGGAATGTATTCAAGTATTTCTAAAG
Source organism: Homo sapiens (assembly GCF_000001405.40). Lineage (NCBI taxonomy): Eukaryota > Metazoa > Chordata > Mammalia > Primates > Hominidae > Homo > Homo sapiens. The sequence continues at coordinate 165,407,975 of NC_000006.12, forward strand.
ATGAAATAAAGGAAAATAAAAACATAATAAGCATTAACATGGCCTATGTGCCCTGCTTCTTAGATAGGCTCTTAATCAAACAAGACCACAATAAAATATGCCATTACATTATCATGTTCAGTATTAGAAACAAGAATTTTCATGTACAAAACATGCTTCTATTACGGACACAATAATTTGTTCAACAGCAGAAATACTCTGAATTCCCCAAGATCAACACAATTAAAATGACAATAACGGTCAACAATTAAAAAGCACTTCATGCTGCACAAAGATTTTTCATATTTATGATCTTGATCATTACTAATGTATGTTCTCTAGAAAGTAGAACATTCAGGAAAAGGTAGGGAACCCGCAGATGTGATTGTTTGGGACAACGCATAATACAAGGTGTTTTTCCTAATTTTCATATGATGCTTGGGAAAAAAATGCTCAAAACAGCAAAGCAAAATTGCTCAAGAACAACCGCAAGCATCTCGGTGCCACAGTGATGACCAGAATTTGGGTCTTGGTCATTGGCAGTAGTTCGTGGCATCAACCTTTTCAAGTGGGTAAGGTTCTAGGGATCCCACTATAAAGAAACGCGATGCTATCTTATTGAAACCAGCATACATTTGGAGCTATTTTCTTTTATTTTTTTATTTACATGGATGCTTTCTTCAACAAGGCAAAAAATATCATTGTAAAGAAGACATGTGAACTGGTCTTTCTGAATTGGAACAAAGTTTTGAAATAAACCCAGCCACCAGTCTTCATCAGACTGGAAGGCCAGGGAGAAGAGGGAAGAAGGAATCATTATGAAGCTGTGGACTCAAATCTCTTATTCCTTTTGAGTTGGAAAAACTTCAAAAATAATATAATTTTTATGAGCTTTAGTAAGGAGAAAAATATACTGCAGTTAAAAAATGGGGCAGGGCGCGGTGGCTCACACCTATAATCCCAGCACTTTGGGAGGCCGAGGCGGGCGGATCACGAGGTCAGGAGATCGAGACCACCCTGGCTAACACGGCGAAACCCCATCTCTACTAAAAATACAAAAAATTAGCTGGGTGTAGTGGCGGGTGCCTGTAGTCCCAGCTACTCGGGAGGCTGAGGCAGGAGAATGGCGTGAACCTGGGAGGAGGAGCTTGCAACAAGCCGAGATGGCACCACTGCACTCCAGCCTGGGCGACAGGGTGAGACTCCATCTCAAAAAAAAAAAAAAAAAAGAAAAAAGGTAATAAATTCCACAGAGAGCTTGCAGCTGCACTGAATATATTTTCAATGTATACCTTAAAGGTAATCAGCTTTGGCTGGGCGAGGTGGCTCACGCCTGTAATCCCAGCACTTTGGGAGGCCGAGGCAGGCGGATCACCTGACCTCAGGAGTTCGAGAATAGCCTGGCCAACGTGGTGAAACCCCATCTCTACTAAAAATACAAAAATTAGCCAGACATGGTAACGCATGCCTGTAATCCCAGCTACTGGGGAGCCTGAGGCTGGAGAATCGTTTAAACGCGGGAGGCGGAGGTTGCAGTGAGCCAAGATCACGTAATTGCGCTACAGCCTGGGTGACAAAGAGTGAAACTCCATCTCAGAAAGAAAAGGTGTCTACAGCCATACCACCCTGAACGCGCCCGATCTCGTCTGATCTCGGAAGCTAAGCAGGGTCGGGCCTGGTTAGTACTTGGATGGGAGAAAGAAAAGGTAACCAGCTTTGGTCCAGTGCGGGTGACTACTCGACAGAACTGCTGCTCCATATACTACTTGTCACTGTTGGAGAAAACCACTGTTGTGATGGGGTTTGAAGTGTTTAGAAAAATTATAATCATTTCCAATATCAACTAATACTAGTTATTTTACCAAAATTTTACCCTAAATAATTTAACTAAATAATCAATGTAAAAATGGAATGCCTATTAAAACTTTTCAGAAGTTTTTTTTTTTTTTTTCTGTGTGGTTTAATCATGATTAAATCCAGGTATTATGATACCACAATTAGTGACTTAGAAAAGCATTTGAACCTGCTAGTCTAGTTCTTAATTTATGTATTCTTGAAAGTATACAACAATATTTCAAGGGATACATGGACAAATGAATAAATTTTAAGATGATCAATTTCCATATTCTTAACTTTCACACATATTCTTACTCAAAATGACTTTTTCCCACATCCCATTTTGAAACAGCCCTGTTATCAAATTGCTGTAATACAAAGCGGCAATATAAAATGCTGGTATTAATGAGGGCTAATAAAGGTTTCTGAAACTTTCCTAAAATATTAAAGGTGAACTTCAGTAAATTCTCAACTGATAGCTCATTAAAATAATTTTTGGTGTCAGAATTATCAGTACTTTTTGGCATCTTAGCTCAGGTAGAATTAAGAGAAATTGTGATAATAAAACTTTATTAATGGAAGCAATTCTTACAGCTTCCTTAAAAAATAAGAGGGACAAGTTGGAATAAGATTGATGCTGAATAGGGAGAGCCAAATTTCTCACTGTAACAAAAAAAGTTCCGAAGATGAAAATGAGATGGCTAGAGCATTCTGTGGTATTAGACTGGAGGTTAGGTATCGTAGAGACAGAAAGAGACAGACAGAATGAACGGACGTAGAGATTTATGTATAAACTCTCTTCTAAAGAAGTCAGTGAGAAAGTGGGGGTAAGTTCCTGTGGAGAAACCTGCAGACAGGACCTTTCAAGTGCAGACGGTTAATAGGCTCAGTGACGAAGCACATGCCTGCTAACAGGATGCACTGAGGACACATCCGCACGTGAACTCATTGTCACAAATAAGACCTTCATATAATTGTGAGGAAACACCAGACAAATCCAAATTAAGAAATATCCTTGGCCGGGCGCGGTGGCTCACGCCTGTAATCCCAGCACTTTGGGAGGCCGAGGCGGGCGGATCACGAGGTCAGGAGATCGAGACCATCCTGGCTAACACGGTGAAACCCCGTCTCTACTAAAAATACAAAAAAATAGCCGGGCGTGGTGGCGGTGCCTGTAGTCCCAGCTACTCGGGAGGCTGAGGCAGGAGAATGGCGTGAACCCGGGAGGCGGAGCTTGCAGTGAGCCGAGACAGCGCCACTGCCCTCCAGCCTGGGCAACAGAGCGAGACTCCGCCTCAAAAAAAAAAAAAAAAAAAAAAAGAAATATCCTTAAAAAACAACAGGTGTATACGCTTTAAAAATACCCAGGTCATGAGAGACAACACTAAGGAATAGTTCCAGATGAAAGGAGACTCAAGAGGTCTGCAGATGAGATAACAACACAGTACTTGTGATGGGTTAGATTGTGGCCCCCTTAAAATTCATGTATTAAAGCCTAAGCCCCAGTACCTTAGAATGCAGCTGTATTTAGAGATAGGGCCTTTAAAGAGGTAACTATGGTAAGAGGAGATTTAAAGCGTGGGTCCTAATCTCATATGACTAGTGTCTTCATAAGAAGAGTCTAGGACACAGGCATGTACACAGAGACAGCAGAAACCATGTGAGGACACAGGGAGAAGGCGGCCATCTGCAAACCAAGGAAAACAGGCTTCAGGAGAAACACACCTTGATCTTGGACTTCCAGCCTCCAAAACTGTGAGAAAAAAATTTCCTGTTGTTTAAGCCACACAGTCTGTGATGTTTATTACAGTGGCCCTAGCAAGCTAATACAGTACCAATGTTAATTTCTTGATTTTTAAATTATGCAGTGAAAAAATAAGATAATGTCCTTGTTTTTAGAGAAAATACAAACTGAATCATTTAGGAGTTATGAGACATTACATCTGAAACATACTCTCATATAGATTGGAGAAAGATAGTATCTATTTAACAGAGAAAGAGAGAGACAGAGAAAGTATATCAAAGCAAAAATGGCAAATATATTAACATTTGGGGAATATGGATAAAGGTATACAGGGAACTTTATTTTTGCAACTTTTGCTTTTGTCTGAAATTATTTCAAAATGAAAAGTATAAAAATTATGCTAAATCTAGTTTCATTTAACAGTAAGAAAAATTCACGAACAGTTATATTAACTATTGCTGTTTTAAGCCATAGGTATCTAAGAAAAAAGTTTTCAATTTTTTTTTTATTTTTTGACATCTATCAAAATGTTATAATAGTTGACTTGATCACATATGTGATAATACATAATACCACCACAATCCAAAATGAATTTTAACACTTATTATACATGTTTTAGACATACCCATGTATTATCTTATAAATAGAAATTATCTTAGGGTAATTAATAAAATAAAGCATAAAATATATTCAACTTTTGTTGGATAACAAATACATATTCAGAGAGTAAACATAATGCCAAATTTTCCCATCCTAAGATCTTGCTATTGTGTTTTTTAATATATTATAATATGTATCAAGCTTCTATGATACTTAAATTCCATTGGCTACATTTAAAAATGATAAAACAGTCAATATTCAGAATAAACTAGAAATTACAATCTTTGCGACTTTTAAACTAAATGAGACAAGCATAAGCTGTCAACATTATTTATGAGAGACACATAGATACTAAAAATGTTTGAAGCAAAAGTGTTTGACAGCATTCCTAGTTTATTTCTGAGGAGCTATGTAACAGAAACTGTCCCCCAAAAGGGCACCAGGAATGCGTGAGGAGAGAGGACGGGTACTCTCACTAAATAGCACAAACTGAATTAAAAACGGTTACCCTCGGTCACCAGAAGTTAAGTTTTACCAATGCTTGTCCCTAGGTATGTCTCCGCTTGTCCTATGAGTTACACGGTTACTCCTATGGAATCCAGTCCTACTCCCAAAAAAGCAGTTTCTCTAATTGATTAAGGGGGCAACTGAATGTATGTTGATTTAGCTCTATGAAAAGATCACCATACTAAAATTTTCCCTAACCTCAGAATTCTAGTAATATTATTAAAGGATTACTAGAGTTTACAGAATACTAAATGTTCCATTCATCTAAAATATAACAATGTAAAAGACAGACAATAAATTCCACTATTTTTAAAGTGAGACTTGAGAATGCACATTGAACTTCATTTTACCCTTCAGTGAACACGGTACAACTTTCACGAGGACTGAGTTAACACCGAGAATGCATGTGACATGGACAACCTGGTGCCTCACTTTTTGTCACAAACAGAACTTTCCTGGTGGGTGTCCAAACATGAGCTATGACTATACTTTTGTGTAAGGATCTCAAATGAATGCATTTGACAAACAGTCAAGGTTTAGGTAGCATTTTCTTTCTTCATTTCAGTAGATACCATTAAATATAAGACTGATGCCTGGACATGTTACCTTTACAGTAACTTCATTTTTCTTCTTAACAAATTCCCACCTTGAAATAAACGCAAACTATTAGGAGACTGTTATTTTTCCTTCCAGGGCATTTTATGACATTTTCTAAAACATGTACAATCAGGAATCACTTACTTTTCCTGGTTTGTAAAGGAAATATAAATGAAAAAAAAAAAGCCCTTAAGCTGCTTTATGAAAAAGATTCCAAATTAATATTGAGTAGTAAAAAATGGTATTTAATAAATAGTACTTACATTAGCACAGTGTAAGGCTAAAGCACAAAAGACGGCAAACATTTTGAAGTTGTTTTCATCTGTTTTAGAGAAGGCACTGCCACTGATTTTGTTGACCATCTGCACCACACCTATCACGCTGCCTCGGCTGACGATGGGCATGCACAGGATGTTCCGCGTGGTGTAGCCTGTGTACAAGTCTACTTCTCTGTGGGGTGACAGAACCAAAAATAACAACAACAACAAAAGGGCAGAAGAAATAAAGGACACAGTCAGTCATAAATCTCCCCTCAATCTTTGCAATTTACATATGCTTCTATTGCATATGACTAATGGCACTTTTAGCTTCTACATTCAGGGACAGTAACATTCCACAGAGTTTTATTAAAACCTTTCCAAAAATATTCTAATCTGTTGGTTCTTTTGTCTCCAAGTGAGTTTTCTAGGATAGTCTCTAAGAGGCTTTCAGCTTATCATTTGAAGTATCCAGCATTACTAAGTAAACAGACCAAAAAAAAACGTGGATTCAGAGGAGAAATACAATTAAATTTGGTAAAATAACATAATCCTTTGAAGTTGATCGTGTTTATGAGAGATATAACTTGCTAAACCAACTTATAGTGTTTCCACTTTAAAAACTTAGAGCAGTGGTCAGCAAACCGCACCCAGGGGCCAAATCAGCCCTCTCCTGTTTATAAGTAAAGTTGTATTGGAACACAGCCACACCATTCATTCACATATTGTCTGATTCTGCCATCACCCCACAAGGCTGAGCTGTGGACTTGTGACAAGGACATTAGTGCTTATAAATGCAAATATACTGACCATATGATCCTTAATAGAAAAGGCTTGCTGACTCCTATTGTGAGGACATGTTTTTGGAAAACAGGACTAAGGTGCATAGAAACAGTGACATAGCTAACGGTAGGTAGTTACATGGGAGTCTTCAGAGCCTGGCTTCTCTCATTTAGCATAAAGGTTTTTGAGATTCATCCATGTTGTTGCATGTCTTAGTGGTTAAGTCCTTTTTATTGCTGAGTTATACCTCTATTGAATGGACATATCGTATTTTGTTCATTCATTCCCAGTTAATGGACAATATTATTTTTAATAGCCAGTTTGGGCAATTATAAATAATTCTGCTTTGAAGGTTTGCATACAAGTCCTACTGTAGCACCATATGTTTTCATTTTGCTTGTAGTACTATCTAGAAGCGGAGCTGATTAGTGGACTGCACAGTAAGTGTATGTTTAACTTTTCAAGAAACTGCAAACCTGTTTTCCCAAGCGGTTGTACCATTTCATATTCCCACCAACAATGTATGAGGGTACTCGTTTCTCCACATCCTGGCCAATGTTTGCTAATGCCAATGTTTTAAAGTCCCAGCCATTCAAGCTGCTGTACAGTGAGGTCTCATGTCAACTACATCTATATTCCCCTCACTTCGAGCATTTTTCATGTGTTTGGTGATCAGTTGTATATCTCCTTTTGTGGACTGTCTGTTAAAATCACCTGCCCTTTGTATTAAATTGGGTTATCTTCTCATTGTTATGCTGGAAGAGTTTTTATATATTAGATATAAGTATTTTGTCAGATACATGTTTTACAAATATTTTCTCCTAATCTGGTGCTTGCATTTTCATTTTCTTAATAGTCTGACTCATACATTTTTACATAAAGATTGGACATAAGGATGAGCAAATATATTTAATTTTTAAGTACTAAATGATGAGTTTGGACTTTTGGAAAAAAACTTTCAGTGTACCCTTAATTTATTGACAATATACATTACTAGAATATTCCTATGTTTTTATAGGAGTTGTGTATATTTGACATCAATTGATCAAATAACTGAATAAACTTCCTATTGCTTATGTTATTTGTCTCTTAAAGTAAACCACGAGTTGGAATTAACTAAACACTGCTGTCAAACTACTGTAAATATTATTCTCTAACAGTCACAGCATCAATCCTGAGACTTTCCATTTCTAGCGATTTATTAAAATCAAATTACATAATTGGGTTTGCAACTCTCCAAAGAAAGTCAAAACAAAACAAAAAATCTTTATAAGCCTTCCTAATATCCATCTTTAATAATATCCAATAAAAGATGTAACTTATTTAGTTACTTTGGGTCAGGTAAATTTTCCAGACCTTTCATGAATATTATCTGTGATCTTAAAACAACAGCAACAAAATTGGCATTATCATACTCATCTTAAAGATGAGGAAACTGAGGCTCAGAGAGATTAAGTAACTTATGCTAGGTCAGTTGAGAGCTAAGAAATGACAGAACCGTGCTTCAAAGCTAGACCTACTCATCTCAAAAGCATGCAAATTTCTTACTATGTGTTGCAGCCTTTGAGCATATGATTTGACGGAGAACATGTTTGTTACAAAATCATGACACTATAATGGAAAAAAAATCCCACAGTAGCTCTATAAATTAAAACTACCGCCTATCAGTTGTTTTTATAACATTCTAAACTCCTGTATCTAGATATCATGATACATTAGTGGATTAGAATCCATCATTTTATAAATATCTGAATATACTGACTATTGATAGCAGAGTTGGTTCAGAGAAGAAAACTAAGGAAGAAAGAACTGAATTGGGACGTGGAGAACTCAGGCTCCACGGAAGAGGTTTCAGCTGAGTGGGACATCACAGAAGAAATCAATGGAGTGTCGACATCAGCTATTTCTTACCTGTTAAAGCGTGGGTCTGCATAGGCATCTGGAATGTTCAGGACTTCCCCTGTTCTTGCTACTTGGCCAGCAATTCCTTTCTCAATTGAAAATCTGCATATGTAAAAGAGAAGGACATGCTAATTAAAATATGGACTCTGTAGAATAATTCAAAAATATTCCATTGTTAATAATATTGAATTAAAAGCACTGTTTTACTTAAATGCGTGTATTACTTTTACGTTTACATATTCTAAATCACCTTATGAAGTACGTAAAAATAAAGCAGAAAACCATTACACAGTAATCACCTGAGAACCTTAAAATATTAACTCACAAACTGAGATCAAACAATCAACTAGTATCCTCCTGCTCTGAACAATAATAATCCCTTCTATTTGCGAAGCACCTTATAATTTACAAGACGCTTCAACATAAATTTTTTTAGTGGATTCTCAATGAGGTGTGAACGAAGGCCTATATGGGTTCAGTAATTTGCCAACATTCATAAAATATCAGTGGCACAAGGAACACTAGAATGCTGGTCTCTACCATCGTGCTTTCTACCACACATATAACCAAACTCACAGGTTACACGTGAGCTTGAGATATTATACAGAACTGAATTTTATGGTGTTTGCAATTCAAGCACTATACAGAAATAACGCAATGTACAACTTCTAGTATTTTTACCTAATTTGTTAAATTTTAAAATAATCAAAATACAAGGATTGTCTGTTTTTTATATCTAATATCAGTATTTTTCCTTTGCAAAAATATTTTCATACTTATATTTTTCTCATTACTATACCATCATCACACAGGCACTCATTTCAAAACTTCCTTAATTAACAAAGATGTCTACAAGTCACAATATCTACATTTTACATAGTTCAAAAATAATTTCCATATTATTACATTGTCAACATTATAGGAAATCACCATTATTGAAATAAAGCTAGAGGACTATCAGAAAAACTCAAAAGATAGTTCACACAAAAGAGAATCTACTTAAAACACCAAAGAGTGAACCAAACACTGCATAAAACTCATGGTTGTCTTTTTCCTGGTTTTCTTGTGCTTTGAACAACATAAACACAATGAATTAGATTGCCATGAGCAAAGGGTATCAGAATCCATTTGATGATTTATGCTTCTTTGCGTTGGTCTGAGAGCAGTCTGAACTATAACTTTTGTTCATGCTCTCTGTGGTTTGCTATCTGTGGTCAATGGAAGCCATAATTAAGAAGCCGCCCTTACATAAATGGCTGCCATTAACCAGTCATCTGAGAGTTACAGTAAATCACACTCTGTTTTTCTTACGCTTATAAACACAGGCTTTAAAGTTGTTATTTTCAAAATTAAATCAATGCCAACAGTGTTAGGAAACACTCAAATCTTCAGCAAGAGAAATGACTTATCTAAATGACTATATCCAGATGCTATACTGAGGTCTAACAGCAACAACAAAAAAAACCAACAACAAACAGACAAAAAAATTTTAAAACCCAAGTACCAATATAGTGCCTATAAATCAGAGTTAATGGACATGGAATACACAGGAAGCGCTGAGGGGCAGACAGTGGTGGGGCCCCACGGTGAGGCACACCTTGAGTTTCCCTGACATCAGTCTCCTTTTATGATAGAACGCCCAAATAAACAGCAATCCTTAATTAAGAAGACACAGTGTTTTGCCAGAATGGTGTTATTACCAGAGAACTTTACGGTGTTATACAGAAGATGAGTTAAACGAGACACATACAGCAAAAGAAATGCAAATGTCTAAAATTATTTTCTCAGCTTCTGAATGTTAAGCTCGATTCTTAAACGTTTTGTCAGAGTGCTCCTTGTGTAGGTTTCCAGGTGCGATATGAGCAAGCCCCCATGCCTCCATCAACAAAATAAACTCCATTCTGTTCATTTAAGTGACAACGGCTGCCACTTAAAAAAACAAAGACTTCAGTTTCAAGATGCAACACAGGTGTGCTATGTGATTGATTAAAACAGCTGGTCAGTCACAGAGTGTATTTAAGTCATCAAATATACCAGATCAATTTCTACTACTGTCTGGACTGCGAGACAGGCCACCGGTTGGGAAGAAGTAGGGGCCGAATTGCATAAGCACACCTTTTCTCTTGGACATGGGAAAACCTGCAGATTCCAGGTGGAGTGTACCTTTACCTACCTGGGAGCACTAGAAAGTTTTTCCAACATGATTTCCAAAAGGACCGCCTCCGGAAGACGGCATTTCCAGGAGTGACGCTAAGGCTTCCTAGGCGCGGTTTCTCGGGCACTGCCTGCAATGTCATTCCCAGAAGTACTACCTTCAGGAGGCGGGTCCTGGTGGGAATGATATCACAGTATGACAAGTATTGTCAGCATACCTGTGAATAGGCACAGAAAAATGGGTAACGGAACGCCTGCACATCTACCGTAAGAGGATAGGACATTCTACTTCTAGCTGTACCTTATCTCTTTGGTCTTCTTGAAGACAGGTTTTCCTTCCTTTTCCTCTCCAATATCAAAAAGGTCTGAATATAACTCCTTGTTCTTATGGTCCACCTGGAAAAGCGCACAACGATCGGCATTCACCAGGTTTTTTGCATATATCTAAAGACAAATGACAAAATAAGAGGAAGACAATGAGACATTCAAAGAACTTGCAGGTAAACTTTATCATAAAATAAGTATTAATTTCAGCTGTCCTATACTCTAATTGGTTGGTATTAGCATTATAAGTAAATAAATATACAAGTATATAAATATTTCATATATATGATATAAAAGTCACTGTTACATGCTAATACTAACAGATCCCAACAGAATACACAGCGGATATGCATCCATACTGCTGTGCTGGAGGGAAGCATATCAGTCGTGTATTCTGACACCAACTGACACTTCTGTTTTAGTTGGTAAGCAGCTGCTGGCCTAACTTCCCAGTGCCCTTCTGCCATCCAAGGCCCTCTTCCAGAACCTCTCAGGCCTTCCCTGGTGCCTAGATCTGAGCCTCTGTCAGCACTACGACCACCACTCATTCTGATTAGTTGAAGTCTGTGATGCAGCAGGTGTAAAAGCTATGAAATATAACCTCTAAGGAGATACATGGCTTTCATATTTGCATTAGCTGAGTTTTATTTGATGTACTGTCTAATAAAAATTTGTACAGATTATTAAGTGTTTACTATGTGCCAGGAACATTTATACAATTTATATGAATTGATTTGCCTGCTCCTCACAATAACAATATTAACGCAGGAAAATCTTTTCCCATTGTACGTATTAGGAAAATTGAGGCACTGAGAAGTAACTTGCCCCATTATTACATGAATAGTAAATGGTAGCAGTATTTGAACTGATACTAGCTGTTCCCATGGCCCATGCTTTTATAACAAATATGCTTTTCCATTTCTAAATGGAAACCATGTATTCATTTCATTACTCATTTGTTCTTCCATTTCCTTCAACAAATATGTCTTCAATGCCTAACATATCCTACTGTCCTGAGTGGGTTGGGGCTACAGCTGCACCATTAATACAGTATTTACCTCTATTGAGAATTCTGGTAACTTCAACTATCCAGATCATAGCCATGAAATTATTCCTCGGAGAAAAAGAATTCATCCTTACAGTAAAACAGCCATCACAAAGTCTCTGCAAGAGGAACCTTGCAGCCAGGGCAAAATATAGCATCTCATATAAAATGTATAGATTTAATAGAAATAAGTCTAAGTTAGGTAACTGTCTTCATCCTATTACACGTTTGTGCTCACTACTACTATAGAACTATTACACTATTACATGTTTGTACTCACTGCTACTATACACCAAACAAATACTGGCTGTGCCCACTACGCAGGGACTGAGTATACTGCCTAGTATCAGGACCTCTAGGTTACTTCTCACCTCCCTTAGCCTGTGAGCTACAGAAACAGCAGAAACCACTTCTCTTTTCCCACAGTATTCCAAATGCTCAGAACAAGGCTGAGTTAGGGCCAGCGAAATTTTGTGGTCCAAACCCTGCTCCCTGCTTGTTAATGTAAATAACATTTTTATTGGGACATAGCCGCGTTCATTCATTTCTTTATTTTTATGGCTGCTACAACAGCAGAGTTGAGTAGCTGCAAGAGAGTATGGCCCACAAAGCATAACAATTTACTATCTGGCCCTTTACAAAAAAAAGTTTGCCAACAAACCCCTGGCTTAGAACATATAGGATCTCCATAACCCAAAACTCTCAATAAATATTTGAGGAAAAATGAATGACATAAAGGCACAGCGAGAGTGATGGGGCTGAGTCGTTGGCAAATACAGAAGAATCACTCATCTAATTCACAAACCCATGAGATTTTAAATTATTAAGTAACAAGAATGATCCTGCATTATTAAACATTAAATTATATTCAGTGAAATCTGTATCTGCAGTGTTTGAGGTAATGTCAGTTGCTTAATATTTTGGCATAAATATGTTAATATTTGTTTAAAATCTGGATCAAATGGACAATGTTTCAGAAAATAAAATAAGCTTAGAAAGTGCTGAAAAATATAAATCCAACCAGAATCATAAAGATAATTCAAAAACTATCAAAAAATATTAGCAAAAAAGGCACCAGCCTAAAATGGCTTCAAATATTAATTCTTTAAAAATCTTCAACAAATTCCCGTACAATTTATACTGATCTACATTCAGAAAAGAACAATTTTTTCCAGTTGTTTTTACAATGTATGCTGCGTCACTGATACTGAAAACTGACAAAGAAACTATAAAAAAGAAAATCACAGATTTACTTTTGAAACAGAAGAAAAGTTATAAATAAAAATTCAACCCAATCAAATTTAGCAATAATTAAACAAATATGACAATATTAAAAACAGAGTTTATTCTGAACTGTCCAGTAGCATAAAGTCTATTATCATAATTCATAATAGCAATAAGACAAAGGAGAAAAATCTGCGAGATTATCGTCATGGTTGTCAAAAAGCATATGATGAGCCTGGGTGTGGTGGCTCATGCCTGTAATCCCAGCACTTTGGGAGACTGAGATGGGCAGATCTCTTGAGCCCAGGAGTTTGAGACCAGCCTAGGCAACATGGCGAGACCCCTTCTCTACAAAACAATATAAAAATTAGTCAGGCATGGCAGCATGCATCTGAAGTCCCAAACACTCAGGAGGCTGAGGTGGGAGGATTTCATAAGCCCAGGAGGCAAAGGCTGCAGTGAGCCATGACTGAGCCACTGTATTCCAGCCTGGGCGACAGAGCAAGACCCCGTCTCAAAAACAAAAACATGTGATGCCATTCAGCAATCATTAATGATAAAAACTTTAGTAAAATGGAATAAAAGAATATATAGAAAACGTAATAATGTTTTCCTCAAAACAACAGTCCATATTATACCAAACGGTAAAATAACAAAATCGCTGCCTTAAGATATTAAAGTTAAGAACAAGACAAAGGTATGTTATCACAATCATTAGCATGCTAGTAGGCAAGAAGAACATGTGAGGTATACATATTTGAAGAGATAAAATTTTTCTTGTTTGAGGATAATGTTATTTCATATGTCAAAAAAATCAACTGACAAACAATTATAGGCAGTAAGAGGGCTTCTGTGGCTGGGTGCAGGGGCTCACGCTGTACTTCCAGCACCTTGGGAGGCCAAGCCCCTTGGACTGCTTGAGCTCAGGAGTTTGAGACCAGCTTGGGCAACATGGCAAAACCCTGTCTCTACTAAAAATACAAAAATTAGCTGCGCATGGTGGCATGCGTCTGTTGTCCCAGCTACTTTTGGAAGGCTGAGGTAGGAGGATGGCTTGAGCCAGGGAGGCAGAGGTTGCAGTGAGCAGAGATTGTGCCACTGCACTCCAGCCAGGGTGACAGTGCCAGACCCTGTCTAAAGAAAGAAAAAGAGGCTTCTGTTTTAAGATGAGCATTTCTAAACATATGTTCACCTTTTCACTCTCCCCAAATATTAATGTTTAACTTTGAAATGACCCTCAGATGCTGAAAAGGAGTTAAAAATATCTAAAATTTTGGTAATATTTATAAAGTCCAAACATCAGGTCAATCTAAAAGCCACCCCTACTCCCTTATACACACACATACGCATACACACACACGCATACACACATACGCATACACACATACGCATATACACACACAGGCATACACACACACATATGCATACACACATACGCATATACACACACAGGCATACACACACGCATACACACATACGCATACACACATATGCATACACACATACGCATACACACATACGCATATACACACACAGGCATACACACATACGCATACACACCTATGCATACGTTTACCTATAAGTGAAACAACACTCTTTATAGCAACAGTAGATTTTAAATTCAGTTAAAATGTATCTTCAAATTTCTAAGGAAAACTTACTTTAAGCCTAAATGTATTTACCAAGTCAAACTAGCATAAAGGAAAATAAAGATATTTAAGAAGGGTACAGTACTCAGAAATGTACTATCTTTGAACTATTTTAGAAAAGGAGATGGGCTCAAGCAAAAATGAAGAAATAGATAAATTCAAGGACACATGGGAAGACTCGGGGTTCAAGAAAAAGTGAGGAGCAAAGAAATCATTAAAACTATACTAAAACTGTAACACTTGTTAGTAAATGATATCTAAGAAATTACAGGCATCATCATGAAAAATTAATTTAAGAAACATGAAATATATAAAAATATTTATATATCTAAAACTATGTAAGGGTAGTAGGTAAGAAGAGTAAAAAAAATTAGGAAACAAATGTGCTTCATTTATTATCTTGTTGGTGAAGTGAGTGATATGATATAAACACTGATTATTTATTGATTTTGATATAAAACTTCATTTTAAACATAAGACGACAGCTGTCAGGGCTATTGCTGCCATCATGTAAAGAGAAATTGCTTGAGACTAAGGACTACACAAAAGTAAGTTGAACTGAGAAACAGAGAAAGACATATTCATGAAAAGATTATTTGAGCCCCCATGTCCGCTAATTATATAAGCCTGAACATTCAATGGCTTTTCAGCAGTCTGAGCCAGTAAATCCTCTCTTTTATTATCTCACACTAATTTGAGTTAAGTAGTTGATGTTTTCAGATCAGAAAGGAAATATAAAGTACCTACAAATTTATAAAAATTGATTTGAAAATCTAATTCATTGATTCCCAACCAGCAGCTGAGCCACCTGGCCGCAGGGCGTCTGGAAATGAGTGCAGGTATGTTTGTTGGTTACGAGTTCTCACAAGCTAAAGACGCTGCAGGTCTGCGGTGCCCAGGATAACACTGTGCCAGAGGGAACTGCTCTGCCTAAATGTCAGCATCAACCTATTGAGAAGCACTGACCTAGATGAACTGATCACCTAGTAATTTAAGAATTACCCAGATTAGGCCGGGCGCGGTGGCTGACGCCTGTAATCCCAACACTTTGGGAGGCTGAGGTGGGTGGATCACGAGGTCAAGAGATTGAGACCATCCTGGCCAACATGGTGAAACCCCGTTTCTACTAAAATACAAAAATTAAGCAGGTGTGGTGGCGCGTGCCTGTAGTCCCAGCTACTCGGGAGGCTGAGGCAGGAGAATGGCAGAGGTAGCAGTGAGCCGAGATCATGCCACTGTACTCCAGCCTCCTGACAGAGCGAGACTATGTCTCAGGAAAAAAAAAAAAAATTACCCAGATTTGCTTGTCTGAAAATAATAAATCTTCCGTATTATAAAAAAGATCCTCAAAAAAGTCTAACCTCATTCCCCACTTGTTTCCTCTAATCCAGGGTTATCTTTTCAAAACACATATCTGATCTTGCACCTCTAGCTTACAAGCCTTAATTAAAAACTCCCTCCCAGGCCTGGGTGACTTGGCCCTTCCAGGACCTTTCTACACAGGAGCACACTGTTCCCCCATCCCCCAAAGTAGAACCCTCTTTCCTCTTTGCCTGTGTAACTTCCACACATCCACCAGACCAAAGTCACAGCATCAGGAAAGCTTGCCACAGCCTCCCCAGCTACGTTAGATCCCATCACAAGCTTTCAGGGCACTGTTATGCTCCTTAATAGGCCTGACTCTGACTAGTTTCATAGTTATGTTGATATTTGGCTCATGTCTGTCTCCCCACAGATTAGAACCTCAATGAGGACAGAGGCTGTGAAGGGTTTTGCTCACCATTTGATAACTCCAGTTACTATGTATTATAGGAATATAACAGATTCCCAAGAAACATTATAAAAGAAAAGGGTGAATGAAAACTTGAAGGATCCAATGTCATAGAAGAAATTGAAAAGAGAATCAGAGATCTACCCCAATAAGACTCTAATGGGGTCTTAGCTGATTTATATCAAACATCAGGTGAACAAATAATATGTACATTATTTAAACCACTTTAGTCCATAGAAAAGAATGGAACATTTCTGAGCTCATTTTATAAGTGTAGCATAACCCAATACCAGTACTATCCAAAGATAGAAAAAAAGAACCATTGAGCAATCCGATGTATGAATATAGATGCAAACTTGGAAATAAATATTAACAACCAATCCAGGAATAAAGAAAATATTACAATTAAATAGCCTTTATACCAGGAATGTAAGAGTGGTTCAACATTGAGTAATAATACAATTGTCTACTCCAATCATTTTGAAATAGCTTATAAAAATTTGATAATACCCAACACCAAATCAGATGCAAACTCACAGAAAATTAGGAATAGAAGGAAATGTTTTAAAATTGATAAATTATATCTGTTGTGGACCCACAACAAATATACATAGCAATGAAATGTGAGAAGTACACACATCAAGGAAAATAAATATATTCTCCTGTTGATATCTGTTGTTTCCATTCAACAGTGTTCATTAGGTTCCAGCTAATACATTAACAAACACAAAGAAATAAGTACTGTAAAAACTGGAAAAGAAGAACCACTAGAATCTCTACTATTGTGCATTATAAATCACTATCTTGAAAACTAAAGACTATAAACTGGAAAAATAAGTTAACTATGGGGGACCATAATCAATACATTCAGTCAACAATTTTTTAAAAAAAACTGAAAATAAGAAAATGTCTTTGGCTAGGAAGACGCCATATGCTGAAGATATCAATTCAAGTTTTCTATAAATTTAGGACAATTCCAATATAAATTACACACCATAATGAACTGAGATTCATCACAGGAGTGCAAGGTTACTTTAACATCCAAGAATCAATTGATGTAATATACACTATCAATAGAATTCAAAATAAAAACCATATGATCATCTACACTGATGCACAAAAATTGACAAACTGTAACATACCTGCATGATAAAAACACGCAATAAAGTAGGAAAAAAGGGAATTTCCTCAACCTGATAAAGGCCCTCTATGAAAAACCCACAAAAAAATCATATTTAACGGCAAAAAACTAAATGCTTCTTCCTTGAGATCAGGAATGAGACAAGAAAGTCCACACTTTGCCACTTCTTTTCAGTATTGTGCTGTAGGTTCTAGCCAGGGTAATCATGCCAGAAAAAGAAAGAAAACACATCTGGATTAGAAAGTAGGGAGTAAAACTGTCTCTAATTATAGAAGGCATGATCGTGTGTGTGTGTGTGTGTGTGTGTGTGTGTATGTATGTAATCCACTAAGAAACTAAGAAACTATTGGAACTAATATATGAGTTCATCAAGCTTGCAGGATACATAATCAAGGTATAAAAACCAATGTTGTTTCTACACATTTGCAGTATAAAATCAAAAAATAAAGAAAACAATTCCATTTATAATAGCATTAAAAAAATAGGAATAAATTGGCCAAAATAAAAGCAATACTTGTTCTCAAAAAACACAAAACACCATTGAAAAAAATTAAGATCTAGATAAATGGAAAAATACCTCACGTTCGTGTATTAGAAGTCTTAATTGTGTTACAGTTGTTAAGATGGCAATACTTCAAATTGCTCTACAGATTCAACATAATTCCTATCAGCATTCCACCTGATTTCTTTGTAGAAATTGACCTGCTACTTCTAAAATTTAAATGTATTTGTTAGGTACCCAGAAGAGCTAAAAGAATCTTGAAAAGTTAGGGAACTCACACTTCTTAATTTCAAAACTTACTACAAAACCACAGTAATCAAGGAAGTGTACTGGCATTACCACAGACATATAGAGCAACAGAACAGCATCCAGCGTCCAGAAAGAAAATGGCATTTTATGTTCAACTGATGTGCTGGGGAAAACTTGATAGCTACATGGAAAAGAATGAAACTGGACCTTTACCAAACATCATATACAAAAGTTAACTCAAAACAGATCAAAGACCTAAATATAAGAGTTAAAAACCCTACAACTCTTAGAAGAAAATATCTGAGTAAATTCTCATGATCTCTAATTTGGCTTAGATATAAAACCAAAAGCATAAACAGCAAAAGAAAACAATAGCTAAATTGGATTTCATCAAAATTAAAATCTTTTGTGCCTCAAATGACACTATCAAGAAAGTGAAAAGGCAACCTACCAAAAAGGGAGAAAATATTAGCAAAGCAATTATGAGACAAGGGAGTTACAGCTAGAATATATGAAGAACTCTTAACAAGTCAATAATAAAAATACGAAGAATTCAATTAAAAAGTGGTCTATGGCTCTGAATAGACATCTCCCCTAAGACAATATACATGCAGCCAATAAGCACATGAAAAGATACTCAACATCATTAGTCACTAGAGAAATACTAATCAAAACCACACTGAGATAGCACTTTACACCCACTATAATGAAAAAGTCAGATAATAGTAAGTGTTGGTGAGGATGTGGAGAAATCAGAACCCTTGTGCACAGCTGCTGGGAATGAAAAGTGGTGCAACTGCCATGGAAAGTTTGGCAGTTCCTCAAAAAGTGAAACATAGAACTACTACATGACCCAGCAATTCCACTCCTAGATATATACCCCAAACAATGGAAAACAGGCATTCAAACAAAAACGTGTAGAGGCATGTCCACAGCAGCACTATTTACAAGAGCTAAGATATGGAAACAATGCAAATGTCTATCAACTGATGAATGGATTTTTTAAAATCTGGTACGTATATCCACAAAATGGAATATTATTTGGTCATAAAAATGAATGAGGTACTGACCCATGCATAATATGTATGATTTTGAAAACAGTATGCTAGGTGAAAGAAGCCAGGCACAAAACGCTACATATTATGTGATTCTTTTCAGATAAAATGCCCAGAATTGGTAAACCCATGGAGAAAGAACGTAGACAATGATTGCTTAGGGCTGGTGAGGCAAGTGGAAATAGGGGCGTAAGGAAGTGATAAGCTAAGGAGATGATAGCTAAAAGGGTATCAAGTTGCTTTATGAGGTAATGAAAATGTTCTAAAATTGATTGATGATAGTTGCACATATCCGTGAATATAGTAAAAACCACTGAATCGCACACTTTAAATGGATGAACTGTATAGTATGTAAATTACACTTCAATAAAGCTGTTTTTAAAAGAACATATTAATAATACAAAGAACGAGCAGTAAGTGCTCCTTGTACCCCTAGCATAAGCTCAGTGTCAGTCTACATTATAACTTTATATTTTTCTTAAAGCTACTCACTGATTTACAAATTCCTTCAGTTGTTTCATAACAAGAGAAGTTATTTTAATGTACAATTATTTTATTTTTGTCTAGATAAAACCATAGAAATAACTTATCACATAAAGAATGTGCTGAAGTTAATAACCTATGTTATTCTCTAATTACCTTTAGTAAACTTCCTGTCTCTACAAGATGTTGCACAAAGCACACTTCATATTTGTCTTTTACTATGTTAAATAAAAAAAAAACTTATCAGTATGCATCATAAAATCTCTAGATGAGAAAACTCTTTATTGCAGAAGAGTACTGTAGAAAGAACATTTATTAAAGCACATAACAGGGCACAAATGGTAACAAGAAGGCCTGGGCATGCATGGCATCCACCCATACATTCTGACAACTAGAAGCCACTTCTGAAAGAAGTCTCACTAGAGACCTAAAAGTACTCAGTAGCATAGGGAAATATGCCTATAACTCTACGTCATACAGCTTTAGGCTCAAAAGTGCCTGACAGCCATCTAGGAGAGAGGAATAATTAAGACTAGAACTAAGTAGAATGAACTTGAAGATCAGGAAAAAATCAATCGAGA
Source organism: Homo sapiens (assembly GCF_000001405.40). Classification (NCBI taxonomy): domain Eukaryota; kingdom Metazoa; phylum Chordata; class Mammalia; order Primates; family Hominidae; genus Homo; species Homo sapiens. The sequence goes on from NC_000006.12 coordinate 165,428,358, forward strand.
ATTCCCCACATGTCCCATATGTAAGAGGTGTTTTGAAGAACATAAAAAGAAACCAAATGTCTTTTCTAAGTATAGCTCTCCATTAATAAAGAAAAGCTCTGAGATTTTTAAAAATGTTATTCAAACTTACTCCCCCAAAATTAACGCAAGTGACAAACAGATCAAGGTGAATTCCTAAGCCACCACATTTTCATAATATTGAAAGTGCCTGTGGATGAATAAGTTTAAATGTTATGCCATATATTAGCACCATGGGCCTAAGGGTTAAACAGAATCATACTCAGAACAAAAACAACCTACCATTATGTGTTCAAGTAGAGAATCTATTGCAACTATGTTATCAAAATATGTTCTGAAAAAAAGAAACATAAATCCTGTAAGTAATTTCATTAGTTCACAGTACATATTACACTTTGAATTCATTTCCTGGTTTTGTCTACATTTAAATAAAAAACCATAAAGATAAATGTCATTTGATTTTTCTGCTTTGGCAAAAAAAAAAATCAGTACTGTAATATTATTTTAAAGAGATAAATGAAACTTTATGATTGACCTCAGCATGAGGGCTCTATAATTCCAGAGAATGCAATCAGTATTTATTTTATTGATAAGTATCAGTGTAGAGAGAAAGTCTGTTGCATTTAACAAAGTATGCAGAAATAAAATTGCATCCACCATATTTAATATTTTCATTAATAACTCTGATCTAAAATACAAATATTTAAATGTGCTAAATCTCATCAATAGTTAAATATAAATTATCACTGAAAACTGGAGAAAGTTAGCATTTAAAGTGTACTGAGAAAGTAATGTAATTAATTTGAGAAGAAATGTCAGAATACAAGTAATGCTATGGATCTAATGACTTTATATGAGTATATATTCATTGTTATGAACAGCGAGTAAATGTTTCAGAGGCAAATAGTGCATATACTAAAATGTCAATCTGAAAAAAGATAAATCGATATGCATGTAACGTATGGAAAATGTAAAGAAGGACTCTTAAGATAGACTGCACTGGCTAGGTAGTGTTTAACCTAGTTGGCTCAGGTATCCAAGGGGAGCTTTTTCAGTCCCATACTTCTTTAATTTTATTATTTCAAAAACTAAATGTAACATAAACTAGTAACTTCAAACTAATTAATGAGCATCAAGAATAATTACTGATGGGTAAACTGTTAGGTGCATATACAGTGACATGTGAAACATAACATGTCATCGTTGTTGCTGGAGGCCACAGAGGAAAAACTACATTATTCCTTTAGTGAACTTGTAGGAGGACATGACCCTAAAGTTACCACATCCCGGCGCATATTTTAGATTTCAGTGATTAATTACATGGGTCAGATATATAGATGCAGACTCCTGTAGTAAATAAAACCAATAAAAATATGTGATTTAATAAATATCTATTATATAATTGCTTCCACTGCCAGCCAAAGGGATTTTTTCTAGGCCAAACCAGCGAAATAAAACATTTTCTCAGAAATGATAACTGAGATACTATACATGGGAAAATTTAAATAATAATAATAATGATGCTTAATTTACTGACATTGTTAGAAAAACCAAATAGGACTTTTTGGAAGAAAATAAACCAGAATATTTTCCCTCCTACTGTAGCCAGTATTCTCCTGCATAAATAGAGATATTTAGTGTCTTTAACATATTCTCAGTCTATTTAGAAAACATACATCAAATGGAAAATTAACATCATCACATATATATCTGCAATCCTTCACTTTAGAGTGAACGTGAATGAGAATATAACTCTACAATCCATAATATGATTAACCGTTCCCAGACTACTTGTAAAGACGGATCTTCAGTTATCAGCTGCAATAGACAATGGTCTATTTCTGCCACAGGCTGCCCTTAATTTAAACCATTGATTAATAAGAGCTACTATCCCTAGAAATGAACACTTACTTTGATACGTCGAGTAGGAAGTCATTCAATTCTGTCTGTTTGGCAAGGCCTCTGCATACCTACCATATAAAATAATAGGTACAATTACAAGAGATTTCTGCTTATTTCAAAATAAAACTTCCAGAATACTAATTACCTTATTTATTGAAAGAAGGCCTAACACAATCACTTGGGTTATAATGTAATAATAATATCAATAACCATTAATATTTACTGAATACTTAAATGTGCTAAACATTGTTTTAAGCACTTTCTATTTATTGTCTCAAGCACCACAAAACATTATAGGTTTGGAATTTACATTTCATAATGGACTTATAAAGATGTTAAGAACCTTACTGAGGCTTCAGAATTAATAAGTGATAGAAGCAGCATTCAGGTCTGGATAGTCGACCCAAGTCTCTCTTTAGAACTACTTTACACTGTATTTCTAAAAACTGTAGTTGAGCACATATTCCACCTACACCTGATAATTCGAGTCCTTTCTACTCCTTCTATTATCCTACAGCTCGATTTTTCTTCCTAGCATACAGTTCTTCCCTCATCAACCTCAATTTGCTGAAACAGAAGTAGAAAAATAAAACCACCACCAAAAAAAATAAAAAGAGAGAAGGAGAAGATACAAAGAACGCTATATTGCTACCATGTTCTTGAACTTTAAAGTCTAACCACCAGTAAAACTATAAGTAGTTGGTGATTTTTAAATTAGATATCTTCAAAAGAACCAGATATCTTAAAGTTAGAATGTTTCATAGATCACTTAGAGGAAAATTTAATTTAGGAAATGGAATCATAAAAATATCAATGCAACTCCAGTAGGAGATTGTTCCTAGGTTTTCAGTGGAAAACAAATACTACAGCAGGACATATGCCATTTATTGCATTAATTATATATGTATTTATTTTATATATAGATATATATGTATGTGAATGGACACACATATATTGCAAAATATTTAAGGCAGGGAGTAAGTAAATATAACTGATTAAGTTAAAATTTCTAGAAATAACAGAAAATTGTAATATCCCAAAATAAGGCATTGGGTGACTTAACCTCTATTCCGGTCTTCAATGCCTCACTCCAAAAACCTCTTCTCCCTTAGGAAGCCCCTGCAAAAACACCCCAAAGACTCACCTGCACCTGATGTATTGCTACTGAAGCCCAGGCAAGATTTGCTGTTGCAACCTAAAAAAAACAAGAAATACATACCTATAAGTAATAATACATAACGTATATATATATACTATATATAATATACTATATATCATATGTATAATACATAACATATATATACTATATATAGTATACTATATATAATATATATCATACATAACATATATATATATATACACACACACACTACTTGTAGTCATCTCAACAAAGGACTCGGGGATACATGTATATGAAGAATTTTCTGACATCACTGAGCTTTTGAACATTTTCCAAACACAAAGCACCAAATATTTACAAGGTTTTTCTTTTATATTTTCCCCATCTATTTAACTGACTTTAATGTTCTCTTGTTCATCTTAATTTTGGATAAAATGGAAAACAAACTGATTGTTAAGAGAGCTGTAGCCCAATGATTTTCACAAAATTACTACTTTTCGGTTTAACAAAAATACTATTGAAAAGCAATCTAATGACCACTTTAAATAATGAAATATTTCTAAAATGTAAAAATCATACACATATATTTATACACAAGCTAACAAGTTCCTCAAAATTACTAGCTTTTCTACTTCTTTTATTATTCACTCATTCAACAAATATTCATGAGTGTCTATTATGTACCAGGCACTATTCTAGGTGCTGGAGATACTGTAGTAAATAACAGAAATGGAGTGGCCTTCAGTGTACTTCAGGGAGAAGGACAAGAAATGAAATAAGTGTAGCATATAATATATTAGATAGTGACAGGTGCTATAGAGAAAAAGCAGAAGAAGAGAGAAAGAAACATTGGATAGGAGCCATTCAAATGTACATGAAGTGTTCAGGGAGGGCCTTATAGAGAAGGCAACATTTAAGGAAATTCTGAAGGATGTGGCTGTGAGGGGGATAAGTGGAGAGAAGAAAAAATGCAAAGGCCTCAGTTAAGTAGCCTGTCAGCCTTGCCTGAGGATCCAGCGTGGCTGGAGCGAGTGAGGGACAGGTGGGGTCGCAGGAGATGGGTTCATTCAGGCAAGTGAACAGGAGTGAGGCCACTGAAGGAAACTGGTTTATACTGGATGTGATAAATGTATCATTTTAATATTTGCTTTTAGTAGTAATGAGCCTATTGAGTGAATAGTGAATGGAATTCAAATGTATTTGACACTAGAGTCTTTTATGCAGGACACAAGCTAAGAAAAAGACATTTTAAAGAAGACATAAAGACAACCAGAGTGTGAAAAGTCTCCAAAGTCCTTCTACTACTTTCTATGACTCAGAGTACAGCATACCTTTTATTGTTACACTGGATTTTACTTAACAAAAGGACCATATCTCTTATGTAACCTGTTTCCTCTCTAAACAGAAACAGGTTTTAAAATCATTATCATTAGTATCAAAACACTGTTAAGCAAATTGTGATTTTAAATATTAATTCATGTATTTTCAGTTTAGTATTACTTAGCAATACTAACAAGCACCTTCAATGAGCTAGGTACAACTAAAAATTCTAACATGCAGCATTTAAAGGCCTTACCTCCTGGTGACTAAGACAGAAGGCTTCTTTGCCCCAGTGCCGATACAGCTCGAGAATACCAATCAAGTCACCAATTGCAGTGACAATTGGTAAGCAAAGAACAGACTGGATACGAGTCCCTGATTCCAGTCCAGTACCTCTTGGAAATCGTTCATCCTGAAAAACAAAAAGACAAAAAGACATAAATTCAGTGAAATGATCATTAAGTGATGATTCTTATTTCTATCAGAAATTGCCATGATACTTGTAATCAATAATAAGCAGTACTTTTCAAAGGAAAACTAAATGATGATAGCCACCATAAATCTTAGGTAAGAAAATGCTTACTTTTTCATGGAACTTATACCCAAATACTGCTTTAATATTTCTTTATCCTTATGCAGCATAAATTTAATGAACGAATGACATATGTTAATTTCATATGACAATAAAAAAAGTAATCATAAATGCTGGCACTTATTCATCGTCTTCTATGTGCCGGAACAGTCTTAGGGTGTTTACAGGTACAATGCCGCAGGGAAAATTACTCAAAATGTAAACACTATGTGAAGAAAATTATTTATAAACTTTTTTTCTATTTTTAAGCCTAGAGTAACACAAAAGTGTACGTTAATAACAGTCATTCTAACTGAATCTCAAAGGCCCATATTAAGTATTTGAATCAACTAATAATGATCAATTACTTATCATAAGAAATGAAATTGGTTCTTTGATTTTAAAATTTTCTAGCTTGGCAAATTTACTCAAAAGAAGTACAGGGGGCCGGGCGCAGTGGCTCAAGCCTGTAATCCCAGCACTTTGGGAGGCCGAGGTGGGCGGATCACGAGGTCAGGAGATCGAGACCATCCTGGCTAACACAGTGAAACACCATCTCTACTAAAAATACAAAACAAATTAGCCGGGCGCGGTGGCAGGCGCCTGTAGTCCCAGCTATTCGGGAGCCTGAGGCAGGAGAATGGCGTGAACCCGGGAGGCGGAGCTTGCAGTGAGCCGAGATCAAGCCACTGCACTCCAGCCTGGGCGACACAGCGAGACTCCGTCTCAAAAAAAAAAAAAAAAAAAAAAGAAGTAGTACAGGGAAATTGAATGAATTAATATCAAAAGCATCAATTCTATTTCTTCAATTTCTACTGTCTGTAAGAAGCTATCAGGATGAATTAGAACTTCATGAAATAGTGTAACTCTGTACTTGTAATGTACAGATCTTTTGAAAGCTTACATACACAACAGAACATTTTCAAATGAGAACTTATACAGCATGGGCCCTCCTTCTCTCCTTCCCTCCCTTCCTCCCTTCCTTCCCTTCTGTCCTTCTATCTCTTCCTTCCTTCCTCTAGCTACCAAATTTATTCAAGGTTATACAAATAATGGTGGAAAAACCAAAATTAAAACCCAGGTTTCATGGCTCCTATTAGCACTTAGAGCAATTTTTTTACACCTGTGTACTTGTTACCTTTGAAGTCTATATTCCATGTCATAAAATTTCATTAAAATGTCCACATGTACTGTGGAGGACTAGACTGAGGGCTCCACTTTGTCTAGTTTCTCTGTATCTATGTGCATGGTTAGTGATCTATACTGAGTCTGGGCCTGTCTACGTGATTTGCTCTGGCTAATGGGAGGGTAGTAAATTTGATGTAAGCAGTGGCTTGAAAACTCACTTGTATGTTTCCCACTACTTCTCTCAGACTCCTGTTACCTCACAAAAACACACCAGGATAGCCTTACTGGAAGCGGGTGAGAGACACAGGGAAAGCGATGGCATAAGAGGCCAGCCAGCACCTAACTCATGGCCAGCTGACCTCAGACGCATAGGCAAATCCAACTGACAGCAGTCCAGACCAGCAGAATAACCCAGTCCTTAGATTCATAAGAAATCACACGTGGCTACTGTATGATACCAGTAAAACTTGAGGTAGTTTGTCATACAGCAATAGCTAACTCATTCATATGCATCCCAGCAAAATATGAATCATAAAACAGTAATTATTTAGTTTACATTCATATGAATATACACAGTATATTTGTGTTTAACTGTACTGGCATGTGTTGAAATAAGAACTGTGCACATTTAGCTGTTAGTGGGTAAAGGGAATTTTCTGAGTACAAAAAATTAACTTACACATTAATATATTGATCTGTAACTAGCTTTAATGCTTTTTAAAATGAAACTATTTAAATTATAACATCAAAATGATATGCCATCTTTCTTAATTAAATACTTTAGGTCAAAAGTGTCACAAAGAATCAAAAAGCCACTTACTCCAAGGATGTCTTCTACTAGCAGTGTTTTCCTGGACTTGGCCACATAAGCAGAGACGGTGGTGCCCTGAGTGATGGGCCCAGCAGGGATGAGGCGGGGTTTTCCTTCCTTTATCCCAGGTGGCGTGAATATACACAGGCTCTAGGGAGAAGAAAAGATGTTTTACAGACTTTCCTGTACATGTGCATAGTACAAAAAGACACACGTGAATCCTAACAGTCATAATAAATCTGTGAGCCAATTAAAAGAAGAGTCATAAAATGAGGAAAGGTGCTTTGCCATGATCAAACCAGATTACCTAAAGTGAAACTATCTCACATTTCCACTTCACAAAAAATACACACTCAAATTTAAAACTTAAATGAATGTACAGGCACAGAAACACTCTTCAAATAGCCTCCTATTTTGATACACAGAAAATAATGAAATGAGACAAAATGCATCCTGTCATTGGGATCAAGATTCTATCAGACCACAAACACACACAGGGTCCAACCTCCCTACAGACTTGACACATGTTACCTGAAGACAGAATCAGTAGCTGCAAGTCAAGTGATTTGGTTACATTTTTCATTTTCATTAGAAATCTTCCCTTCTGAGAACCTTCTAAGACTCACTCACATTACTTCGACTGGCTAGTTTATAAAATTGCAGATTCAGAATACTCTAGATGAAAAATTTGCTGTTCTCTGAGCAAAAATCTTGAAAAATCTGAGGGATCTTTCCCTTTCAAATGACTGGGTGGGAAGGTAATGTCCTGAAACTATTTTAAAATAAATTGTTTTTTAAAAATAGCATCAGTTATTTTGACGAAATCCAAACATATTTTAAAATTACTTTCTACTAAATAAGAATTGCTACTTTAATCATGTAGAAATTGGGGGCAATATTTTGACATAATTGTATCATGATTATCTACAAAATTTGAAAATATAAATTTCCCACAGACTTCACTTTATTTTTATCTTATGTTGGATTACTCTAACAAAGAATGAAGACTACTTGAAGCAATAAGTATTAGACAGCCCTCTTAACCTAAGCACCTTTCTACAATACTTGTTATTACTAAGGTAGTTCTAAGGATGAGACAGGTATTATTTATTAACTTATCAGGTATGTGGTTTTTAAGCCTTGTAAAATTACAGAACTCTTTCTTTAAACATCTTAAAAGAGAATGAACCCCATTAACTTGACTAATAAACCCCATAAACTTGGTTAAATGAACAAGGAGGAAGGGAGAGAAAAGCAAAGCTTTGCTTTAACCTTGGGTACTTGAAATTAATAACAATTATAAATGATTAGAAGCTAAGTTCAAAATACTTGTATTTCCAAGTATATCCACATAGGGCTGTGCTTAAATTGTATTTGCTATTAAGTACGATGCATGTGAAAAATTTAAGTAATTATTTTAAAAAGAACTAAGCTATTTAATATGTTTAAATAGAAAGTATACACTTATGGATTAAAAAATTACATATATGATGAAAGACAGTTTCAACTTAGTTATTCCTTAAAAGGCTGGAAAAACCATTTTCTAGTTACTATAATTACATTAGGCACCAACATACACATGGCATAGAGTAAGACTATCATTAGATTCAGTATCTATCATTGTCCAAATACAATTCAGTTTGTCACCCTTTCTTAAGACAGAAAGAGTAGAAAGGTAATTCAAGAACAAAAAGAATAGATAAATGCAAGAAAAAAAATTTAAAATGTGGTATATTTAGAATGAAGAAAAATTGGAATTGACAACGATTTTCTCAAACTATAAGGAAGCAACTGTCCCTTTTCTGTACCAAAGACGGAACTGCAGGAAGTGAACATAAATTGAACTGAGTGGTTTAGATAACTCTTAAAGAAGAACATGTCATAATAAAAACAGAAGGTGAACTCTGGAGCAAGCTTCCAACAGTAACTCTGTATTTTTTGCGGGGGGTGTGGAGGGAGTCATAGTTTTTGGCTGCATTTGTTTGTTTGAAAATGTAAAACGCACATCTTTTTTTTTTATGACTTAGCCATAGGCCCTTCAAGGCTGAATTTAATCACATGTTTAAGTTATACATAGCTTCATAATCCAATAATAACAGACTATCTTATACATTCCTACATTATTAGATGATCATATAGTCAGTATTATAAAATATGTATTGCTTCTGTGTAGGTTTCATACAATACACAAGTAACAGATAAGCAAATACTGTACCCAAGAGTGTATGGAAAGCTCTTCTATTTATTACGCTTGCTGAAAATAAAAGGTTTAGAAGTCTTTCAACTACTTGCTAGAATATGAAAAACTTCTCTATGTAGTTAAAAAAAATTATCAAAAATTGAGTAATACTTTATAGTGGAAACTTTATACTTATTTTCCTAATTAGCTCATGATTTTTGTTCACATTAACCCAACAGAAATGTTTCCAATGAGAGCTGAGGATAAATGCTAACCAAACATTGAATACATTGTGATATGAAGGCCCAAAACTCCAGCAGAAGGGAAAATGAAGCCTAACCTCACAACACACACTTGTTTGTTGTTTCTGACATGTTTTCATGGCTACACTTTCCCTCCTTTATATTAGTGGTTCCCTTCTGTGTTGTTTTTGTTTTGTTTGCCTCCAAACAATTTACCTGCAAAAGCTCCTTTTTAATATCCATTTCTAATTGAGGATCAGTCACTGGTTAGAATCACATGTTTTGCAGAAGCATATTTTTAAATGATTTTGGCAGTTGAATGCATTGATAGGTAGCTACCTGTTATAAATATAAAAAGTCTAAAATAGAGGTTGAAGTTTACACATACTCAGCGCTAGGGAAACGTTAATTTACATTCCATTTATTCCACAGATACTGTCAAGTAGGATGTCATGGGCTGAATCATTATCACTTTTCCACTCATTGAACTGCCACCTTCATCATACACTTCATCCTCAAAGACGCTTTTTTTAATTTTTAATTTTTAATTTTTTTTTGAGACGGAGTTTCACTCTTGTTGCCCAGGCTGGAGTGCAATGGTGCAATCTTGGCTCACTGCAACCTCCGCCTCCCAGGTTCAAGCGATTCTCCTGCCTCAGCCTCCCGAGTAGCTGGGATTACAGGCATGTGCCACCACGCCCAGCTAATTTTGTATTTTTAGTAGAGATGGGATTTCTCCATGTTGGTCAGGCTGGTCTCGGACTCCCGACCTCAGGTGATCCACCCGCCTCAGCCTCCCAAAGTGCTGGGATTACAGGCGTGAGCCACTGTGCCTGGCCTATCCTTAAATATACTTGGGTCTGTTTCCGAATTCCCAATTCTGTATCTTTAGGTTTACTTGTATACCACACTGTTTTAATTATTATAAAAGGTTTACAGTACATTTTATGACTTGGCAAGGCAAATCCTGACTTAGTTCTTAGTATTTCAAAATAATCATGATTTATTTTATAAGCTATACACTTTGGCCTGGGCGCAGTAACTCATGCTTATAATCCCAGGGCTTTTGGAGGCTGTGGCAGGAGGACAGCTTGAAACCAGGAGTTCAAGATCAGCCTGGGCAACATAGCGAGATCTGACCTCTACAAAAAATAAAAACATTAGCTGGGTGAGGTGGTGCATGCCTGTAGCACTAGCTACTCAGGAGGCCGAGGTGGGAGGATCACTTGAAGCCAGGAGTTTGAGGTTACAGTGAGCTGATATTGTGCCACCGTACTCCAGCTTGGGTGACAGAGTGAGACCCTGCTTAAAAAAAAAAAAAAAAAAGATATATACTTTGCATTTCTCATTGGTGAAGTATCTACATGAAGGCATTAATCATTAATAAATGATTAACGTAAATAAGTTCTAAAGACATTTACACAGGAAATAGGGACTTCATTTTTCAAAATCAATATAACTGTTGACTTAAAGATTTAACTGGGATATTCAGATTAATAAGATAAAAAACCTTATGCTATTTTCATAGAAGGATGAATGGAAACACCAGACATTATTTTAAGAAGTATTAAGGCTCTTATACATATGTTTACAATATCAAATTTATCTATAATATCCAGTGTTGAACTGAGTCTCTAAGATTAATTCCTGCTCTACTACTGTATAAATATATAAAAACTTTAATTAGGACAAGCATCTTTTAGAGGCTAGAGATAAAAACCACAACTAAAAAACAAGGAAAAACTTTAAAGTTTCAAACATTAGCCACCTCTATCATTTCCAAAGAAGAAAGTAACTGCCTTCAGGATATCTACTCGACCAAAGGCCGCTGCAGTTCTTTAGCACTTGAGAGTTCCAGAGGTGATGGTGACCACTAGTCCCTCCACCTCTCAACTAGCATCGATGAGATTGCCCAAAGAGCAGAAAATCAATCCTATCAGAGGCCAGGAAGTCCTAGGGGAGGAATCAGCTTTTAAATTTTTCTAAGAAACTCATTATGAAGTAGCTAATATTTTTGTGGTAACAGCAAATTTTTATATCTATTTCTAAAGTGAGATAATTTAAACTAGAAAAGATTGGGCGCACAAGTCATAATCAATAGGTTGGTTCAGTAAAGGACTTAAAAAGCATTCAAATTACAAAAATGTAAATTTTGGGAAATAAATAGATTTGGTGGAAAATGAACAAGAGAATAGACTAGTACAATTTATAAAAACACCATCTTTTAATGAAATAGAAAAATCCAATTCATTGATATCAGCCAAATAGATGTTTACCTCACTTGGTTAACATTTGCTTTCATCTTTCTTTCCATGCACAATTCAAACATCACTTTATTCATGAGACTTCATTTCAATGTTAAGACTTCAACTTACAACCAGTTAAATTTTGGAAACACTTCTTAAGAAGAAAAAAAAAGTATTTAGGTTTACCAATAAGCTATTATCCTTTTAGACACTAGATGGCACTGGATAGTAAACAAATTTACATCTATGTAGACGGCCGTAAGTAAATAGCTCCCACATTTACCTGGAACTTGATATATGGATGACTAACTTTGTTTCCATAATTCTTAAAAATAAATCTGCTGAAGTTCACTGTGCACTTGAAGAAGGCAAACAATTACTATAAACTACCAGCTCTGGATATGAAGAATGCAGTATTTCTGGTGAATGTTTAATGTATACATACTGAAGGTAAAACTTAAGATTCTTCTGCTCTTCCATTTTTCCCAATTGTATCCCAAGTAACAAAACTAAAATGTGTTCTTCCCAGTATGTGGGTAATAAAAATCAAGTAACAAAGGGGCAGGGGGAAGCTATGTTCTTAAAAGACGTGTTGTATTACGGTGGAAAGAGCATAGCTGCTCTTTGTAGAAAGCACAGTAACTTTGGAATGGGAGCCTAGCCTTTAGTTGTTGACTAGCTGTGTGAACTCGGACAGTCATTACCCATAAGAGACCTTGGCTACCTCATCACTAAAATGAAAAGATTAGATTAAATAATTTGGAAGTGTCTCTTTTAGCTTTAACACTCTATGAATCTAGGACTCTAGAGTCATCTAGTTGCTCATGTTTATAAATAAAAATAACAAAACAACTGTTTAACTAACTTATCAAACCTGTAAATTATGGAAAGGTTGTTTTTAAAATAACCTATATATATATATACAATAAATTTACTTTTGAATTAAAAATTTTAAAGTATAAAGTACATAAGGTTTTCAGCTTTCACAAACAACTCTGATAGATAACAGTGGAAAAACTATAAAGATACTATCATCAGGTATGTTATACATGTAACTAAGCATAGCCATACAAACAATAAAAGTTGAATTAAGCAAAAATTCAGTCATGAAAAAATTATTTTTTCCCAAAAACATCTCAAGAGCACTTTGTCTATAGCAGACATTGCTATGGGCCAGGATACAACATAAGTTGTTTTCTTTGCTAACCCCAGATTTCTCAGAAATTGCTTCTTCTGCCCAAGAGACATCCTTTACTTTCCCCTCTCATCTACTGAGAGGTCTTAAATCCCCACTGAAATATTGTCTTCTCATCATCCAATCTGTTTTTATGTGCTGCAGCCCCATCGAATTCATGGTCACAGAGCCTTTGAGCTCCTCTCTGTTAGCACATAAAAATCATGTGCTGTAACTAGCTGCTGATTTTTCTATCTCCCCTACTGCTTATACATTCTTTGATGTGAGAAATAATTTTGTTTTTGTATGCTCAGCAATTTAGCACAGTTTTTTGGTACTTAGCAGATGTTTTAAACGGTTTGTTAAACAAACAGCATTTATGGTGTAACATTTAACTAATGGAGGGTAAATGGTAAATTAAGGTTTAGAAAGTTTAAGAATCTTGTCAAGTCACACAATTATTAATTACACAATTACTAAGTGGTAAAACAGAACTCACACAATCTAACTCCAGATCCAAAATTATTTCAATGCTAAACTACTTACTAGGAAGTTTTCCTTTTTTCCCAAGTTCTGAAAAAGTATAACGAGCACAGGAATTCTCCTTCTTAAAGGGCTGCCTCAGTAGCAAATGAACAATGCGGGTACAGGAGCCCAGGCTGTCGGGCTCATCACTGTCTCCCCGGGTTTAACATGGTGCCTGGTGATGACTGGGGCTCAAGAACAGTCAGATGAATCAATGCCCTACTGGTTTGCAGAAAGGTAATATTTCAACAGTGTCTTCAATTTCCTCCTTGGCTACTGGACTAATAAGTTTTCTATTATCATTTGTATTTAATAGGATAATTTATATTTTCCTTGAAAACTGTTCATTTTTATCTAGGTTTTCACATTTGTTAGTAAACATAATCCCTCATAATTTCTAATTTTCATTATATCTATTATTTGTTTTTAGATTATTAAACATATATATTTCTTTTTTGTCAGTTTAGTAAATGGTTTGTGTATTAGTCTGTTCTCACACTGCTAGAAAGAACTACCTCAGACTGGGTCATTTATGAATAAAAGAGGTTTAATTTTTTTTATTATTATACTTTAAGTTGTAGGGTACATGTGCACAACGTGCAGGTTAGTTACATATGTATACATGTGCCATGTTGGTGTGCTGCACCCATCAACTCGTCATTTAGCATTAGGTATATCTCCTAATGCTATCCCTCCCCGCTCCCCCCACCCCACAACAGGCCCCAGTGTGTGATGTTCCCCACCCTGTGTCCATGTGTCCTCATTGTTCAGTTCCCACCTATGAGTGAGAACATGCGGTGTTTGGTTTAATTGACTCACAGTTCCACAGGCTTAACAGGAAGCATGACTGTGAGGCCTCAGGAAACTTATAATCACAGCGGAAGGGAAACGGGAAGCAAGGAACTTCTTCCCATGGTGGCAGAAGAGGGAGTGCAAGGCGGGAAGTGCCACACACTTTTTACCTACCATCAGACCTCACGAGAACACATTTACTATCATGAGAAAAGCAATGGGGAAATCCGCCCCCATGATCCAATCACCTCCCACCAGGTCCTTCCCTTGATATGTGATGATTACAATTTGACATGAGATTTTGGTGGGGCAACAGAGTCAAACCATATCATTCTACCTCTGGCCTCTCCCAAATATCATGTCCTTCTCATATTTCAAGACCAATCAGGTCTTCCCCACAGTCCTTCAAAGTCTTAATTCACTGCAGCATTAACTTGAAAGTCCAAGTCTAGGCCAGGCATGGTGGCTCACGCTTGTAATGGGGAGGCTAAGGCGGGTGGATCGACTGAGGTCAGGGGTTTGAGACCAGCCTGGCCAACATGCCAATACCCCATCTCTACTAAAAATACAGAAAAAAATAGTCGAACATGGTGATATGTACCTGTAGTCCCAGCTACTCAGGAGGTTGAGACAGGAGAACTGCTTGAACCCAGGAGGTGGAGGTTGCAGTGAGCCGAGACCATACCACTGTGCTCCAGCCTGGGTGACAGAGCAAGGCTCTGTCTCAAAAAAAAAAAAAAAAAAAAAAATGTCCAAGTCTAAAGTCTCATCTGAGACAATGCAAGGCCCTTCCACCTGTGAGCCTCTAAAATCACAAACAAGTTAGTTACTTGTTTGGGGTACAGGCATTGGGTAAATGCTCCCATTCCAAAAGGAAGAAACTGGCCCAAACAAATGGGGTACAGGCCCTGTACAAGTCCAGAACCCAGTAGGACAGTCATTAAATATTAAGGCCCCAAAATAATCTCCTTTGACTCCATGTCTCACATCCAGTGCATGCTGATGCAAGGGGTGGGCTCCCAAGTCCACAGCCACAGCTCTGCCCCTGTGGTTCTGCAGGGTATGGCCCCTGTGGCTGCTTTCATGGGCTGGTGTTCAATGCCTGCTACTAATCCAGGCGCATGGTGGAAGCTGTTGGTGGATCTACCATTCTAAGGTCCGCAGGACAGTGGCCCTCTTCTCACAGCTCCACTAGACAGTACCCCAGTGGGGACTCTGTGTGGGGGACCAAATCCCACATTTCTCCTCTGCACTGCACTAGCAGAGGTTCTCCGTGAGGGCTCTGCCCCTGCAGCAGACTTCTGCCTGGATATCCAGGCATTTCTATCATCCTCTGAAATCTGGGTGGAGGCTCCCACACTCTTGCCTTCTGTGTACCACGGCTAGAGCTGAAGTGACTGGGACACAGGACACCATGTTTGGAGCAGCAAGGCCTTGGGCTTGGTCCATGAAACCATTTTTCCTAGGCCTCTGGACCTGTGATGGGAGGGGCTGCTGTGAAGATCTCTGAAATGTCCTGGAGACATTTTCCCTATTGTCTTGGTGATTAATATTCGGCTCCTCGTATGCAAATTTCTGCAGCCAGTGGCTTGAATTTCTCCACAGAAAATCGGTTTGTCCTTTCTACAACACGGTCAGGCTACAAATATTCTAAACTTTTACGTTCTGCTTCCCTTTTAAACACAAAACCTTCTCTTCATGAACACATATGACTGTGCAAGGCTAGGAGCAGCCAGGCCTCATCTCCATCTGAGACCACATCAGCCTGGACTTCACTATCCGTATCACTGTCAGCATTTTCGTCACAACCATTCAACAAGTCTCTTGGAAGTTTCAAACTTTCCTTCATCTTCCTGTCTTTTGAGCCCTCCAGTTTCCTTTGTTTTTAGTCATTATAGGAATCCCATGAAGAATTCTTAGACAGAAATTAAATACATTAAAGTTAGGGTCTAGCCCAGAAAAGAAAAGGAATCACAAGTTGGTAAATCCTAACCTAATATACTGAGTTTAGTATGTGTATTATTTGGATAAATAATAATGTATTGATAACCTCTTCTAAGCTGTTTTCTTGATCTCTCAATAATTAAAAATACTACTATTTTTCTGTCCATTTTCTCCATTTTGCTTCAGAAACTTCAATGTACCAGAATAAAAGACAGTTTGGTTTTTTAACCTGATCTAAGTTTTTTTTCTTTTAACAGTTGGATCTTCTTTACAAGTAATTTTGTTATAATCACATAATGATTTCCATAATAATATTTTATGTTTTAATTTTAGTGCTTTTTAGTATTTAGTTTTGTTTTTATCTTCTGCTAAATGTTCTATGTGAAAAAAACACATAGAACTTTTTTCCTCCTTGCTTATATGAATGCACGTTTTTAAATTCTATTAGAACTTCTGACATATTTAAATGTTATTTGTTATATTTCTCATTACATCAATTTCAGAAATTTAATTATTTCTACTGCGAAGAAATTCATACTTTAATAAGTATAAAAACTGTATAATTCTTTCTTTTTTTAACCCTTAGTATTTGTTGATAGGGACAGAAAATTTTCTCAGTCTATTTGTGTTTTATTATAATTTTGTCACTATAGTATATAATTTTTGTTGTGAAATTGAGTTATTTAAGACTTTCTTGCTATGATTCCAAATCGAGACAATTTTTTAAAGATTGACAATTATGTAGACTATGCTGTCTTTCATGTGCAAAAGGCGAAATACAAAAATATATACATGTATCTGCTTACCTGTGCAAAAGATGTTTCATTTAATTTAATATGGTTATATTTTAGAAGTGTATCTTCTATTGCCAGCGATACAGCAGATTAGATCATTTGGCTGACACTTTTGAAAAAACAATTTGAAATTTATTTAAAGGCTGCATAAAATATATTTTACCCATCTTTTATATTGCTTTGCTGGGCTGAGAAGAATGGAAGGAATCCACAGAAATCTAAAAGGAAGTAAATAAAGGAACTGTGGGAGGTAACCAGATCCCAAAGCTGTCTTTCTCTTGAGGGAATTACTAATGACTGAATAGACTGATCTTCTCCCAGGAAAGCCACACGGAGATTGAGAGACAGGAGAGAAAAGTTGGGGCCTTTCTGTGAGGAAGTCTAAATAGAGACCCCTTTAGAGGGCCAGGACAGGCAACAGGCCAAACATTCATCTTGGGTTGAAGGACAAATACACTTACCCCAGCAAAGAGGCTGCAAGGAAACCAGATTATTTTGAAATTAGTACTGGAGGGAAAATAACAATCTCCTCTGAGAAGTCATAATTGTGCATCATGTGGATTGGACTCTTGAAGCCATACTACTTTATAGCCTGAAAATTCATCTCAACCAGATAATTTAGTTTAAAATGGTTTTGGATTGGTAGTACCTTAAGTGACTAGCAGAAACAAATGCATGTCTATCTCCAAGAAAGAAACTAGAAAGGCACTTCTAACAAGCCTCGAGAGTATCCATTTAAGAGGCCCATGGAAGAATAGAATTCACAGTTAGAGAGAGAGAGAGAGAGAGAGAGAGAAAGGAAAAATAAAAAGAAAACCATAAAACACATAAGCAAAAAAGTCACCATCTGTCAGAGTTGGACGAAACAAAGCCCAAGAAACTGTAAATTCAAAGGAACATAGAAGAAGTATAGTTAATGTATTTCAAGAAATAAAAGACAAGTTTGAAAATATGTACAGGAAATAAAAAACCATAATGAAAACCAAAATAAATTTAAAAACAGTATCTTTATTTTAGTCAATATTCAGAGAGATAATTTATCAACCTGAACTCTTTATCTACCAAAGATATATTCCAAGGAGCGGGTGAAATGAAGACAAATTCACACAAACACAAACTGAGAGTGCTTTCCATCAGCAGACTCTCGCTAAGGGAAATTCTAGAGAATGCATTTCAGATGGAAGAAAAATGATCCCAGATGGACGACTTGAGATACAAGAAGAAATGAAGAACAAGGAAAGTAGTAATCATGTAGATACATCTAAAAAAACACTTGAGTGAACTTAAGATTTCTCAGCCAAAGTCTTCTTCCTACCCACAGAAATCCCTGGGTCAAGGAAATAACAAGGCCTTAGCTATCTAGGTGGAATGCATAAAGGGCAAAATAGAGTGAGCAAAACACAGTAATTATCCCCAAGAATTATCCTCCCAGGCAGATAAGGTATCTGTCTTCATAAAGCTGACATTCTAGCAAGAAAGCCAGATAAACAAATAACCACTCAAATCACAGATAAACATGTAATCACAGACTCAGCTATGTTCCATGAAGGAGACTTATATAATGTTGAGAAAGCAAAATACAGTGTACAGTGGGATCTGACTTGGGAAGCTCAGAGACAGCTACAATTTTGCTATGTACCCTGCTGTTCATAGGGATATTAAGTTGAAGAAGACAGACTCAGTCCCTGAGATGCGGGAAAGAAAGAAGGAACAGGGAATCAGTGCCCCTAGAGAGAAGCATGCCCAGTAAATGGACTGACCTTAGGAGTTTAGAATAAGGAGCCAGAATAAAACTAAGAGGATATTGTACCAGTCCTTTAAGTTACTAAAGTAAAAGATAAGTAAAGATTAAATAATTCAAATTGATACATAAAATTACAATTTAGATATTGTAGATAGAAAAGCGTTTTGCTGAATCCTAAGAGGAACTACTTCATTGAGGCCAGTGTATAAAGAAGTCTGCAAATAAAGCAAAAAAAAAAAATAAAATTTTTTAAGCCAAGTGATTAAGAATGTGGGTTTTGTAACCTAAATCCAAGCCCGCAAAGTCAGCATTTTGGGCTCCCGTCCACTGTAGCCATAGGGTTCCTGCTGCCTGCACCTCTCAGTCTCTGCCCGCAGCTGTCTCTATTCTCTTTCCACAGGGCAGGAGAGACCAGCCTGTAGAGGCAGCCTCAACTTCAGGATTGTTACCACTTTTGTTCAGGTGAACGGCTAGAATTGCTGAGTCCAAGATACAGGTTTTAGCAAAGAATCTGCTGGGGCCCTCATGGGCCACATGTCCACCCCGATCTGAACTAGAGACCCGAGGATAAGGGGTTGGAGGTGAGCACAGCTGCGTGGCCAACTGGGGGGCTGCTGGAGGCGGCTCAGAAGGAGTAATGTGACGTGGACCACAACAGACTGCATTCCACACGTATCAGCCAATTAAAAAATAATGGCAAACTGTAGAATATTTTTCTAAAAGAAATTACTTTTAATAAAAACTTTGACACTTTAAAAATAATTTTTAATGCACCGAAAAGAAGTAATATCCATTTGTTATTTTCGTAGCTTAGCCATTTTAGAATACTACCAGTGTCTGAAATATAGTTTATTTAGAAGTGGTAGTAATATCTGAATAATGCAAATTAATAAACATTCTTATCTGACGGTTTATATGAAAGGCACTAGGAGAGGGGCTTGGGAAATACAAGAATGAACAAGAAAATGTCTTTGCCCTAAATAAGCCTTTCATTTTTGAGGTAACAAGCGTAATTTGTTACAATACAAGGGAAAACAGTGGCCATGGAAATGAATAAGAAGCTGTAAGTTAATTAAATCAGCCAATAAATATTTTTGTGCAACTATTTTCGCACTTTGCAAAACTGTTATATTTAAGAGTCCTATTAAAAATCTCAGAATGCTTTTGTCTCTATTCCTAGTAACATTGTATATAATGTACATAATACATATTTTGATTACTCAAGAATACAGGTAGCATATTGCAAAAATACATTCCAAATCTAAGATAGCAATGCCTAACACATAAGAAATGTGAAGCAAAAATGTGTGAAATAAACTTATGAGGGAATTTATACATTAAACTTATGAATATTAGCATTATTGGCTCAGATTATGCTAAAATATGTATACTTTTTAATACTGTATCAAAAATCAAATGCCAGTAATTGAACATCTTGAAATACTTTTGAAAGTGCCTTTCTATGTTGCATTTTCCGGCGGGCTGTGCTCCAGGTAAGTTAGACCAGAAACGCAGGATCCGGCCTGGTGGCAGAAGACTGGAACAGCCACAGCTGAGAATCCCCATTCCTTGACTGGCCTGAGCCTACTACAGTAAGGCAGCTTAGGGATCTAGACACAAAGCCCTAGGACTTTTAGAGTCATCTGCAAAAAACTTTAAAAATCACCCAGAAAATGTTCAACTTTCTGTTCTCATTTAATTCTACTGTAGATCATGTGTAGAGAGGGTACAGGCATTCCTCTACAACATCCCAGCTCACAGTGCCAAATACCTTTTGTACACAACACTAAATCTAGAAATGCCATTTATAACATAGGGTACCACAAACCAAAGCCAAAGGAAACACACACACACACACACACACACACACACGATTTTATGCCTAAATGTTGCCATGTCAGTAAAATTCTTGACTGGTAATAACCAAATATAGAAACAAAACACAAAATGATTTAAATGAAAAGTACTTAATCATGAAATGTCGGTTGTTTATAACTTTTTTAAAGGAGCTTATGATATTTTCTTATCTAGAGCACCAAAATCTAAATTTAGATACTTACATTATTGCACTCTCCAAGGAAATACAGTGCAAATCCATCGGCTTTTGTGGCTGCCAAAGTAATAAGAAAAGGAAGAAACTGAGCTCAGTGGGAGAATCTAACATGTATGCATCCTCCAGGGTGAGAGGCAGATGTGAGTCTTTCAAATTGATTTGTTAACAGAATCAATGGTCATGCAGTAAATGGAACAAAATCACTTATGGCTTTACTTAATAGCATAATTAAAATATCCTCTACATTTTTCATCAGTGAGTATAAAATTTAAGACGATATGCTCAAATGCATATAGCAGTCAACGTACCACATAGTAACATATTTGTTGAACTTTATTCAGAATTATTGAATATTTTTTAAATTTGAGAATTGTGTTTAATTTTTTAAGTTTTTAAAATACCACAAGTGATATTTATAATATTAAATAACCAAAGTAAGTATCAACCCAAAAAGCTGATGTATTCATCTATAATTGTCACTGAAGCAAACATAATTTAACTTACCTAAAATTGCCTCAGGGTCATCTGAAGGCAACTATAATAGTTAATAGCATAAGTCTTGGAGGGACTGCCTCAATTAAACCCCTACTTAACTCCTTTTTACCTGTGTGACTTTGGGTAAGATGTTTAACCTCTCTGTTCTATAGCTTCCTCATCAGTAAAATGGTGGCAATAATAAAAACAACCTCCTGAGACCGTAATAAAAATAAGTCAGTTAATGCATATAATATGCATAGACAGGTGCCTAGCATATGGTTAAATACAAAATAAATGTTATTATGGTTGGTATCATTTATATTTTTATTTTCAAATTAAAAAACAAAAGATACAATTGTCATAGTGGGTATCCTTCTGAAAAATCATGTCCTAAAAACAAGTGTATCCTTCTAAAATAGTACTTTTCTAACTTTCCCCATTCTATTCACAACATAAACCATTTCTTAAATGGTATATAAAATTGTCATTTACCCAAATACATTTAAAATGCTTAGTCTCTCTTTAAAATTAATATATTTTATAAAGATGTGATTTAATTCAATAAAACTATGCTTTCCAAAGGAAACTAGGTGTTAATTAGAAGGCATAGTATATTACCTGTATATATCAGGCAGATACTTATTTGGGATTAGACAATTTAGAAAGTTTTAGGTTTGACTCACCTCTGGTAGTTTCATAATAAAATATTTTCACTTGAAATTTAGTCCAGAAATAGAAGTAAATATAAATGACTTTCATCTGCCTCTTAGTAAGTAGTTTTTGCTGCTTTTTGTAAAAGAATCTTTGCCCATTTTTTCTAACAGGAACACAAAATGCTTCTTACCTATTTTAATGATGCTGCTCAGTTCATAGAGGAGTAGCTGGTTGTCTCCTCCTGTGTCCAACCGTTGTTCTATATAGCTGTTTAGTTCATATACAACTCCCTGCATATTCGTATCTTGGTACTTTGGATTAAAAATAACAAAAATAAAAACAGAGTTTAAATAAAATATAACAAAAATTCCTTAGTCTGTAAGACATACTATTAATATATGTGACTTAATATACTAAGTTATTCATTATGCTTTTATAGCACATGATTTAAATATTATAATCTATTTTATAAAACAAGTAGATTGAAAATTAAAATTGCTATGACTATTTATTTATTTATTTATTTTGAGACAGGGTCTGTCTCTGTTACCCAGGCTGGAATGCAGTGGCACTATCTCAGCTCACTGCAACCTCCACCTCCTGGGCCCATCCTCCCACCTCAGCCTCCCAAGCAGCTGAGACTACAGGCACACACCACCACACCATGCCTGGCTAATTTTTGTATTTTTTGTAGTGACAGGCTTTCACCATGTTGCCCAGGCTGGTCTCGAAAACTCCTGAGCTCAAGTGATCCCTCTGCCTCAGACTCTCAAAGTGCTGGGATTGAAGGCATGAGCCACTGCACCCGGCCGACTTCTTATTTAGAATTATCCATAGACTGCGTCTATGCAGCCTATATATATTAAAATAGTAGGTGTTACAAATTTTAACTTTGTTTCTAAAGTTTTATATATATTAGGTAACTTGATTAGTAAAAATAATATCATACAAGAGCTTGCTGAGTGCACCTCTGTAAGATGCTAGGAAAGTCTGCTGCAGTCGCTGCACTGGGTGAAACAAGTGCCCTCTGTGCCACTCTAACTTTCCATTCCTTTCCATCTATATGGCTCCACCTTGGTCTGCTCTCATCCCTGCCACCATAGCAAGAGTTAGGCGCTTGCACTGCAGCCACTGTCCCCACAGCAGCAGCCCCACAGCATGTCCACAGCACAAGGCTTCATCATGGCACCAGTGGAAACAGCAGGTGGACAGGGAGATGTCAACCCCCACCCTGCTCCAGTTCAAGCTATAATGTGTCTTCTCTAAAGGAATAAAAAACAGTCCTCCAACTAATCTCCCTGCTCCCAAACTTGTCTTACTAAACCTAGTCTCAAAACAACAGGCACTGTAAACTCGAAATATAAAATTCTGTCTCTCCATGGCTTCAAACACTCCTGGGGCTTCCTACTGCACTTGGAATAATAAACAAAAACGCCTCGCACAGTAACACACCATGTGCTGCAAAGCATGGTTACTATCCAGCTCAAAACTGCGTCTCACACCCCACTCTGTCTACCCTCACTGTCACAACCCTGGCCATCTTTCTGCTTCTTGATCATTCAGATAACCTCCACTTCTAAAGGTCTATTACTTGCTGTTTTCTTGAGCACTATACTCAATAAATATCTGTTGAATGAACAAGTAAGTAACCAACCAATGATTGGACAAATACCACTGACCATCCTGACAATGCACTAGAGGAGGCTCTCTTCTAGTCATCAGAGACCCTAGAACAGTGGAACAAACCATTAAAGATATTATCTTCAATGAGCTCACATTCTAGTTGGAAGAGAATCAATACGTAAATAAGGCAGGTTTTTATATGAGAGCACCTACTTGGGTTCAGTATGCTAGTGCTAGGTTGGCTGAAATCTGTTCCCAAAAGTGGCCAATGCTCAATGAAGTTGAAACCTCAGAACTTCCCTGGTATATATTCAAAGGCTTAGCAAGATTGGAATGCTAGATTTGGCTGATGATGGGAGACTAGTTTCGCAATCCCCTGGCTATGTCCTAGGGATGCCCCCCTTCACCAAGGCCATGAGAAACACATTTACAGGGGGAGCCCTGGCATATGTGAATATATACCTGGCTCTGGTGCAGGCCAGGAATTAATGAGGAAACTGCTGCCATATGGCTGGGTTCCTTGAATTCACCCAGAAGATGGGATATTGATGTGGTAGAGGACAAGTGGGAGCACTTAACATCCAGAGACAAGGTGGGTATTGTCAGCACAACCAACAGAAGCAAAGCTGCAGAGGAATTTGGTCACAGAAATATTCAGCATGGCTGCTTGATCACAACTGCTATGGTTTGAACATTTCCTCCAAAGTTCATGTTTTGAAAACTTAACCCTGAATGCAAGTGTTGAGAGGTGGGACCTTTAAAAGGCAGAGCCCTTGTGAATGGAATAATGATGTTATTGGGGGAGTGAATTAGTTATCACGGGAGTGGGGTCCTGATAAAAGATATCTTTGGTCCCCTTCCCTTCTCTCTCTTGTACATTCTCTCTTGCTCTTCTCCTTTCTGCCATGGGATGACACAGCAGTAAGGCCCTCACCAAATGAAGGCCCCTCATCCCAGGACCTCCCAGCCTCCAAAATTGTAAGAAATAAATTTCTGTTCTTTATAAATTACCTAGTCTCAGATACTCTATTACAGCAGCACAAAATGGACTAAAACAGAAAACTGGTACCAGGAAGTGGGGCTGTGGCAATAACAAATATCTAAAAATGTGGAAGCAGCTTTGGAACTGGGAAATGAGTAGAGGACAAAAGAACTTGAAGGAAATGGCTGTAAAGAACCTAGACTGCAATAAAGGAAGCATCAAGGGAAATTCTGGTGAGGGTTTAGAAAAAAAAAAAACAGCTGTAGGAAGGGCTTTACCTTTCTTAGGAATTACTTAAGTGGTCACAATCAGAATACTGATAGAAACATGGACAATAAAGGCTATTCTGATGAGGTATCAGATGGAAATGAACAAGATACTCGCAACTGGAGTAAAAGCCATCCTTATGAAGTCACAAAGAACTTGACTGATCTGTAGCCATGTCCCAGGGCTATATAGAAAGCAGAACTTAAGGGCAATGAACTCAAGTATCTGGTGGCAGAAATTTCTAAGCAAAATAATGAAGGATCTTCATGACTACTCTTAACTGCACATAGTAAGATGTGAGTAGAGAGAAATTAAAGGTGGAATTTGTAATTAAAAGGGAAGCAGAATGGAAAGATTTGGAAAATTTGCAGCCTAGATACGTTAAGTGTGAAAAGACATGTTTAGCAGAACAAACCAAGGGTTTATGGGCAACTGACCATTTTCTAAAAACCTAAGTAGAGACAGAAAGTAGCAGGGTGCTATTCATCAAGACAATGGGAGAAAGACCATAAAGCTGCTTCAGAGATCTTGGAGGCCATCCCTCCCACCACAGGCTCAGAGCAGGGCCTTGAGGGCAAGGTTTCCAGAAGGTGTCCATGGAACCTCAGCTTTTGCTGCCCAGGCAACTTAAGGACTCTACTCCCTGCATTCCTTCACAATGTGAGCCCCAGCCACGGTTCAAGTGAGTTCAAGTGCAGCTCCTGCCACACCTTCAGAGGGCACAAACAGTAAGTCATAGTGGTATCCACATAATACTAACTGCAAACTTGCAGGCTTCATGAGCTGTGGTGCCACAGCAGCCTCTACCTAGATTTCAAAGGATGTAGTAGTCAGCCTGGGGCCCACGGACAAACTTGTTACAGCAGTGGAGCCCGCACAGACAGCCCCCAGTAGGCCAATACCTAGAGAAGCCCTGGGAGCAAGGCCATCTCAGAGACTCCAAAATGTAGAGTTACCAACTCCACAACTCTGGAGAAGCTCAGGCATGAGACACCAACCTGTGAGAGCTGAAGTGTGGGCTGGCCCCAGCAAAAATCATAAGGGCAAGGATACTCAAGGCCTAGGGAGCCTAACCCCAACTCCAGTGTGCCCAGAATGGGACAAATTGAGTCAAAGAAGATTATTCTCCAGCTTTAAAACTTAATGTTGTTTCCTCTGTTGAGTTTTGGACTTTTGGGACCAGTTACCCCCTTTCTTGTCTATTTCTCCTTTTTGGAATGGGAATATCAATCCTATGCCTCTTCTACCACTGAATTTTGGAAGTAGATGACTTGTTTTGATTTCACAGGCTCAAAGCTGAAGAAGGTTTGTTTCAGGACGAATTGTCCCTTGAGTCTCACTCATACCTGATTTAGATGAGACCCTGGACTGATGCTGTACAACTTAAGAACTTTGAGGCCACTGAAATGTGTACACTACATGTTAAAAGGACATGAATTTTGGTGGCCAGGGGTGGAGTGCTATGGTTTAAATGTACCTCCCAAAGTTTGCGTTAAAAATTTGATCCCCAACGCAACAGTACGGAGAGGTGGGACCTTAAGAGATGATTAGGTCATGATGGCCCCGTCTTCATAAATAGGTTAATACCATTACTGGGGGAGTGAATTAGTTATCTCAGCAGTGGGTTTCTGAATAAAAGGATGAGTTTGGCCACCTTCCTCTCTCTCTAAAGCGTGATCTCTTGCCCTTCCACCTTCTGCCATGGGATGATGCAGCAGGAAGGTCCTTGCCAGATGCAGGCACCTTGACCTTGGGCTTCTCTGTCTCCAGAACTGTAAGAAATAAATTTATTTTATTTATAAATTTCCTAGTCTGTAGTATTCCGGTATAGCAACACAAAACAAAGATAACAGTGTCCCTGGAACTGAACGGCGCAGACTATTGACATATTTTTTTTCATTTGTCTAAACAGAAAAGTTGTGGCTTAAATGAACAAAAATCTGACTTGATGACCACAAGAGAAAGTCAGAATATTTCACTGAATTCCCAGACATGAGCCAATTCACAGGCCCAGAACTCCTTAAATAAGGAAAGAGAAAGCAGGTCCCCTTGGAGAAGAATCCTACTATGCCACCAAAAATGTATAGCACAGATCTTCCTCCTGCCTTTCCCAAAGAGGTCGGCAGCCATTTGCCTGGGTGACTGAATATCACGGGGGCAGGCAGAATTACTAGATTTGGGGGACTACTGGACGTCAGCTCCACCCTGACATTAATTCTTTATTATTATTATTATCTTGAGACAGGGTCTAGCTCTGTTGCCCAGGCTGGAATGCAGCACTAACTATTAAGAGACCCAAACTCCACTGAGGAGTACCAATCAAAAGGGGTTCATGGAGATCAGGTGATCAATGAAGTTTTAGCTCAAGGTTTGTCTCAAAAATGAGCCACACTGGGGTCTCCAACACACCCTCTGGTGACTGCAGTTTGGGAATACACTTCTGGAACAGACATACTCAGCAGCAGACAGAACTCCGCACTGAAGGATCCCCACGTAGGAAGGGACAGAAGAAGTGAGACTTGGAGAAATCTGAGGGAAGAGCTTCCCAAGTAAAGAGAACAGGATAAATCAATTAATTACTATGACCAAAAGCGGCAAAATAGAAACCTGCCAAGCAATTCTTAGGCTGCATTTCAAACTTCAAAAACTACTAACTGCTACTATTAGGCTTTTACCTGTGGTAGCCACTCCCTGCTCTCTTCCCAAGCACTGAGAGCCTCGGCTGTAGAAGAGGTTCTCTTAGGTTGTGTGTATTCCCTTCTCAGGTCTGCTGCCTTCCTGGGCGGTGCCTAACATTTCTAAGGGCTGATTCCCCCTCCCATTAGCCTTGTGGGCCCTACTTGCTTTGTTGCACACTTGACCATAGTAAGTCATTGGTCTCCAACTCAGTTTTGTGACTTTTTATTGCTAAAATGTAATCTTAACAGCCAAAACTTCTCAGTTATTTTCTAGCTCCAGATTTTTGTCCAAGTCTTGTTCTTACCCAAGTACCTGTTGATAGGTATTTACATAATTACAGAATTTACATAAAAATCATGAACACTTGAAATTCTAATGACTCTAAAATATGACAGCATTGTTTGAGGTCACCAAAACTTAGGTTATTTTCTTTATCATCTGTAACCAGATCCTATTCGAGCTATTTCAAGTTCTGAATAACTTCAGATAAAATATGCTACTCTATCATACCCTCTCTCTTCCTTACTTATTCCACTTATTCCAACCACTAGTTCTGTATTTTCTTTACCCCACAGTCTTTAAAAGGAGCTTCTATGAGAATGAAGCTAGCCTAAAAGAAAGCTGAGCCAAACAATAGTGAGAGACCTAAGTCTATCAACTTTGAACACCTAGATCCAGCCAAGCAAAAGCTTCATGTGTAAAAATCACTAGATATTTCTTTTAAATAAACCAATACATTCTCTGAATTCTTCATTTTCCACGTGGAAGAAAGAAGCATTAGCCAGCTTAAGGGGAGTTTTCAGTCATTCAGGCTCCACACAAATGATACACGGCTGACTCCTTCCTCTTAGCATATAATTCTGAGAACAGGCTCTTTAATAATGACCTGTGTGCAGTGCTGAGATCAATAACCAGCTGTTCTCCATCTCTTTTGGACAGGAAATGGGTTGTTACAAATAAGTGAGAACAAGAAGACATGCTGGGATGTGGACAGTTTATCATGAGGTTTCATTTCACGTCTCTGGGCTTTAGTTTTCTCATTTGTATAATAAGAAGGCTGAATTATACTGTCTGTAAAATGCTTTCCCTTTCCAAGACTAAATTTCTGAGATAAGCTATGACCTAGGTTTTAAAATTTTTTCTTGTTTATATT
Source organism: Homo sapiens (assembly GCF_000001405.40). Lineage (NCBI taxonomy): Eukaryota > Metazoa > Chordata > Mammalia > Primates > Hominidae > Homo > Homo sapiens. The sequence continues at coordinate 165,456,756 of NC_000006.12, forward strand.
AAGCTTCAAATTCTAATATTTCATCTAATAGAATGTTAGCACATCCTGTTTCCTTTTGTTGCTCATTATAACTGCAAAAGTATTATGACAGCAAAATGTTTTTACTATAATTTCTATATTGACATATTAACTCAAATATTAAAGGTCTATCTACATAGTTAACAAATCACTCAAACCATAATATACTGTAAAATGTAAAATTACATGCAAATGTACTACAAGAATAAGCAAAATTGTTATTTGGTTGTTAGCCTTCTGGTCATTCTGTTGTTTATCAGGACTGTTATGAAAGGCAAAGCTGAGGAGACAAATTACGTGAATGTCAAATCACATACTTGTAAGACACTTCTATGGAAACCCCATGATAAAGGAATCAATTTCTATTTAACTGAATAAACATGAATTCTATGGCTTGACTAATAACAATTACAATAAGTATACTAATAAAGATGTTAAGAACTTGTATTTTTACAGCATTTTTAACTTCATAAAGTCCCTTCATGACTTTCCTAAGAGAAACTACAACAAGTTTATACTGGGCATCACTGCAGCATTCGTAATTCGAGACGAGTTAAAATTCCAAAGTAGAGTTAAGCTGGGAGCTACACATTTTTCCCAAATCAAATTGGATACCACCATCTTCATATTCTGTTCCACGCTGATTTCATGTAGTACTTGCGTTTTATTTGAGCAACCACCAAAAACACAGCTTCACAAAGATAAGACCTGAACGATAGAACTGTAGTGATCTAATATTAAAACTGAACTATGTCAAGCTAACATTGTCAAGCTATATGTATATATATGTATATATATAACATACGTCAAGCTACATCAGGTTCTGTCCAACATATGCCACTGTGTTTCCCATGACATTTTAATATATCCTGAGTTACTCTTGTACATTTGCTGTGGTGCCTCAGGGCATTTGGAACACAGTTTGGGAACCAGGGGAAAGCCACTCTCTTGCCTAGGGGGAAATAATATTTTACAAAATAAAATGGTAATGAACAAATCAGTGTTAATTGTTGGTTCAGAAAGAAAAGTAAAAGCTAGTTTCACCGGGAGGACAAATGTTCCCATGACTGCTAAAATGAATTAGTTATGTAAACATGCATTAGACAGCTACTTAGCCAAAAAAGTTTAGAGGCAATTCAGTAATCACATGGAAACTGTGACCTCTGTTAGTCCCGAGAGTCTGTGATTGTATGAGGTGGCACCAACATATCCAGAAGGCCAACAATAAACAAGAAGCCATAATGAGACAAATGTTAAATTGGATAAATATTTAACAGCATAAAAAGGAGCTCCTCAGTTTCTAATATAAACTTCAATATTGGAAAAATATCTTCTCATCATTTTTTATATTATTCCTTTGTTCCTTTTTATATTGTTTATAATGTTTTATTTTGACATAATTTCGATCTTACAGAAAAATTTCGATATTACAAGAATAGTACAAGAAACACCTTGTATACCTTTTACCCAGAGCTATAGACTGTATCTCTGTCTCCCCCTAAAATTCCTACGCTGAAATCTTAACCCCCACTGTGATGCAATCAGGAGGTGGGAGCTTCAGGGGAGTGATTAGGTCAGGAGAATAGAGCCCTCATGAATGGGATTAGGGACAGGACACTTCCACCCTGTGAGGACACGGCAAGAAGACAGCTGCCTTTTATCAGGAAGAGGGTCCTCAGCAGACCCCGAATGTGCCATCACCTTGATCTTGAACTTCACAGCTTCCAGAGTTGTAATTTCTGATGTTTATTACGCCACCAGTCTATGGGACTTTGTGACAGCAGCTAAACCAGGACACTAAGGTTTACCAGTAATTCCATTTTTCTTATTTGCCTTAGCATTCTATCAGTAAATTGTATCTATCAATCTTTCTCTCCACACATGGACAGGCGCACGCACACACACACACACTCACACACACACACACGTTTTATAAATATGTTTTAATATTTTAAGAGCAAGTTGGTGTGCCCCTTTATTCCTAGACACTTCAGTGTGCATTTCCCAAGTAAAAGAACATTCCCTTACAAGTTAAATACAGTTACCATGATCAGAAAATTTAACGTTTCTACAGCAATATTAGCTAAATAAAAACCCACATTCACAGTTCACCTGTTGTCCCAAAAATGTCCTATAAAGGATTATGACCCCCCACCCGTCTAAGTTCAAATCCCAGATCACATATGCTATTTAGGCATCACATTTCTTCAGCATCTTTCAACGTACAACAGTTCCCTCAGCCCGTCTTGTGTTTCCTGAACTTGATACTTTTGAAGAATATAGGCCAATTTTGATTTGTCTGATGTTTTCTAAATATCAGATTGAGGTTCAGAATTATTTTCAGCGAAACAATGAAGTGATGAAGCTAGAAAGCCATAATCCGAAGAAGAGTGAGCATGCCTGGCTGCCTCCCTGACTTCCTCCATGTGAACATGAGATCAAAGACTTATCTTGATCCGCTATTACTGTCATTTAATTTGATGCTCAAGTTGGCCCAGATTTGGCAAGCAGAAACCCCTTCAAGATAGCTCCTATATGCTTTTCACACGTCCTAATGATTCCTTCAACACTTCCTTACCTTTTTGTCACATACTTTGCCAGCCCTTGAATCAGCCATTTCTAATTCAAAGAAATCCCAGTTCCCCTTAGTAGAAAATGGCATTTAAAATCCAAGAGTTGAAGCTATATCACACTGCTGTCAATGCTTCTAATGCATTAGATAGATAGATAGATAGATAGATAGATAGATAGACAGACAGACAGACAGACAGACAGACAGACAGACAGATAGATAGATAATGATAGATATATATATATATATAATATAGATAATGATTGCAGATTTGGCTGCTCAGGATATAGTACTGCAGTTATTAGCTTTTGACAATGCTAATCCTCATTGCCAGGCTGCTCTGTGACCTATCAGAGGGAAAGCACACTTAGTTGATTATATCAAGGCCTGTGATGGTATCGGAGGTAATCTGCATAAAGCTACTCTGCTAGCACAGGCAATGGCAGGACTGAGAGTGGATAAAGGAAATACTACGTTTCCTGGAGCTTGCTTTAACTGTGGGAAGCATGCTCATACTAAAAAAGAATGTAGAAAAAAATCAGCGAGTCAGGCCGCCAGATAGGGGAAAAAAGAAAACTGCTGAGCCTGAAATATGTCCAAAATGTAAAAAAGGAAAACAATGGGCTACTCAGTGTCACTCTAAGTTTGATAAAAATGGGAACCCGATTTTGGGAAATGCCATGAGGGACCCGTCCCGGGCCCCATTCTAAACCGGGGCATTTCCAGCTCAGGCCATTCCCTCACCCCTGTACAATGTCTGTCTCCTGCCACAGCCGGTAGTGCCGCAGTAGATTTATGCTGCAGAAAAGCTGCGAGCCTTCTGCCTGGGGAACCCCCACAAAAGGTCCCAACAGGAGCCTGTGGACCCTTGCCAGCGGGTACAATAGGATTACTTTTAGGAAAGTCTAGTTTAAGTTTAAAACAGGTACAAATACATACAGGAGTCATTGATTCAGATTACAATGGGGAAATTCAAGTTGTTTTATCTACTTTTGTTCCCTGGAAAGCAGAGCCAGGGAAGCACAAAGCACAGCTCCTGATTGTGCCATATGTGGGAATGGGAAAAAGTGAAATTAAATGAACAGGAGGATTTGGAAGCACAAACAAACAAGGCAAAGCAGCTTATTGGGTAAATCAAATTGCTGATAAACGTCCTACTTGTGAAATAACTATTCAGGGAAAGAAATTTAAAGGTTTGGTAGATACAGGAGCAGACATTTCCATCATTTCTCTACAGCACTGGCCGTCCGATTGGCCAATTCAACCCGCTCAATTTAACATAGTTGGAGTTGGTAAAGCCCCTGAAATATATAAAAGTAGCTATATTTTGCATAGTGAAGGGCCCGATGGACAACCTGGGACTATTCAACCAATTATAACTTCTGCACCTATAAATTTATGGGGAAGAGATTTATTACAACAATGGGGAGCACAAGTTCTAATTCCAGAACAATTATATAGCCCTCAGAATCAACATACAATGCATGAAACGAGGTATGTCCCTGGTATGGGACTAAAAAAAAATTTGCAAGGTTTGAAAAAACCGCTTCAAGTGGAAAAACAAAGTTCCTGCCAAAAATTAGGAAATAATTTTTGATGGCGGCCGTTGTTAAGCCTCCAGAACCTATACCTTTAAAATGGTTAACAGATAAGCCAATTTGGATAGAACAATGGCCACTAAGTAAAGAGGAACTGGAGGCTTTAGATAAATTAGTTACTGAACAATTAGAAAATGGGCACAGAGCTCCAACATTTCCCCTTGGAATTCTCTAGTTTTCATAATTAAGAAAAAATCAGGTAAATGGAGAATGTTAACTGACTTAAGAGCTATCAATTCAGTTATACAACCTATGGGAGCATTACAGCCAGGACTGCCTTCTCCTGCTACAATTCCAAAAAATTGGCCTTTAATAATTAGTCATAGATTTAAAAGACTGTTTGTTTGCTATCCCTTTAGCTGAGCAAGACTGTAAATGGCTTGCATTTACAATTCCTGCAGTAAACAACCTGCAGCCTGCTAAGCGTTTTCATTGTTTTACAGATGGATCTAGTAATGGAAAAGCTTCTTATTCTGGCTCGAAAAGTAAAGTTTTCCAGACGCCCTATACTTCAGCTCAAAAAGCAGAGCTTGTAGCTGTAATTGAGGTATTGACTGCTTTTGATATGTCAATTAATGTGATTTCTGATTCTTCATACATGGTTCATTCCGCACAGTTAATTGAAAATGCTCAGTTACGATTTCATACAGATGAACAACTGATGACTTTATTTACCCAATTGCAAACAGCAGTTAGAAGTAGAATGCACCCTTTTTACATCACTCACATTAGGGCTCATGTACCTCTTCCAGGACCTTTGACTGAAGGGAATCAAATGGCCGATCACCTAGTTGCTAATGCAATATCTAATGCTAGACACTTTCACAATTTAACCCATGTTAATGCCTCTGGCCTCAAACGCAGATACAGCACTACCTGGAAAGAAGCTAAAAATATTATCCAACGATGCCCAACTTGCCAAATGGTATATTCCTCATCTTTTACAGGAGGAGTTAATCCTCAAGGACTGGAACCTAACTCTTCTTTAGCAAATGGATGTCACACATGTTCCCTCGTTTGGGAGACTAGCTTATGTACATGTATGTGTGGATATCTTTTCTCACTTTGGGCTACAGGCCAATCAGGAGAGTCTTCTGCCTGTGTTAAATGTCACCTTTTGCAGTGTTTTGCAGTGATGGGTATTCCAGCTTCTATTAAAACAGATAATGCCCCAGGCTATACTAGCCAAGCTCTAGTTACATTTTTCTCTATGTGGAATATTAAACACATTACTGGTATCCCATACAATTCTCAAGGACAAGTCATAATGGAAAGAATGAATCTTTTTCTAAAACAGCAGTTGCAAAAGGGGGAAATAGAGAATATGGAACCCCACAGATGCAATTGAATCTAGCATTATTAACTTTAAATTTTTTGAGCCTGTCCAAAGGCCAGATGTTATCAGCACCTGAACAGTATCTACAGAAACCAGATGCAAAGACAGAAGCAGAACAACCGATTTGGTGGAGAGATCCAATAACAAAACGTTGGGAAATAGGTAAAATAACTTGGGGTAAAGGTTATGCTTGTGCTTCTCCAGGACCAAATCAACAGCCGATTTGGATGCCATCAAGACACCTAAAACCTTATCATGAGCCAGATGCCGAGGAAGAGATTCTGGGAGGATCCCGAGGACCCCCTAGTTGCAGCCATGTCGAGACTGACGCTGAGGAGGTCCCCAACTGTCACGAGCAACACCCGTCAAACACAGCCACCCACATGGGGACAGATCAAGAAGCTGTCACAGATGGCAGAAGAAAACCTGAGGAAAGCAGTACAACCAGTCACAATGAGTAATTTAATGGTAGCTATGATAGCAGTGATCACCACTGCCATGAGTATTCCTTCAGCAAGGGCTGACACAGAGAACAATTATACTTATTGGGCATATTTATCAATCTTGGCTGGCAATAATGCCTAGATGCAATCACTCTATAACACAGTTACACATGCTTTCTGATCTCAGTATTTACCATAATAAATCTGCTACTATAATTGAGGCATACCACCCTCAAAAACCTTTTTGTAAACAGGATTGGACCCAGTTAGAAAAAATGAACATACTTGTTTAGTAAGATTGCATTGCAGAACAGGCAGAGGTGCTGCACAACGATTCCTATGGAATCATTACTAATTGGTCCCCTAAGGGGATGTTTAGCTTGAATTGCACCTCTCAGTCTGCGAGCCACAGCCACACTACGTTCAGCTGATCTGAACAAAACAGTCAGACGGTAGAAATGGCAAAAAATACAGCAAAAGTTCCTATTATCTGGAACCATGGTGGTATAGTGGCACCTCAACCTCAAATGATATGGCTCATTGTAGGAGCTAAACATAAGGATTTGTGGAAACTATTAATAGCTCTTAGTAAGATCAAAATTTGGGAAAGAATAAAAAAGCTTCTAGAAGGACAATCTACAAACTGGTTTTTGGATACAGCAAAATTAAAAGAACAAATATTTAAAGCATCCCAGGCACGCCTGAGCTTAATGCAAGGAACTGGAGTGCTTAAAGGAGCTGCAGACAAATTAGCAGCTAGTAACCCATTAATATGGATAAAAACACTTGGAAGCTTTGTAATTTCAATGATGATTGTGCTTTCATAAATCTGTGTTGTTTGTATAGTCTGCAGATGTGGATCCTGACTCCTGCGAGAAGTAGCTGACCGTCACAAAGCTGCCTTTGCTTTTATCGATTTGCAAATCAAAGAAGGGGGACATGTTGGGAATAAGCCCCCCCCAAAAATCTGGCCATAAACTGGCCCCAAAACTGGCCATAAACAAAATCTCTGCAGCAGCACTGTGACATGTTCATGGCCATAAAGCCCACACTGGGAGGTTGTGGGTTTACCGGAATGAGGGCAAGGAATACCTGGCCCGCCCAGGGCGGAAAACCACTTAAAGGCATTCTTAAGCCACAAACAATAGCATGAGTGATCTGTGCCTTAAGGACATGCTCCTGCTGCAGAAAATTAGCCCAACCTATTCCTTTAATTAGGTCCATCCCTTCGTTTCCCATAAGGGATACTTTTAGTTAATTTAATATCTATAGAAACAATGCTAATGACTGGCTTGCTGTTAATAAATATGTGGGTAAATCTCTGTTCGGGGATCTCAGCTCTGAAGGCTGTGAGACCCCTGATTTCCCACTTCACACCTCCATATTTCTTTGTGTGTGTCTTTAATTCCTCTAGCGCTGCTGGGTTAGGGTCTCCCCAACCGAGCTGGTCTCGGCATATACATACACACACATACACACACAAACACACACATAGGTATGTGTAAGCTGATAATTGTCATTCTGCATGTATTTGTCTACTTACATATACATATATTAGGAGAGATGAAAAACCATGACTCATTCTGATACCTCCGGTTCCAACCAAACACTACAGTATACATTCCACTATTTCCTATTTCCATATTTGTAATTACCTCACCCAACATGTGAAATCTGGCTGTCAATATCCTTAACATACTTATATATTTTCTCAAGTCTAGAATACACAGAGGTAGTTTTAGAATTGCTAAGCCATACCACTTCAAATAGTAAATGTATTAACTAGATGTTAATATTTTTTAGTTTTTTAGGTAAAATTTACAGACACTGAAATATACAAATCTTAATGGTACTAGTGCATAAATCCTTGTAACATACATCCTACCAAGAAAGAACATTTCAACTCTTCATAAACTCCCTCCCATAGTCCTTTCTAATCAATCCCTGTCCTCAAAACAGCCACTCTTTTTGACTTTTCCCACCATAGATTAGTTTTGCCAGCTTTTGGAATTATTTGTAAATGGAATCATACAATATGTACTCTTTTGAACCTACTACATTGGCTCAACAGGATGTCAGGGCAAACCAGCCATGGTACTATGTGTTTCAGTAGTGTGTTCCTTTCCATTACTGGTAACATTCCATTGTATTAATGTACTACAACTTGTTTATCTGCCATACTATTGCTGGACATTTGGGATGTTTGTTTCCAGTTTTGAGCTATTATGAATAAAGCCTGCTATGAACATTCTTATGGAAGTCTTTTTGTGAACACAGGTTTTCAATTACCTTTAGCAAATTCAGAGTAAAATTCCTGGATTGCAAGATAAATGTATGTTTAACTTTACAAGAAGTTACCCCCCTTTTTTCAGTGCTTTATATTCTTAAGAATTGAGTTATCAAAATGATTTAGGCATTTTAAAGAAAAAGTTGTTAAAAATAAAGGTGATCTATATCACACAAATGGCACAGGCTAAAAATCTAACCATTCTGTAATGAGCAACTATAATGACCCATGAAGGAAATCTGCGAGCTACACAGGTATAGGTGGAAAAGCTTGGGGGTAACACAGAGGAGGCCACTGATTCTTTGCAAATGCTTACTTTAAAAAATTTTAAAATCCTAAACAGCATATAAAGGGCCAGTAGATATTCACCCTGAGTCTATCCTAGCACTATGGGGAAAAGAGAAAAAGCAGCCACCTTCACTTGTTCTACAGTGTAACTGAGCACAGAAGAAATGCTACACAGAGCTGTTTCAAAGGATTACAAGAGAGTAAACAAGGCACTGTATTAGTTCCTTCTCACGCTGCTATGAAGACATACCCAAGACTAGCTAATTTATAAAGAAAAGAGGTTTAGTTGACTTATAGTTCCACATGACTAGAGAGGCCTCAGGAAACTTACAATCATAGTGGAAGGTACCACGTCACAGAGCGGCAGGAGAGAGAATGAGTCCTGAGCAAAGGGGGAAGCCCCTTATAAAGCCATCAAATCTTGTGAAAACTCACTCACTATCATGAGAATAGGGGGAAATCGCCCCCATGATTCAATTATCTCCATCTGGTCAAGTGCTTGACACATGGGGATTATTACAATTCAAGGTGAGATTTGGGTGGGGACACAAAGCCAAACCATATCAGGTATGATTTAGGAGTAGCATAGTTCCGAAGTTTAGAGAATGCATCTTAAAGAATGCTAGCACAGATGACAGAAACTGCAGGAGGAAGTACTAAAAGAGAGGGTAGCAGAGGAACAAGCAGGGCATGAGGACAGAACGATCATGGCTGATTATCAGGACTGTCCCTGGACAATGAATTCATGTCGAAGTAGAAAGCACACAGGCAGGGATTCTGCAAATCAACAAGGCACTAATTTGAAAACACATCATTAGCTCAGTTCAATAAAACAGAAATAATAAAAACTAATATTCCAAAAGAACATTATAATTTTCAAAGGGCTTTTTATAAATTAATGAATCTCATTTAGGACAAAAAGGTTCACAAGATGAAAAGGGCTTTTCACACTAACAAGTTTAGCGAAAAGGGATCCTTGAGATAAAATAGTATTAAATCACTGACTGATACAGCAAACATTTTTTAAGTTTAAGATTGCTAGTAGAAAAGGATTAAGCATTCAAGGGCAGCTGAATAATGAGAAAATTAAGGGAAAGAAAAGATGTAGTTTAAGTACTTTACCCAACAGATGTATTTCTGAATGTCAGCACAGGCATACGTCATTTTGATTGTGCTTTGCTTTACTGCTCTTTGTAGATATTGCATGTTTTACAAATGGAAGGTGCGTGGCAACCCTGCATCAAAAAATTCCATCAGCGCCACTTTTCCAACAGCCTGTGTTCACTTCATGTCTCTATGTCACATTTTGTAATTCTCACTGTATTTCAAAACTTTTTCATTATTATTGTACCTGTTAAGGTGATCTACAGTCAGTGATATTTAATCATCTGTAACTATTCTCCCATCTCCCCTCCTCTCCTTGAACCTCCCTAATCCTGAGACAAAACAATGTTGAAATTAGACAAACCAATTAATAACTCTACAATGATCTCCAAGTGTTCAAGTGAAAGAAAGAGTCACATGTGTTTCACTTTAAATCAAAAACTAGAAATAAGTAAACCTAGTGAGGAAGACACGTCAAAAGCCAAGACAGGCTGAGAACTGGGTCTCTTGCTCCAGTTAGTGAAGTTGTGAACGCAAAGAAAAAGTTCTTGAAGGAAATTAAAAGTGCTAATCTAAAGAACATATGAATAATAAGAAGAAACAGCCTTATTGCTAATATGGAGAAAGATTTGGTTGTCTGGATAGAAGATCAAACCAACTACAATATTCCCTTACAGCAAAGTGTAATCCAGAGCCCTAGCTCCCTTCAATTAGAAGACTGAGAGATGTGGGAAAGCTGCAGAAGAAAAGTTTGAAGCTAGTAGAGGTTACTTCATGAGGTTTAAAGAAAGAAGCCATCTTCATAACAGAGAAGTGCAATGTGAAGCAGCAAGTACTGATGGAGAAGCTGCAGCAAGTTATCCAAAATATCTAGCTAAGATAATGGATGAAAGTGGCTATCCTAGAGAGTGGATTTTCAAAGCAGACGAAACATTCTTACAACACTGAGGTGTCATCTAGGACCCTTATAACTGGAGGAGAAATCAATGTCTGGCTTCAAAGTTTCAAAGAACAGGTGACTCCCTTATTAGTGACAAATGCTGCTGATGACTTTAAGTTGAATCTAAGGCTCAGTGACCACTGCAAAAATTCTAGGGCCCATAAGAATTATGCTAAATTGACTCTGCCTGTGTTCTAGAAATGCAAGAACAAAGGCACAAGGACATCACATCTGTTTTTGGCATAGTTTGCTGAACATTTTAAGCCCACTGTTGAAAGCTACTGCTCCAAAAAAAATTCCTTTCAAAATATTAATCCTTGGCCAGGTGTGGTGGCTCATGCCTGCAATCCCACTTTCTATGCCTAGTGAAGATGCTATGAACATTTGTTGACATGATGACAAAGGATTTAGAATATTCTATAAACTTAGTTGATAAGGCAGAGACAGGGTTTGAAAGGATGAACCCCAATGTTCTACTGTGGGCAAAAATACTTTCAAACAGCGTTGCATGCTGCAGAGAAATCTTCTATGAAAGGAAGAGTCGGCTGATGTGGCAAACTTTATTTTTGCCTTATTTTTAAAAATTGCCACAGCCACCCCAACCTTCAGCAACCACAATGCTGATACATCAGAAGCCATCTACATCTAGGCAAGAATCTCCCCCAGCAAAAAGATTACAACTTGCCGACAGCTCAGATAATCTTTAGCATTTTTTAGCAATAAAGCCATACATAATTTTATTTATTTTGTTTTTTGAGACAGAGTCTCACTCTGTTGCCTAAGCTGGAGTGCAGTGGCACAGTCTCGGCTCACTGCAACCTCTGCCTCCCAGGTTCAAGCGATTCTCCTGCCTCAGCCTCCTGAGTAGCAGGGATTGCAGGTGCCTACCACCATGCTAGGCTAATTTTTTTTTATTTTTTTTTTTTTTAGTAGAGATGGGGTTTCACCATGTTGGTCAGGCTGGTCTTGAACTCCTGACCTCGTGATCCGCCCGCCTCAGCCTCCAAAAGCGCTGGGATTACAGGCGTGAGCCACTGCACCTGGGCATTATTTTTAATTAGTGAATGCACATTGCATTTTTAGACATGATGCTATTACACAATTTACAGGCTACAGTATAGTATAAACATAACTTTATATGCGCTGAGAAACCAAAAAATTCTTGTGACTCACTTTATGGTGATATTTGCTTTATTGGAACAGTCTGAAACTGAACCCACAATACCTTCTAGGTATGATTATATGTAAGGTTTTTAACAAATATTTATTTAGCAGTGTGTCAAGCATTATCAGATGAGGCTACTATTCTCATGGAGTTTAAATCCTATTGGGGGAGGGGAACAGATAAACAAGAAATTATCAACTTGTGAAAACACTTATGACCAAAAAAGTATCTGATGCCTTTGTTGCCATCTTTAACAAACCACAATCTAGGTGTGATTGGATTTTATGCATAGCTACTCCATTACTGGATTGTTATTATATTCTTTTTTACACAATGAAGAAATGCTCCCCAAACAACCTTTAAACGGCCCTTGAATTTATGGACTGGGACCACCCATCTTTATGGGCCTAAAACAGCTCCTCTGTTGCAGCAGTTTGCAAAATCTACAGTCTAGCATAGACTTGTGGCTGCCAAGAATGGTGTGGCAAAACAGGTGGTAATTTAAGGTCTTGCGAAAGAGGAATGTGTTTAGTTCCCACTTTTAACATTTTTATCATAATCACTTGATATCATTTTTTAGATAAAATGACTCCTTGCCTACTAGCATAGTGAGTAATAAGATATGCATCTTCTATGTATCATCTGCATCACTTTATTATTATGGAATCGGGAACAGACTTTAAAAGACAAACGGTTCGCGTCTGTAATCTGTTGTTAAGATTATGGGTTTTGCCTTAAGTACAAACAGATCACTGTCTTTAGCAAGCATTTCCTAGTATTTAAGGGGTCAGTAGGAACTATTTCCATATAGCAGGGTGTTGTATTCAATTAGGTAGAGAAGTGTTTTACACTAATATGCTCAGGAAGCCAACATGCTTAGGAGTGACGCTCCACACGGGTTTCTGAGGTTGCTATGGCTGTAGTTCATAAGGAGCAGCAAAGTTCCTGAAAAGAAATTTAGCTTAAAACAACCAATCCGTAATTTATGCGAAGAATTTTTCTCTCCGGTTTTCACAAAACATAAATTTGAATGCCTGAAGAAGATATTTCAACTTGTGTAATAAGATGAATACGGACTTTTCTTGCAGTCTTCCTGTGGGGTTCTTCTTCATGAAGAATGAGTGGTTTTCCATCTGGGTGAGAAGTTATCATCAAGAATGAGTGGTTTTCCATCTGGGTGAGAAATTCTTATTGGGCTCTTTGATTTTCAAAATCCAAGATGTCAGAATTTCACTTTACCTTACTGGAACACTGTATCTGTCAACTGGTTCCTCTGGCTTCTAAATCCTGTGTTGATGATCAACAAGATAGGATACCTGCCTGCACTCCAGGTATTTGTTTATAAGTATCATTTTGGACCATTCAAAGCCCACCACTTAGCCAAAGCCTGGCTTTAAGAAAATTCTACTTAGGGTGCTGTAAAGAGACAGGCTTTCTGTCCACTCCTCCTTGTGCTTTCCGTTCCACCCTTGGGTCCCATCACTTTAGCCCTGTGGTTTTCAGCTGCAGTGAGTGAGGGCATTGGTGTTTAGTCCATGTTTGCTGCTACAAAGGAATACCTGAGGCTACGTAATTTATAAATACAAAAGGCTTATTTGGCTCACGGATCTGCTGGTGAGGGCTTCAGGCTGCTTCCACTCCTGGAGGAAGCAAAGGGGAACCAGTGTGTGCAGATATCACATGACCAGAGAGGAAGCAAGGGAGGCAGTGGAGTTTCAACAGGAGACTTGTTAGGGCCAAACAAACCATACACAAACCATAGCGACAGGTAACGAGAACTGACTCCACGTAATTCTAACTTATGTCTGATCTAATCCAGCCTTCTGTACGGTCAACTGCACTTTTTGAACACTGAACCACATTATAATATTATGCCTTTGAAACTTATTGAAAATTGCTGTAAATCAGATATATAAACTTATTTGCATTTTCATAAAATCCAGTATTAAAAACTTTGTCCTGAAAAAGACTGATTGGTGCCTTTCCCTTAGAGGATAAGTAAGTCAACTTTGGTTTATACTTCACCTGATTAAAAATTAAAAGCCAGATTTTCTACTCATTCATAGAAAAGTATTACCTCTTACAAATTGTTTTCTTTCTAGTTCTTCCTCTGTTGTATTTGGTTACGCTTGTTTTTCTGGTAATCAATTAGAAAACCTCTTTTCAAATGATATAGAAAGAAGAGAAATGGAAAGTGAGTAAATGGTAATTAGTTGTGAAGGAACAGGTAAAGCTGCAATAGGGAGGACCTGGGAGGCTGACAGGGCCTCTCTAAGCCCTTAAAGACTCTGTTTAGACCATCCTCCCCTCTCTGTCCCATTGCATCAAACTTTCTCTCTCTACTGAATCACTTCCACAAATATATAAACATGCTGTCATTTATCCCATATTTTAAGAGAAAAAAACTAAAACAAAACCGGAGCTTTTTGTTGCCTCTTTATAGCTTTCCTATATATTTACCACCCATTTCTCTCCTCTCTTTTCAGGTAAAACTCCATAAAACAATTGTATCTATTGCTGCCTACAATTTCTCTTCTCTCACAAATTCCAATTGCTCCAAGAAAACAGCTTTCAGTGAGGTCACCAATGACCCCACACTGCCAAACCCAAAGGTCAGCTCTCAGTCTTCCTTTCCCTTAGAACTCCAGCACCATTTGACATAGTTGATTGCTCTATTTTATTTTAAATAATTTTTTATTTAAAAGAAACATATGCCCCTGATTCTCTTTCCACCTCTTGTGTTCAGTCTTCCTTTCTACTTCTTCCTCCCTTAGAAGTCTCAGGCTTCTAAATGTTATGTTCCAGGGTTGAGCCACACTCACCTGTCAAGTGATCTCATCTGGGTTCATGACTCTAGCTACTATCTGTATGTGGATGGTTCTTAAATCATCATATTACTAATGATCTCAAATTTATATCTCTAACCCAGAACGTTTACCTAAACTCCAGTCTCATATATACAACTTACTACTTAACATCTCCCATTTGGAAATCTATTAGGCATCTCCAACTTAGCACATCCAAAACTGATTGTCTGTTAGGAACCACCCCCTGAACACACACCCTGACCTGTCCATCCTGCAGGCCCTCCCATGGAGGGCCTCCCAGCCTTCCATTGGCTCAGGCAAAACCCTGATGCCTCCTTTCCTTTCTTCCCTCTGTTTTAATATCACATATCTGGATTAATCAATAATTCTTGTTAGCCCTCCTTTCAAAATAAATGCAGAATTCTATCAAACCCAAGCATTTTCCCCTACCTCCATTACCACCAGCCTGGTCCAATTTCTTATTAGACTTACTACACTAGCCTTCTACTTGCCAATCACCCCTGGCAATGAAAAATTATTTTAAAGCGCTGCTGAAATCATTTACTTAGGATTTCTGAACTTTTGTTTGCGCTAATAAAACTAGTTAACAGTCTCTTAATTTAATGCTTTTTTCTCTTTTGTTTAATACACTAATTTTTGTGTCAAAAATAATACTCCCTTTTGAGATGAGTTATTTTCCTAGCTTTAAATAACTTGAGATGAGTTATTTTCCTAGCACACTTCATATAATGTAGAAATTTTCTCCTCTTTAATGTTTGGTGGAATTACTCAGCAAAAGCTTTTGGGCCTCAGGTCATTTTAGGTGGTCTTTTCCTAATTTTTTCAGTTTTTTCACTATAGCAGTATATTCAGGTTTCTTAACTCTTCTTCAATTTTGATAATTTGTAATTTCCTCAACATTGGCCATTTCATATAAATTTGCAATTACATTAGTATATAGTATTTGCTATTCTCTCTTTAATTATTAATAATCTCCCTGGTGTCCATATTAATATTCCCTTTCTCATTCCTAATGCCTATATTTTCTTTTTTCTGAAATAGATTGCCAAAGACAATCTATTTTATGGAATTGATCTATTTAAAGAGCTATCTTTTGTATTATTAATCAAGTCTATATTTTAAATTTTGCTCCATTAATTTCTTCTCATATTTCATTAATTCATCCCCTGTGCTTTTTAAATTTGTTTTGGGTTTTCTAATAAATAATTGTAAGGACATAAATTTTAATCTTATTCTGGCTATATCTCTCAGGTTTGGTAGACTTTATCCCCATTTTACATTTGGGTTTAAAAAGCCGTTTTTCAAAAGGTCTTTCAGATTAGAATGTCAAATTAGGAATTCAAATCTAAGTGTCATTTACATTATACCAGAGAAGTTCTTCTGAATGTATAACACATAGAAGAAATAGAGATGCATTCTGGTAAAAGGAAATACAATTAGTTAACATACAGAAGTATGTGTATTTGCTTTAAATAAAAACATTAAAAGAGTGTCATACCATTTACACGTGAAAAGTTATATAATTGTTATTTTAATGGGACTACAATGAAACCTTCAACTGTAACAGTAATTTAGTTAAACCAACTTAACAGTGTGTGTTAAGTGTCATAAATAAGTCATGTCCTTTGACCTAGTAACCCTGGATCCTAGCATTGTTCCTTAGGAAATATTTCACAAGAATAAAACTGCTATATACATAAATATAACCAGTCTATGAAAATTTTAAAACAATCTAAATATCTACCAATAGAATGAAAAAGTAAAAAATTATCACACAGAAACTCAATGGGGCATTTTTAGTCACTAAAGATAATTTTAGACTGCATAAAATCATGAAATGCTTATAGCATAGTAAAAAACAGAAATCAAAATAATATGTGCATTGTAATTATTACCAAGTAAATATATGCATGTGAAGAAGACACTAGAAATAAACATTCCCAACTGATATAACTGACTGGATTAGACTGGTTTCAATACTTCTCAGAGACATAGTCCTGATCTCTTGAAAATGCAAGTAGAAATGATTTTAACTGAATTAATGTAGCTCTAGACAAAGCTGATAGGAACAGGATCCAAGCCCAGGTGTTGGAAGTCGTCTTCAGAAGGTAAATTCCAGTGTGATACTCAACCCCAAATACAGAAATAAGAAGAGAGTCCATGGAAAGACATTTTGATATACAGAATAACAACAAGGGCTTATATCACATAACCTCCGTCTTCTCAAAAATATAGAGGCCACTATAATTAAGAGTGATGGAGGCAAGGTTACAGCTGACAATTAAGTGGAGAGAAAAAAAATGTAGAACACCTGCCATGTAAAGAAATCTCATCAAGCCTGTATTTTGAAGCAAAGGAAAACACTGTGGCCAAACAGCCAAGAAAGCTCATATTTAATAGAAAAAAATAAAATAACTAAATAATCACTAAAGAAATGATGGCTTTTACAACCATACACTGGGAGTGTCTTCTCTAACATTACTGCAATCTACTTTAAGAAAATTCTATTCACAGAATAATATGTGCTTGTATAATAATTATCTGGTCAGTGGTTTAACAATTTCCACAAGGCTCAGGTACTCTTAATTTTCAAGTCATTCACTCAATTAAGGTAATGAACAGATTCATACAGAAACTCTGAAAATTCTAAATTCTATATTCAGTGACTGATTAGTTGTAGAGCATAATTATGATCACAACTAGTCAGACGTTGCCAAAGTTTCATTTGAAGTCACAGGATACAGTTGATTATGTTAATCCTCCTTTTTGGGGGAATGTCTTTTATAGAGTTCTCTCTTACTTTCTGAGAGGGGATACATTTGAAAGAGCTGAGGCAACAAAGCATCCCACCCTAGGTCTTCTGCAGCCAGGAGGTTCTTAAGCAGTATTGTAAGAACAGATGCCAGTTAAGGAACTTCTACCATCCAGTCCCTCATGGCCCAACACTATAAAATATTTTAAGCAAAACAAACAAAAAAACCAAAGTTAAATTGCAAAGAAGAAATAACATACAAGATACAAATTAATAAGAGATCTGAATAGCAGGGAGACACTCCTGTGTGAAATCACCAAAACATTCCTTAAAGAAGTAATGTTCACCTTCATATAAACTTTTTTCCTTCTGTGTAAACTTAGCATTGCTCTTCCAGTTCGAATTTGTAGTAAAAACATTTTGAAGGAAAAATTTGAGTAACTACCATCGAGTATTATGCTTATTACTGGGTGATGAACTAATCTTTACAATGACCCCCACCATTTACATGGGTACATTGTGACATGGAATTTACCCATGTAACAAACCTGCACATGCACCCTCGGTCCTAAAATAAAAGTCAGAAACAAGAAAAAAAAATCCATTTTACGCAACTTCTTGTTAGGCTAAATGAGGTTCTAATTCCACTCTTAGTATTTGTAAGTATTCAGACATACATCTAACATCCTAAATTTTTAATGACATTACTATTACAGAGAAGTATGGCTTCAACCAAATAAAACTAGACTCCATAAGGAAAAATTTTAAATAAGTGCCTGACATTGAGATCGAGAAAAAGAGAAAAAAGCAAGAGAGAGAGAAATAGAGCGAGTGAGTTTCTAAGTGTTTTTGGGCTACTGCTTTTTCGAGCTTCCATCAAACAACAGGAAAATTAAGCTCTACACATGCACCCGCATCCCTGGACCTCATCCCCTGCTACTCCACACATCTGCCAGGCTGGCCCACCTGCCCACTCCCCTGCTGCTGACCAATTCCTTCCACCATGCCCTGGAACTCACTAGCATGTGCAAACCCCTTCCATTCTCAAACTCCTCTGAAAGAAACCATTTTTCACACTTTTGCCCTAACCGAAACCTTCTTGCCCTCCTGATAATATTGTTTCCTATAACAAAACTGATTATAACATAATATAAAATTAATCTGTAGAATATATGGTCATAAGTATTAATAGATAATTCAGAAATTTCTTAAATGCATTAACAGAAATTTTATAAATATGAAGAAAACACTGGCTACACCAGGAAAAATAAGTATTTTAAAGTTGACATCCTATGAAAATCTCCCCATTCTCATATGAAATAAACAAAGAAAAGTGAAAAACAAGGAGAAAAGCTGAATTAGTGAAGAAACGAGGTGACTTTGGCTGCTGCATGCCATAAAATTCAAGACAATTTGGCTGGACATACCAGTGAAGCCAACTTGAAAACATTCACTAAGAACTTAATGAAAACGTCTCCTTCCCAAGAAAATTACACTGTTGCATCAAGTCCATAAAAAATATTCTGCGGGAAGTAATGACACAAGATCCCATTTAATATGCTGAGAGTTGGATGTGAGTTCATGCTCATGTCTGCAACAGGGCCCTGTATTTAGAAACACATGGAATAGAAATCCAGAGAAACTTCATGATTCACTAACTGAATTGAGCATTTCTTTTGAAACTTGGCATACAGAAACACTAAATAAAATGGATACAGTCATACTGTTTACCATGCTGGGTTAAAAGGAAAACAAGATAATGAAATCTGGATTCCAGCGCATCAATTTGTTTCAACCAACCTAGAGAAAAATCACTGTGATCAACTCCCCCTGTGAGAATGTCCACAACTCTAGTTTCCTCGGGGTTCCCCTCAGTCACTCCAGACTGAACTGGTGCCACCGACGCTCACTATCCAGCCCTCCAACACACTAAACAGGAGGATGCTAAGGACATTTACATGAATAGTAAACAGACATAAGGATAATCTATTAATGAAGAGCAGACCTAAAATCACTCAAGGATAAATACATTTAAAAAAAAATCAGCAAATGACTCCTCAACACATAAGACAAAAAGAAGAAAAAAAAAAACCAAAAATATCCAAAGCGTTAGTATTATACTAGAATACAGAGGATAGAAGCGAATTTGGGATGTCGTGTGAGACGGAAGATATGCAAAATGAATATAAAGAAAGCATCTGTTTTGCACTCTCAAGATAATTAAAGAATTAACAATGAGAGATTATCAACAGTATAATAAGACAGATTGAAATGAAGAAGAAACACCCAAAATACAGAAGTAACCTTTAATTTTAAAAGAGTCATTATGAATTTAAGCAGAACAAGAAACAGTAGAGAAGTTCAAGTCAATGACAAAGAGAATAAATCTGAGAGGTTCTAGAATGTGTAGTAAAAGAACCAGGAAAGGAGAAAGACATGGGTATTTCTAGTGACCTTGAAGAGAATGAAATAAATGTGAAAGAACCCCATGCACCAAGAAACAAGTGGCATAATACCCTGAACTAAAAAGGACTTTTAAAACAATTGAGAAAGCTCACCACATACTAGGTTAAATTACTCAAAATTAAAGCATCTACATGACCTAGTGAAAGTAACAAATTCAAAGAGCAAATGAGACACTTATAAATACATTCAGAAATGAAAAAGGCAACATTTACTAAGAAAAAGAATCAGAATGGTCTCAGATTTCTCCTTGAAAACATTAAATACAAGAGTGTGATGAAAAATACTGGAGCATTTTGGGGGTAAAGTCTATACCCACAAATTCTAGACCTGGCTGGAATTTGGCATTTTCTAGCAACTCAGCATCCAAATACTCTTCCTATTCTGACATTTTTATCTCCCTGTTCTTGTCAGAAATCTTTTTGACTTAGGAGCTGAAACCACTTAAAAAGAGTAATAGTAATAATAAAGTAAAGGATTAATATTGTGGATTAGATGGGAACAAATGACCAACAGAGATCTGACTGACAGAGTATCCCTCAAATCCCCCCCAGCGGCATCATCTCCGACCAAGGCTCCTTCCTTCACTCACTCAGATCTAGCCAAGATGGCTGCCTTGCTATGCCTCCAGGGATGTGCCAAGCATATTCCTGTCTCAGGGCCTTTGCACTTCCTGTACCATCTGCATGGAAAGCTCCTACCCGGTTCTCAGCATGGTTCACTCCTTCACTTCCCTTAGGTTTTTCCTCAAATGTGTTCCCAGTGAGCCAAGCTTGCCTGGTCCCACATCATTTACCCTGCCTCTCGCTTTTCTGTCTCCACAGCACTCATTACCACTGAGCACGGTGCCTGTGTTATTTATTTTTACTGACTCTACCACACACTATGTAAATGCCATGAGCGCAGGGATTTCTGTCTAGTTTGTCCTCGAGATATCTCAAGAGCCTAGATGAATTGGGACTCACCTAATATTTGTTGACTGAATGACAATGACTGATTAGAAAAATACAGTAGGTTAAGATACAGTAGTTTCAAAAGTGCATTTGACACAATCTCACATTATTCTCATAGGTGACATTTCCACACTCAGCATTTCCTAGATGATAATTATTGTAAAGGGGGCACAGGAAAGCAGCTTGGAAAAAACATCAAATTTGAGACTTCGAAACATAGAGAAATAAATAATATGTTAGATAACAGAAATAAAACTGAGACTCATCTCAATAAGCTGAGATGGATCAAAAGATGGAATGAAGGTGAAATAAAGGTACAGTCCTGCAGCTAAAATTCTAAAACAAAATCTGCTGACAAACTTTTTGGTCTCCTCTGACTTCACTGATTTCTCCTTCTTTCTCTCCTCTGCTGACTTTCCACATCTTCTCCACCACTCAACAAGTGGAGTGTCCAGTTTAGTGCTTGGGTCTTGACTCTTTTCTCCACAGACAAGCTCTCTAAGAAGTGTCACCTACTCCCACGGCCTTAAACATCATTTATACACCACGAACTCCCAAATGCATATCTCTACCTACGAACTTTTCTTTTAATTTGACCATATATGCACTTGCTTTCTAAAAATCTCCAATTCCGTATCTGATTCCTTAAACTTACTAATTTTCCAATCTCAATCAACCCCATTCCTCCTATAGTTTTCTGCATAACAGTAAGGAGAAATTTTATTCTATCAAGTGCTCAGATCAAAAAAGTTGGGAGTCATTACTCATTCCTCTCTTCTCACCCACCATATACAACTACAAACCAAAAATAAAACAGTACATTCCCCAACTGACTGAAAGACTGTCCTCTTAGCCAAGGGCATTCCAAAGTAGACCTGAAAATCTAGTTCAGGCAATGATGGGGGGGAGGGGGTTGGACATGTCTCATTACAACCTTCTCCCTTTGAAATTCAGGCACAGCTGACCAGCATTAACACTAAAAAAGGTTTTAAGACTGATGAAACAGACTTTTTGTAGCTATAAGACATCAAACTCCAGCCTGACTCTAGTATAGCAGCATCACATGACGGCAGGCCCTGAAAGAAATTGAAGTATTTTACCCCAAATATATTTCTTTGACATATGTTGAAATGGCCCTGCAAAGCTGTCTCCTGGGGAAAATCTACATTCTGTAGAGAAACCCTTTCCCTTTCCAGGTCTTTTCTCTGATCCAGGAGAGTCTAAGATTCTGGTAGCTGTCTGGTCTGATAAGAGCTCTGAAACCTGCTACTTGGGGGCTTCATTTGCATGATAAAAGCTTGGGCTCCAAAACCCTTACCTTAAGCCAGACATTCCTTTCTATTGATTCCAGGTCTCTGATAATAACTCTTTCAACTAATTGCCCATCAGAAAATTTTTGAATCCGACTATGACCTGGATGCTACCTGGCCCCCATGCTTCCAGCTGTCCTACCTTTCCAGACCAAACCAAGGGACATGTACTGAATGATATCTTATGTCTCCCTAAAATGTATAAAACCAAGCTGTAGCCCAACTATTCTGGACACACCTCAGAACCTCCTGAGGTTGTCATAGGCATGTCCTTAACCTTGTCAAAATCAGCTTCTAAGTAGACTGTAACAGGTCTTGGATACTTTTTGGTTTACCCTCCCATAAACAAAGCCTGTCTGCTCTTTCTTCTTCTACACCCAACCTCTGATCCTAGTTCACCATTACAACCCTAATCCTAGCCATCATCCTCCCCTGCCTACACTCCTAGACTACCACTGGGTCTACCTGTTTCCACTCTTACTGTGTATACTCTCAATTCGACAGCTAGAAGACCTAAATACCCCCAATTCCATTCCAACCTTATTTCTTACTGGTCTCCGCATGACTCACTCTGCACCTGTCACAATGGCCTACCTCAGGGCCTCTGCAGTTCCTGTCTCCTCCTTCTGCTGATTCTCTCATTCCCTTCAGATTCCCGCTCAAATTTCACTTATGAAATTAACCTCTCCTGACCACTGCATATGTGCAATAAGCCAATAAGCACCCTCTGAACCACCATCACTCTGAAGCCCCTTATTCTGCTTTATTCTTCCATGTATTCATCATAGTATTTATCACTGCCTGATAGATGTACACAAACACACATATACACATCCATAAATTTTCTGAACTGTTTCCACAACTCCCCTCTATACTATGAGAACCTGAATACTGTCGATTTTGCTCACCATTGTATCCACAGCACCTTAGAACAATGCCTAAAACAGAAATGCTAAAAAAATATTGGTCATTGAATGATAGGTAAGAAGACAGGGAAACAAAGAGAGGAAAGGAAAATAGAGAAAAGGGAAGGGGAAGAGACATAAAACCTACAGGTCTGACTTCATGAAAAAATAATGATAGTTTACTCAAAGCTCAATAACCAGAAATGGAATGTAGCTTCTTTAAAAAACTAATTCTCCATTAAAACCGTACTGACAGATACATAGGTTTCAAACTAAGACAGGTATCTGTCCCACCTCATTTTACCAGGGTCAAGACGCAATTAGTCTGTAGTGTTAAGGCTGCAATGTTTTAAAGATATATTAATAATATATAGTTTGTCCAAAGACTGTCAACCCACATCTTAAGGAGGCATATGGAAAATAAAGTTTAGAAACTAAGATGTTTTACTAGAAAAGACATAACATAATCCCTATACTCAAAGGGTTTGGATACGAAATAAAAGTCAAAACAAATACTGGAGAATGGCCATTTTGGGAGGCTGCTTGGTTCTAAATGAGAAAGTACTTCATCATAATTAGAACTGCCTAGGCTGGGCTCAGTGGCTCAAACCTGTAATCCCAGCACCTTGGGAGGCTGAGGTAGGAAGATCACTTGAGCCCAGGAGTTCAACACTAGCTTGGGCAACATGGAAAAATCCCATCTCTATTTAAAAAAAAAATTAGCTGGGCATGGTGGCACAGGCCTGTAGTCCCAGCTATTTAGGAGGCTGAGGTGGGAGGATCATCTGAACTCGGGCAGTCAAGGCTGAAGTGAGCTGACTGTACCACTGTACTTCAGCCTGGGTGATGAACTGAGGCTTTGCCTCAATTAAAAAAAAAAAGTATATGAGAAAGAGAAAGGGGAAAGAAAAAACAAAACCAAAACAAAACAGAACTGCCTGAGAGTGTAACCAGCACCTTTAGTGGAACTAAAGAGCATGCCTTCTGTCAGGGATGTGTTAGAGCAGAAGCCCTCTGGCCAGTCACCACCTACCAAAAGGTTGCCCGAGGAATTTCTAAATCTGAATCTTTATTGAAAATAGTGGCATACTATTTCATAAGGAAACTCTGAGTATTAGTCAAATAAGTATTGATCAAGATACGGGGTACGTTTTTTCAAAAAAACGTTATAGAGATCTTGGCAACTGATACCATTTCTAGGTTATCAGCTCATACCTTTAGTATTTCTCAGAGATGCGCTTTTCTCCAAATTTGGCATAATGTAAGAGAATCTTATGAATAATAGCGAAGAAAAATCACTACATAAAGTTTCATCATTTTTTCTAATGGCCTTATAAAACAGTATGTGGTATTGTCAATGACACTGT
Source organism: Homo sapiens (assembly GCF_000001405.40). Taxonomy (NCBI): domain Eukaryota; kingdom Metazoa; phylum Chordata; class Mammalia; order Primates; family Hominidae; genus Homo; species Homo sapiens. The sequence continues at coordinate 165,481,085 of NC_000006.12, forward strand.
CTGAACACATGGCAGCTTTGCCAATATCAACACTGTAATATTTTATGACTCTGCCAAAGTTCACTTTTCAGAGTCCCCATCTTATCCTCAAGCATCACTTTTCAGCATTTTCTGCTGCTCCTAGCAGCTGCCAAAATTCTAGGTCCACCCCTCTGTCACTTCCTGGTACCTTTTAAGCGTCCAGACCAAGGAACTCTTCAATTGTGAGTTCCACAAATGTGACATTAATAGCGAAGGCACCCAGTGAAACCCTGAGACTCACAGAGACCTCAAGAGAATCCTACATTGCTATGGACACAAGGAATTCTTCCCTCCCCTATCTCCACACCCCCAACCCCCAGCGCTGGCCCAGGTCATTTTAGAGATTTCTTTCTTCAGATGATCAAAAATAAAGGAATATATCTGCATATGTGATTCTATTAAGTTTTTCAATTTATGTCTTACAATAAAAACTGATCTCTAAGGTTGCATTAAGTTCCATTCAAACTGATTATTTTCAATATTTCATCCACACTTAAGATCTTTATCTGTGTAATACAGAAAAAACTAAGACACTTTTTTCCAAATGTAATTAATCACTTATAATTTTATAGCATAACCAGTATACTAAATGCTTTCAGTACTCACCTGCCATAGTTTTTAAGCTTGCTAAGACTCTTAACTAGGCCATGAAAACAGTACCTTTAATATTTATAAAATTTCTAAGCAATATCTTGCTTTCAACACGAGTTGTCATCTTTTGTTCTCCCAAAAAGAAAGTGCATGAACTCAAAGGCAGAGGTTGGGCAGGTAGCGGACATGAGTAAAGCCAGCTACATGGAGGACTGGGGCTGCCTGGAGAGCATCATGCAGCTGAAGGCAGCTTCCGCTTCCCACCCTGGGAAGACTGCTGCCCTGTGAGAGTTATCTTACCTTCTGGTTCAAGGGAAGCCAGAAATCCAATCTTTACATACAGTGTCTCAATTTCTAAATGTTGGCAACTGACTCAGAAAACCCCATAGGCACGTGCAGCCGAACAAAATGCATCTGTGTGCCGTACTCAGTCTTGAGGCCTTCAATTTGCACCCTCTCTACTGACTTTATTCCATATTAATGAGTGATACTTTGGAGAGGAAACTCAGTTTTTGCCATAATCTTTCTGATACTTTAATGTGTTAGAGTACTGAGAGATAAACAAAACAGATTCATTTCCTATACTGCAGTAGTAGAAATAATATTCACATCACTTACCCTGCTGACTTCCTTAGGAGCTGATTCATCTGGGGATAGAGAAGGAAGAGGGAAAAACACAATTAGCGACTGAGTAGGTTTTAAAATACAAAACATGTCATTTGCTTTCAATAAACTTGAAGGGTTTTTTTGCAATGCTTCCTCTTACGAAATCTATGAATTTGATTTTTTAAACTGTAAAGGTTGAACATAACATATTACGAGTTAAGAAGTATACATTAATTTCACAGGGAAAATGAAATACCACCACCGCCTTACCTTTCTAGAGGTTCTAAAATGGATATGATATGCCTGCAAGAATAGCTACACTGGGGTATATTCAACTACACATACCTAAAGTGGGGTTTATAACACTTCAATATTCTACACAATACAACCCACATGAATATCCCAAATGACCTTTAACACTCGTGCTTCGAAGGTTAGTTCCAGCAGACCTGGAGCTGGTGTGAGCTGTTCTGTTGAAATAAGAAATGTACCTGCATGGCACTCTGGTCAAGGCATGAAACATAGTCATTAATAATAGTGCTGCTTTGTTCCGTGTGTCTGAGGAGTTGTGGGGTTGTTTATACCAGCTTGTCAGCATTGGTGATTGGTAAAGTGAGACTGGGGTGGTTTGCACAGGGTCTAGGTGAGAATCCCTGGAAGGCTCTCCCACTGGGGCTGGCTACAGGCAAGAAGATGCCTGTGTGACCAACAGGGTATAAAACAAGCTGGCAGATACCTCCTCTTGGTCCACCAGTTCTGAGTGTTGCACACACAGGTCATTGATTCTGATCTGTGAGAAAGTGTGTGTCCCTAAGAGGAGGGGCCACTGGAGCTCAGCCTGGCATCAACAGGCTCCTTGCTGTCTTTTTCCTGTAATAAACTTCAGATCTGCAAGCACTATCATTTTGGTTCCTGTGTCTTCTTGAGCAATCAAACCCTGTTGTCTGTCACCATCAGAATGAACTTAACATACCAAAAATGGAATGTAGCTCAATGCTATAGGACAGCAGGTATTCAAATCAACAGTACCTAGTTTTTGTATTACTGTATTAATACACACTTGCTCATATATTTTCTTATCATTGTTGCATAATGGTTAGAGTACGGCCTCTGACTTCCCTAAGAATGTAACACATGTAACAATTGTCATAGGGAAAATATCTTATCTTCTACATTGAAGTGGCACCATAGAAATATTTCATTTACTCTTCAACTCCTAATCCTCTCCTAAGCCTCTCTGAAGATGAGACTATTTAATCATTACAACAAATTTATTAACAGATTCTAAAGTTACAGAGGCATATGTGCTTTTAATTTTTTAAAGTTTTGATCTAAAATATTTAATGAGAATGTTTGAAAAAGTCAAACAATTAAAAGGTATATAATTAAAAGGAGCAATGTGTGAACAGGTTTAATATCAAGACCGCATAGAGTCACCTAGCTATGACATTATGGAATTTTCTACCCTCTGCTAGTCACCACTACAGATCTGAAAATTAGTTCAAGGACAGTGTGAATGTCCAGACATCTGTAAATAAATGTTCCTTTGGCTTTTTCTCTTAGTCTTGCTTAGTTAGTACTTCTCAAACTTGAGTGTGCATAAGATAGCCTGTGACATGTGTTTATAAAATCAATAATTTTTTGCTTTATGGGCAATTTAAAGTATTTGAAAGAAAAAAATTTACCTATGGCTGATTTCTGGCTTTTCCCCTTAGGAGCTGATTTAGAAAATCAATGTCTCCAACTTAACACTCAATTTTAGTTAAATCAATGTTAAGTCTAGTATATTTAAGAACTATAGTATTCTACTTAACTGAGAAAATTAAGGAACACAGTGGGATTTCCTGTGTAAGGGAACATTGCCTCCTATTTCTTATAGTTGGAATTTTCATTTAGTTGAACTCTCTTGCCCAAGAAAAATTTAAGCATGTTGAAGACAGAAACTTTACTTTCTCTTCTAGAGTAGAGTTGCACTGTGGGAACACATATGATAGACAGTGGCTTAGAGCAGGAGGCCGGAACTGGGCCACACAGCAGGAGGTGAGCGGCGGCAAGCGGGCGAAGCTTCATCCGTATTCACAACTGCTCTCTGTCACTGCGTTACTGCCTGAGCTCCGCCTCCTGTCAGGTCAGCAGTGGCATTAGATTCTCATAGAGCGCAAACCCTACTGCGAACTGCACTTGCTTGCTTGGGATCTAGGCTGTGTGCTCCTTATGAGAATCTAGTGCCCGATGATCTGAGATGGAGCTGAGGTGGTGATGCTAGCGCTGGGGAGTGGCTGCAAATACAGATTAACATTAGCAGAGAGGTTTGACAGCACAGAGACCACAGGAAATTAACTGCTTGCACACTCATATCAAAACTCTATCAGTGAGGGGCAAGTGACAAGCTGCATCTGGCTGGTGGCAGGCTTTACAGTGGCAAGTGAGCTGAGTGCTTCAATTGCACAGCTGCATCTGGTGGCAGCTTTAACTCAGAATCTGACACTTATTTAGTCCACGTGTGACTTGCCTATTATTTTATTTACCACTTCCATCTGCACCTCTTTCCCACACTATGCACTTGTCTCAGTCACAGTTTTGGGAAGCCCACAAGCCAACCCTAGCCAAGATGAGTAAAAGACAAACATCACTGTAGAGCTTCTTTGAAAAGGGGGAAGACCTCATCATGAGAAAGCAGAAGACTCCAAGACTGCCAATGAAAAGAAAGCTGCATTTAATAGAAAATAACAAGTCCTACTTAAATTATGGGTTCATTGCAACAGGTGATGCACATTCTTCAAGTCCACTGTGTATATGTGGTGACCAGCTATCCAAGGAAGCCATGAAACCTTCAAAACTGCATTACCACACGGAGACCAAGCACCCTGCATTAAAAGACAAGCCTGGCTGGACGCGGTGGCTCACGCCTGTAATCCTAGCACTTTGAGAGGCCGAGGCGGATGGATCACGAGGTCAGATCGAGACCATCCCGGCTAACACAGTGAAGCCCCGTCTCTACTAAAAATACAAAAAATTAGCCGGGCATGGTGGTACATGCCTGTAATCCCAGCTACTCTGGAGGCTGAGGCAGGAGAATCACTTGAACCCAGGAGGCAGAGGTTGCAGTGAGCCAAGGTCACATGACTGCACTCCAGCCTGGGTGACAGAGTGAGACTCTGTCTCAAAAAAAAAAAAAAAAAAAGACAAGTCTTTGGAGTTTTCAAAAAAATTAAAAAATGTGTACACCAAGAACACAGGCAATTATTGAAGGCCACCAACTTCATCAAATGTGTCTACACTGACAGCATCCTTTTTTTTTTTTTTTGAGATGGATTTTCACTCTTGTTGCCCAGGCTGGAGTGCAATGGCGTGATCTCAGCTCACTGCAACCTCTGCCTTCCGGGTTCAAGCAATACTCCTGCCTCAGCCTCCTGAGTAGCTGGGACTGCAGGCGCCCGCCACCATGCCTGACTAATTTTTTGTATTTTTAGTAGAGACAGGGTTTCATCATGTTGGCCAGGCTGGTCTCGAACTCCTGACTTCAGATGATCCACCCTCCTCAGCCTCCCAAAGTGCAGGGATTACAGGCGTGAGCTACCGCGCCCGGCGGAGAGCATCACTCTTAGTGGCTAACTGCGTTGCTGAAGCTAACAGGCCCTTTACTGTTGGTGAAGAGTTGATCCTGCCTGCTGCTAAGGACATTTGTTGTCAACTTTTAGGAGAGGCTGCAGTTCGAAAGGTGGCAGGTGTTCCTCTTTCGGCTAGCAACGTAACTAGAGGAATTAATGAAATAGCAGAGGATACTGAGACACAACTGTAAAAGGGGATTAATGAATCACCAATGGCACACAATCCAGGTTGACGAGTCTATCAATGTTGACAGCAAGGCAACAATGCTTGTTAATGTGTGATATATTTTTCGGGGGGATGTGCATGAGGATATGTTATGTGCACTTTTGTTGCCAACGAACACCACAGCTGCAGAACTATTCTAGTCTGTGAATGATTACATATCAGAAAAACTAAATTGGTCATTTTGTGTTGGTATACACATGGACAGAGCAGCTGCCACGACTGGATGGCTTTCTGGTTTCACTACTCAGGTCAAACAGGTCGCTTCTGTATATAAGTACTACATACTAAACAATTGTGTGGCTGGAGCTCCTTAGGTCGCTTCTGAATGTGAGTCTGTGCACTGTGTCATCCATAGAGAAAGGCTGGCGAGCTGAAAAATGTCACGTGAACAACGTTCAGCAGAATGTGATTAAAAGTATCAACCACATTAAAGTACGTGCCCTTAACTCACGTCTGTTCGCACAGCTCTGTGAGGAGATGGACGCAGAGCACACACATCTCATACACGGAAGTGAGATGCTTTCTAAAGGTAGATTGCTGGCCAGAGTTTTGGAAACCACCCCAGAGATGTCTTTTAGAAAAAAAGTCACCATTGGCAGCACATTTCAGTGACATAGAATGGGCTGCAAAACTTGCTTACTTGTGTGACCTATTTAACCTGTTCAATGAAATCAATCTGTCACTTCAGGGGAGAATGACAGCTGTGTTCAAGTCGGCAGATAAAGCAGCTGCATTCAAAGCCAAAGTGGAATTACGAGGGTGACGAGTGAACACTGGGATTTCTGACATGTTTCAAACATTAGCAGAGATTGTGAAAGAGATGGAGCCAGGGCCTTCTTTCCCACGGCTGACACGTGATCACCTACCCAATACTACCAACCACAAAAGAACCCCCAACTGGGAAGGAATGGATCCGCGACGCATTTGTGAATAAGCCCGGTAAACTGACTCTCTGTGCTAGAAGAGGATCAACTGCTTGAGATGGCAAATGACAGTGGCTTTAAAAATATGTTTGAGACAACTTCAAATCTCCATATGTTCTGGATGAAAGTCCAGGTAGAATATCCTGAGGTTGCCACAAAAGCACTGAAAAGCCTGCTTCCGTGTCCAACAACCTGTCTTTGTGAAGCAGGGTTTTCTGCAGTGACAGCGACTAAAATGAGATTACAGAGTAGCCTGGACATAAGTGACACACTTCAGGTGTCACTGTCTCCCGTCACCCCAGACGGGACTGTCTAGTTGCAGGGAAAAAAGCTCAGGGCTTCCACTAATTCTACATCATGGTGAGTTGTACCATTATTTCATTATATATTACAACATAATAATAATACAAATAACACAATAAATGTAACATGCTTGAATCATCCTGAAACCACTCCTCCGACCAGTCTGTGAAACATCTGTCTTCCACAAAACTGGTCCCTGGTGCCAAAAGGTTGGGAACCGCTGGTTTAGAGCATGGACTAAGGTTTGAAGCCCAAACCTGCAGTCACTAGTGATATTACATTGGGCAAGGTGCCTAACTTCTGCCACCTTACAAGTTCAAAGTGAAATAAGTTAACAATATAAATTGTTACTGAAAAAGAGTGTCCCTCCCCCAGCACAAAGACCATTTTCAAGGTAACACAGAGAGAATACTGCCCCCTCCCACTGATGCAGTTCATGATTCCTTGCAGATCTTACAGGAATTTCAGGTTAAGAACACATGGTGTAGAATGTTCCCTTTTCCCTGCACACTTGCAGCACACACTCAGCGGTGAAGTACCAGAACAGCATTTCACTCAGATCAGCAATGAAGCTCTCTTTGAAATAAAAAGTTAGAGGAACATGGAAAAGAAGAAAATTGCCAGGAATACCAAATTTTGAGGCACTGATGAGGAACAAATTGGCAAAAAAAAAAAAAAAAAAAAAAAAAGTTCCAGAGGACATTAATTTTTATGCAGCATAGGATTTTTATAAACATGTGTTTTTATTCAACAAATATTTACTGAGGAACCACTGTGTGCCAGGAACTTATCTCTGACCTCAATAAACTTGCATACCAGTGGGATGAATAAATTAGGAAACAAATAGATGAAATAATTTCAGAAAATAAATGTCTATGCTTGTTAAAGAGAAATTTAGTTTTTAGAGAAAGATAAAGCATCTTTGATCCAAACCTCATTTTAATACCTTTTAAAAGCCTTAGCAAGGATAGTTTATGGGAAAAATAAATGCGCTAAGGGGATTTTATAGTAAGCACAGCGTTCACAGCAAGTACTTAATAGGATAGCCTTCAAGGGAAGAAATTAATTTTAAATACTTTATAAATCAAAATCTGGGAAAATGGTGGATAGGAGGCAGGCCTAACTTGCAGCTCCCACTCGGTGGACAGAGCAGCCTGTGTAAAGCCACATCGTGAACTTTTGCTCCAAGAACTACCAAAGGAACATCCCAGGCAAGCCTAGAGAATCCACAGACCCTTTGTAGGAGGTGGATTGCAGCTGCAGGCTCCATGAGACAGCCGAGGAACTGTGGGTTCACTTGCTTTCTCAGATGGAGGCTTGTACCCTGGGGCAAGTTCTCAGCCCTGCTCACCACCTGTCTGGAAATAAACTCAGTGTGTTGCGGGGCATGGTGGGTGTGAGCTGCAGGCTCCACGGGAGCTGGGTGAGGCCTGTGGCTGCCGGCTTTACCCCACTTTTCTGGTGACCTATATGTCACAGCAGAGGCCCCCTGGGAACGTAACTCCATTGGTCTAGGAACCACACTCCCATCCCGCACAGCAGTCACAGCAACCCCTGCCCAAGGGGAGTCTGAGATCAGACATGCCCAACCCTGCCTCCACCTGATGGTCTTTCTCTACCTGCCCTGGTAACCAAAGACAAAGCCCACCCTGCCCATCGCTGTAGAAACCTGAATATTTACCCAAAGGCGACCCTAGGGCGAGCTTGTCTTCTCACTATACAACCTCAGCTGATGCACTCTTGACAGTGCCACCTCCTGGCTGGAGGACAACCAACACAAAACCAGTGCACTAAACAAAAACACAACCAAGGACCCTCACAGAGTCCATTTCACTCCCTGCTACCTCCACTGGAGCAGGTGCTGGTATCCACAGCTGAAAGACCTAAAGATGGATCACATCATGGGACTCTCTGCAGACACTCCCCAGAGACAAGTTGGAACCTGGTAGTTCTGCTGTGTGGTTACATTCAGAAGATAAATAATAATTGTTGCAGTTCGACTCTCAGGAAGCCCCATTCCTAGGGGAAGGGGAAGAAAATCACATCAAGGGAGCACCCCATGGGATAAAAGAATCTGAACAGCAGCCCTTGAGTCCCAGACCTTCCCTCTGACAACAGTCTACCCAAATGAGAAGGAACCAGAGAAACAATTCTGGTAATATGACAAAACAAGGTTCTTTAACACCCCAAAAGATCATACTAGCTCACCAGCAATGGATCTAAACCAAGATGAAATCTCTGAATTGCCAGAAAAAGAATTCAGGTCGACTATTAAGCTAATTAAGGAGGCACCAGAGAAAGGTGAAATCCAACTTAAAGAAATCAAAAAAAATGACACAGGATATCAATGGAAAAATCTCTAGTGAAATAGACAGCATAAATAAAAAACAATCACAACTTCCGGAAATGAAGGAGACACTTAGAGAATTGCAAAATGCACTGGAAAGTCTCAGCAATAGAATCAAACAAATAGAAGAACTCCAGAGCTCAAAGAGAAAGCTTTCAAATTAACCCAATCTAACAAATGCAAAGAAAAAAGAATTTAATAAATGAACAAAGCCTCCAAGAAGTTTAAAATTACGTTAAACAACCAAACCTAAGAATAATTGGTGTTCCTGAGGAAGAAAATAAATCTAAAAGTTTGGAAAACATATTTGAGGGAACAATTGAGGAAAACTTACCTAGCCTTGCTAGAGATCTAGACATCCAAATACAAGAAGGTCAAAGAACACCTGAGACATTCATTGCAAAAAGATCATTGCCTAGGCACAGAGTCATCGGATTATCTACAGTCAAGATGAAGGAAAGAATCGTAAGAGCTGTGAGGCAAGAGCAGCAGGTAACCTATAAAGAAAAACTTGTCAGACTAACAGCAGACTTCTCAGCAGAAACCCTACAGGTCAGAAGGGATTGTGATTCTATCTTTATCCTCCTTAAACAAAACAATTATCAGCCAAGAATTTTGTATCCAGTGAAACTAAGCTTCAAAAACAAAGGAAAGATAGAGACTTTTTCAGACAAACAAATGCCAAGAGAATTCGCCACTACCAAGCCAGCACTATGAGAACTGCTGTTAATAAAAGAAACTCTAAATCTTGAAACAAATCTTCAAAATACACCAAAATAGAACCTCTCTAAAGCCTAATCCTCACAGGACCTATAAAACAACAACACAATGAAAAAAACCCAAGGTATTAAATAAATAGCAGGGCGAATACAATAGTACCTCATATCTCAATACTAACATTGAATGCAAATGGCCTAAATGTTCCACTTAAAAGACACAGAATGGCAGAATAGGTAAGAATTCACCAACCAAGGCTGGACGTGGTGGTTCATGCCAGTTGGGGACACCAAGGCAGGTGGATCATTTGAGGACAGGAGTTCAAGACCAGCCTGGCCAACATGGGGAAACCCCACGTCTACTAAAAATACACATATTAGCTGAGTGTGGTGGCATATACCTGTAATCTCAGCTACTCGAGAGGCTGAGGCATAAGAATTCCTTGAACCTGGGAAGTAGAGGCCGCAGTGAGCCAAGATCACACCACTGAACTCCAGCCTGGGGCACAGAGCAAGACCCAGTCTCCAAAAAATTACAAAATAAATTCACAAACCAAGTATCTGCTCTCTTCAAGAGACTCACCTGACTCATAAGGACTCACATAAACTTAGAGTAAAGGGGTGGAAAAAGATATTATGTGCAAATGGACACTAAAAGCAAGTGGCAGGAGTAGCTATTTTTACATCAGACAGGACAAACTTTAAAGCAACAGCAGTTAAGAAAGACAAAGAGGGACATTATATAATAATAAAAGAACTAGTCCAACAGAAAAATATCACAATCCTAAATATATATGCACCTAACACTGGAGCGCCCAAATTTATAAAAGACCTAAGAAATGAGATAGACAGCAACACAGTAATAGTGGGGGACTTCAATACTCCACTGACAGCACTAAACAGGTCATCAAGACAGAAAGTCAACAAAGAAACAATGGACTTAAACTACATCCTACAACAAATGGATTTAACAGATATTTACACAACATCCTAGCCAACAATTGCAGAATATACATTCTATTCATCAGCACATGGAACTGTCTCCAAGACAGACCATCAGATAGGCCACCAAACAAATCTCAACAAATTTAAGAAAATCAAAATCATAGCAAGGACTCTCTCAGACCATAATGGAATAAAATTGGAAATCAACTCCAAAAGGGACCCTCAAAATCAGACAAATACAGAGAAGTTAAATTACCTGCTAATGAATGATCATTGGGTTTGAACTACACTATAATAGTGACATGATCTATCAAAACCTCTAGGATACAGCAAAAGTGGTACTAAGAGAAAAGTCCACAGCATTAAGTGCCTACATCAAAAGTCTGAAAGAGCACAGGTAGACAATCTAAGGTCACACCTCAAGGAGCTAAAGAAAAAAGAACAAAACAAACCCAAACCCAGCAGAAGAAAAGAAATAAGCAAGATCAGAGCAGAACTAAATGAAATCGAAACAAAAAAACAAATACAAAGATAAATGAAACAAAAAGGTGGTTCTTTGAAAACATCCATAAAATTGAGAGATCATTAGCAAGATTAACCAAGAAAAGAAGAGAGAAGATCCAAATAAGCTCAATAAGAAACAAACGGGAGCTATTACAAACAACACCACACAAATACAAAGGATGATTCAAGGCTACTATGAACACCCTTATGCACATAAACTGGGAAATCTAGAGGAGATGGATAAATTCCTGGAAACATACAACCCTCTAAGATAAAACCAGGAATAAACAGAAACTCTGAACAGACTAATAACAAGCAGCGAGATTGAAATGGTAATTAAAAAGTTACCAAGAAAAAAGTCCAGGACCAAATGGATTCATGGCTGAATTCTTTCAGACATTCAAAGAAGAATTGGTACCAATCCTGTTGACACTATTCCACAAGATAGAGAAAGAGGGAATTCTCCCTAAATCATTCTGTGAAGCCAGTATCACCCAGATAGCAAACCCAGGAAAAAACATAACAACCAAAAAATAAAACTATAGACAAATATCCCTGGTGAACATAGATGCAAAAGTCCTAGCTAACCAAATCCAACATCATGTTAAAAAGATAATCCTCCATGATCAAGTGGGTTTCATAGCAGGGATGGTTTAACATTCACAAGTCAATAAATGTGATACACCACATAAACAGAATCAAAAACAAAAATCACATGATCAACTCAATAGATGCAGAAAAAGCATTTGACAAAATCCAGCATCCCATTATGATTAAAACCCTCAGCAAAATTGGCATAAAAGGGACATACCTTAAGGTAATAAAAGCCATCTATGACAAACCCACAGCCAACATTATATTGAATGTGAAAAACTGAAAGCATTCCTTCTGAGAACTGGAACAAGACAAGGATGCCCACTTTCACCAGTTCTATTCAACATAGTACTGGAAGTCCTAGCCACAGCAATCAAACAAGAGAAAGAAAGAGCATCTAAACTGGTAAAGAAGAAGTCAAACTGTCACTGTTTGGTGATGACATGATCATATACCTAGAAAACCCTAAAGACTCATCCAAAAAGCTCCTAAAACTGGTAAACGAATTCAGCAAAGTTTCAGGATACAAAATTAATGTACACAAATAAGTAGCCCTGCTATACACCAACAGCGACCAAGCTGAGACTTGAATCAAGAACTCAGCCCCTTTTATAATAGCTGCAAAAAAATAAAATACTTAGGAATACACTTAACCATGGAGGTGAAAGACTGCTACACAGAAAACTAGAAAACACTGCTGAAAGAAATCACAGACAATATAAACAAATGGAAACACATCCCATGCTCATGGATGGGTAGAATCAATACTGTGAAAATGACCAGACTGCCAAAAGTAATCTACAAATTCAATGCACTTCCCATCAAAATACCACCATCATTCTTCACAGAACTAGAAAAAAATAATCCTAAAATTCCTATGGAACCAAAAAAGAGCCTGCATAGCCAAAGAAAGGCTAAGCAAAAAGAACAAATCCGGAGGCATCACATTATCCAACTTCAAACTATACTATAAGGCCAAAGTCCTCAAAACAGCATGGTACTGGTATAAAAATAGGCATATAGACCAATGCAAACAGAATAGAGAACCAAGAAATAAGGCGAAATACTTACTGTCAAGTGATTTTTGACACAGAAACAAAAATATAAAGTGGGGAAAGAACACCCTATTCAACAAACAGTGCTGGGATAATTGTAGAAGAATGAAACTGGATCCTCATCTCTCATCTTATACAAAAATCAACTCAAGATGGATCAAAGACTTAAATCTAAGACCTGAAACCATAAAATTCTAGAAGATAACATTGGAAAAACCCTACTAGACACTGGCTTAGGCAAAGACTTCATGACCAAGAACCCAAAAGCAAAAATGCCACAAAAGCAAAGATAGATGGGACTTCCTTAAACTAATAAGCTTCTGCATAGCAAAAGAAATAATCAGCAGAATAAACAGACAACACACAGAGTGAGAGAAATCTTTGCAATCTATATATCTGAGAAAGGACTAATATCCAGAATCTACAGGGAACTCAAATAAGCAAGAAAAAAAAAAACAATCCCATCAGTAAGTGGGCTAAGGACATGAATAGACAATTCTCAAAAGAAGATATACAAATGGCCAAAAAACGTATGAAAAAATACTCAACATCACTAATTACCAAGGAACTGCAAATCAAAACCACAATGAGATGCCACCTTACTCCTGCAAGAATGGCCATAACAAAAAAATTAAAAAATCACTGATGTTGGAGTGGATGTGGTGGAAAGGGAATACTCTTACACTGTTGGTGGCAATTTAAACTAGTATGACCTCTATGGAAAACAGTGTGGCGATTCCTTAAAGAACTAAAAGTAGATCTACCATTTGATCCAGCAATCCCATTCCTGGGTATTTACCCAGAAGAAAAGAGGTCATTATAGAAAAAAGATACTTGCACATGCATGTTTATAGCAGCACCATTTACAGTTGCAAAAATATGGAACCAGCCCAAATGTCCATCAATGAATGAGTGGATAAAGAAAATGTGGGGGGGGGTGTGTGTGTGTGTAATACACACAACAAACATAGTAGTATTCCATGGTGTGTGCATATATATATATATATATATTTATTTATTTATTTAATAAAGAAGAAATCCAGAATAAAGAAAGGTGATCATTTAATGCCTATATTAGAAATTAATATTGAAAACCACATTTTGCATTCCAAATTCTAAATTGTGATTTTCATATGAACTAGCTACAAAGTTACTGAGAATGCATTTTGAACAATTTCTACTTTAATTGACTGATAATTTCCTTGAGGTTTAACATAGGGTCATTTTTACTAAATCTTCCATGAGTAAGTAGCCTGCTTTCTGTGCTCATTCCACAGGATGGGAAAAGAAATTTAAGTCACACACTGATACTATGGAGAACTTTGTGACTGACTTCACTGCACCTCTATCCTTCAACACTATCCATCTCAATTTGCCTTTCAGGCTGTAGTTATTTTAATATTTCTAAGTGAAGCACACGTATCTTCTCTTTATGGGAGATAAGTATTTCTATGAACATTCATAAACCACTCATCTTTTTAATATATATCCGTATCTTAGGAGTTGAAGCAGCACATTCAGCCTCCCACCAGCCATTTCTAGCATCTCTAACAATTATGCAATTTTAACAATTCATCCACAAGTATTTACCAAAAGTCTACTTCATGCCAGACACCGAATAAATGTCTCCAATCAGACTGAAGAAAATGACTTAAATTTCGTGGTTTTGAGAGAATCACAAACAAGAAAGCTTCTCAGACCTAGCCAGTGGTGGCAGCCACCCTGTAATAACAAGAGGCATCAACCTGAAATCAACAACAACACAGCAAGGAAGACAGAGGGGAGACAGGAGGGGAAAGAGAGAGAAGGAGAGGGGGTGGAGGGGAAAGGGAGAGAGAAAGGGACAGGAAGGAGAAAAAGAGGAAGGGAAAGAAATGAGAAATTGAGTCTTCAGAGACATTTCTAGCCAAATTAATCAGCCAACCTTGAAACCTGCCTTACTTAGGGACTTTTTTAATATGCAAGATAGCTAATTTCCCTATTAAGTCAATTTTACCAGGTAAAACTAAAAACACTCGAGTATTTTTTTAAATGCAACAAAGTGTTACAAGGATATTACTTTTACATCATTAAATTAATACATTGTTATTTAAAATAAAATCTTGTAGAAAACTCTCATTCTTACAAAATAATAAATTCCTTTGCTCTAATCTGGTTTGACTCTATTTATCCAGCTGGAATCTACAATATATAAGACTCTTTTCACTCAAATAAGGCTGGTTTCACTAGACTCTCAAATATGTTTTGCTCACTATTAACTCAAAATCCTTTTATCTTCAAATATTTACTGAGCACCTACTAAGTGCCTGTCAGAGTTCTTTATGCTTACAATATCTTGGAGAATAAAAAAGATACAATAATCCTTGTCTTCATGAAGCTGTATTCTAAATGCAGGTGACTGTCAATAAACTTGATAAATAACTATATCATACAGCGAGTTGGAAATGCTTGGTTGGGAGAATGCAGACCAGGATAAGGGGAATTGGAAGGCAATGTGGGAAGAGGATAGGGAGCAGGACGCAGTATAAAAAAAGGGTGGTTGCGGCAGTCTCCTGGAGAAGGTAAGCAAAAATAAGCAAAGCAGCCATCCAGGAAGAAAACTCCAAGCAGAGGGATCAGCCTGCATAAAGACGTTGAGACGCAAGTGTGCCTGCCATACTCCTGCCACCGAAGATGACCCCCTTATTTCCAAATACTAAGTCCTTCCAGACTCAGCTCAACTTCTAGTCTGTCTGAGAGGTCCTCTCAAGAGCAATAAGCCCACTGATCTCTCTTTTCTCAGAACTTTTCTATGCTCTTTTCCTGTTAGGAAATCAGAATACGACAGAAATAAGGAAGACAGGTTTGGAGTCAATAGATCTTTCTTCAAATCTCAGCTTCACTTACCAACCATACATGGGTTTCTTGACCTTTTCAAACTTGCCTCCCTTATGTTTTTAAAATGAGATGATTTAGGATAATGTTAGGATTAAATGAGATATGGATAATTCTTACACAGAGAGAATGCTCAATAAATTGTTTTGTTCCTGTCCATTCAACTTAACATTAACTCTCTTCTGCCTTCCACTGATAGCTGGACACACGTGAAGGACTTAACTTCTTAACTAAATATAAATTTCTTGACAATAAGAGACCACGTCTAGTATTTCTTTTACATTACTGAAAAATAAAATCATTCCAAAATGATTCTGTGATTATTAAGACACAGATAATAATATTTTGCATACAGAACATTTTTATTTGGTCACAAAAAGAGTGCTAAAATGCTAGAAATCGCTACTTTTAACCAGAGGTTTAAAATCTCTTTGTCTAACTATTAAATACAGTTTCCAAAATCAGTTTATTTTTATTTTCATTCTTACTATATATGTTTTAAGCATCAAAAGCTAAGCGTTTGTGGAAGAACATGAGTCATGTAATCAAGAACTGGAGTACCATGTTAACTGATCTGTGCTAATAAACCCACTACTTTGCAGAGTTACCAATGACAACACGTGAAATAAACTACAAATCACTGGATGGTTGGAAAATATAAATAACTACATACTTGTGATATTTTTCATCAGAAATAAAAAATGGGGGTTACATATAAGTTCACAAGCCATATCAAAAAAAAGGAAAATCAATCACTTTCTTCTCTGAGAGATTATAATGATTTTTAATAACTTGTTGTAATCACATTTTCTGACAATGTTGTAGTATAATCTTTTGTACTTAATTATATATAAACAGAATGACACCATCCCATCCCATCCCATCACCATCAGTGAGAGTAACACGAAGCTTTCCAATTCCATAAATGAAAAGTGATGACTAAAACAGCCATAGTGTGAACTGCACGTGTTCTTCTCCTATAGAAAATGTAACAACTTGTAAAGTGCCTTCCTTATATTTTATTTTATAGAGATGAGAAATATGAATATATATACTAGTATAACTAATATTTACATATGATGATATCCCTTTCTCTCATATCTAAAAGAAAATATCATATATAAATTGGATTTGACTTACCAAGGACATAAAAGCAAAGTTCAAGAAAGTCATCATGACACAACCACGTATATACGACTCTTCTTTTCCATAGTTTACTTCATAGAACTTAGTCATCTCTGAATGATCTACAACTGTGTTGATTCTGTAACTTGAATCTAGATGCTATCAGGCCCAGGAGCAAATGCAACCAACCTTAAGATTCACCGTCAGAAACCTGAGAAAATCTACCCCAGAGAGGCCAAGACATGGAATTTTTTGTTATATTTATCTGAATTTATCTACTGATGCTTTAAGAGCTGTTGAAACATATAAACGTATCTATGATCATGACAGAAGAAACAAATAAATGTAAACTCTGTCGACATTTGAGGCAGTATTCACTGTCTTAACTTGGATATTCAATAATACCTGAAAATTCATAGTTTAAAATGGCTATTTATAAACATCTAAGAAACTTTATAATTATGAATAAAAATTTACTAAGCCTTCCTAAAACTCTTACAATGTTTTGTGACTCTTTAGAAACATTTTTATTATGTTGCTTTAGTATTTAGGATGTGGGGAAATGAGAAGTCCAAAGCTTTCTTACTATATTTATAACAATTTAGGCCAGGCACCATGGCTCACAGCTGTAATCCCAGCACTTTGGGAGCTAGGGTGGGAGGATAGCTTGAGGCCAGGAGTTCGAAACCAGGTGGGGCAACATAATGAGACCCCATGTCTACAAAAAATTAAAAAATAGCCAGGCGCAGTGGCATGCACCTATAGTCCTGGCTATTCAAGTGGCTGAGGCAGTAGACTGTGGCAGGAGGATCACTTGAGCCCAGGAGTTCAAGGCTGCAGGGAGTCGTGATCCTGTCACTGTACTCCAGCCAGGATGACAGAGCAAGACCCTGTCTCCAAAAAAAAAAAAAAAAAAAAAAAAAAAAAAAAAAAAAAAAAAATCAGTAACAGAGTAAGAGTTTAGCATGAAAGTGTGACCTGGTACTTTTCTGAAGTTGGAAAAAAAATCCCAGAATGTATTGTTCACCTCCAGATTCTAGCAATTCTCTGAGGTATACAAGATTCCATGAAATTTGGCTATCACACATTACTCTATCAGCAGAGATCTTAACTGGAAAGTGTTAATAGTAGAAGATCTTGGCACTAAATGGAATATAAACATTAAGAACTTAGAATGAAGTTTAAAGTTGCTGACTTAAATTGTCTCATTTTGAAGAATCTGGGTCATGTGCTGTAAAAGTTCCTAGCTGTCTGCAAATCTATCACCTTACTTTTGAAAATGTTTTTGTTATTATTAGAGTACATGATTGCTCTAATTACTACTAACTTCATTGGTACATCTTAGAACTTCTCTTCTAAAACTGTTCAAAGGAAAAATTAAAATAGCAGCTCTATTATGTCTGCATGTAGTAGTTTCACATTCATTCCACTTATCTGACATTAGATCAAATGTGCACTAGATAGAGGAAATTTATAATATTAAGTCTCTTCTTGGATTCTGTGAACACTGAAAATTACAAGACCAGAGTACTTTTCATTAAAAAACATTCTTAATGTCCACAGATAGGTAAAAATAATGAGTGGTTCTCTTTCTCCTTCAGACCATCTAACAAGGCAGGCAGAGGAAAAAAGCCAGGGGGAAGAGTCTGATCAGGCCAACAGTAGCCGGGGAAGAGTCTGATCAGGGGACCAGGGGACCAGCAGCAGAGGAGGAGGTTGTTTACTCCATGGCAGTGAAGCAGGATCCTGCCTCAAGTACACTTACATCTCCAGAAGGAATGCAGCCTCACTACAAAATACATAAATGTACACTGGACATACGTTTTATTTATTATCAATACCACTCAAAGAAATAAGAAGCCAGACAAATGCTTAGAGCCCTTGAGACAAATACTAACTAATAAAGACTAGGAATGGAAAAAAATGAATAGTCCACAATGTTCAGCAATGCGGCTCTTGTTAACACCATCCTACTTCTTCAGCATTTCTGTTGTATCAGTTAGGAAATTATAGCTCATGGACAATTCTGAATTAAGACTTTTTACCTATTTTAAAACTATTAGCAGCTTATGGCAATGATCAATGAATATTCATTTCCCTTTGTCTATAGCTTGAAGTGACAAAACTTTATACTTTTATAAAAGTCAATTTTATCCACATGTTGAAAGAAAACTATATATAGTATTAAAAATAATGTTCCATTTTTGCTCATGAATGATTAACTGCTACAGAAATTGCCTTCTAATAATAAACAACTTTAGAAAATCAGAAGAAAATATGTGAAATGAAAGTTTTTAGACATTGAACACAAGGCAATGCAAGACAGTGATCCCAGTGATTAAACACATAGGGAAAAAAAGTCAATGTTCATTCAGGATAAAAGCTCACAGCAAACTAAAATTTAAGGGGATTTCCTTAACATGATAAAGAGAATCTGTAAAAAGTCTACAGGTAGCATCACACCTAATGGTGGAAGATTAAATGCTTTCCTACTAAGATGGAGAACAAGGCAAGAGCATCTGATCGCCCCACTCCTATTCAACAATATGTAATTCTACAATGCTGAATATGCGAATTATATTCAACATTATTCAATATTCTCACCACTCCTTTTCAGTAAACTTTTAAAAACTGTATATACATACACACACATACATACTAATAACATAGTTTACATTATATATAATAGATATTATTCTGTATCCAATATAGATTGAAAAGGAAAAAAAAACTGACTACTCACAGATGGCATTGTGCAGAAAAGAGAGAGAGATCAGACTGTTACTGTGTCTACGCAGAAAGAAGTAGACATAAGAGACTCCATTTTGTTCTGTACT
This sequence comes from Homo sapiens, assembly GCF_000001405.40. Taxonomy (NCBI): domain Eukaryota; kingdom Metazoa; phylum Chordata; class Mammalia; order Primates; family Hominidae; genus Homo; species Homo sapiens. The sequence continues at coordinate 165,500,363 of NC_000006.12, forward strand.
AGAAAAATTCTTCTGCCTTGAGATGCTGTTAATCTGTAATCCTAGCCCCAACCCTGTGCTCGCAGAGACCTGTGCTGTGTTGACTCAAGGTTTAATGGATTTAGGGCTATGCAGGATGTGCTTTGTTAAAAAAGGGCTTGAAGGCAGTATGCTTGTTAAAAGTCATCACCATTCTCTAACCTCAAGTACCCAGGGACACAATACACAGGGACCTCTGCCTAGGAAAGCCAGGTATTGTCCAAGGTTTCTCCCCACATGATGGCCTCATGGGAAGGGAAAGAACTGACCATCCCCCAGCCAACACCCATAAAGGGTCTGTGCTGAGGAAGATAAATGAAAGAGGAAGGCCTCTTTGCAGTTGAGATAAGAGGAAGGCATTTGTCTCCTGCTGGACCCTGGGCAATAGAATGTCTCCAGGGGCAATAGAATGTCTCGGTGTAAAACCCGATTGTATGTTCTATTTACTGAGATAGGAGAAAACCGCCTTAGGGCTGAAGGTGAGACATGCTGAAGGCAATACTGCTCTTTACGGCACCCAGATGTTTGGATGTTTGTGTACGTGCACATCAAGGCACAGCACCTTTTCTTTAACTTATTTATGACACAGAGACCTTTGTTCACATGTCTTCCTGCTGACCCTCTCCCCACTATTACCCTATTGTCCTGCCACATCCCCCTCTCCGAGATGGTAGAGATAATGACCAACAAATAATGAGGGAACTCAGAGACCATTGCCGGCTCGGGTCCTCCACATGCTGAGCGCCGGTACCCTGGGCCAATTTGTCTTTCTCTATACTTTGTGCCTGTGTCTCTTTCTTTTCTCAGTCTCTCATCCCACCTGACAAGAAACACCCACAGGTGTGGAGGGGCAGGCCACCCCTTCATGGCATGAACACCTAGGTAAAAAGTTCTGAGGAGGCCAGGCGCAGTGGCTCACGCCTGTAATCCCAGCACTTTGGGAGGCCCAGGCAGGCAGATCACGAGGTCAGGAGATCGAGACCATCCTGGCTAACACGGTGAAACCCCGTCTCTACTAAAAATACAAAAAATTAGCCAGGCGTGGTGGCGGGCGCCTGTAGTCCCAGCTACTCAGGAGGCTACTCGGGAGGCTGAGGCAGGAGAATGGCGTGAACCCAGGAGGTGGAGCTTGCAGTGAGCAGAGATCGCGCCACTGCACTCCAGCCTGGATGAAAGGGCGAGACTCCGTCTCAAAAAAAAAAAAAAAGTCCTGAGGAATCTGCAAGAAACTACTAGAATGAATATGTGAGTTCAGTAACGTCACAAAATGCAAGGTAAGAAAACTTCAAATCCTAAATAAATAGTTAAGGATACCCTGTTGAAGGATCAGAATTGTTACCAATTTTCCCCAAATTGATCTGTAGAGTAAATACAGGCAATTCAAAATCTCAACGGCCTTCTGTCGAACTTGACAAGGTATCTGTAAAATATATATGGTAATGCAAATGACCCAGATGAGCAATGTCAGTTTTTGAAAATAAATAAGTTGTAGAAGTTATGCTACATTCCAAGACTTCCTACACAGCTACATTCATCAAAACAGTGTGGTACTGACATAATGAGAGACATGTAAATCAACGAACCAAAACAGAATCTAGAAATAGACATATGCATATATGTGAATTTAGGCAAAGATACCAAAGTGATTCAATGAAGAAAGGATAATCTTTTTCAACAAATGGTGCTGGAAGAAATGGATATTCATAAACAAATTAACCCTTACCTCACACAATACATAAAGATTAATGTGAAATAAACAGATGCACATATAAGGGTGAAAACTGTAAAATGTGTATAAGAAAACAGGAGAATATATTGAGTTAGGCAATGATTTCCTACAGTAGACATAAAAGACACAAATCATCAAAGAAAAAATTGATAGAACAGACTTTATCAAATTTAAATACTTTGGCTCTTCAAGAGACACTGTTAAGAAAATAAAAGCCACAGACTGGGAGAAAGTATTTTCAAAATACGTATCTGGCAAAAGACCTATAACTAAAACACATAAAATTCTCTTACAACTCAATACTAAGAGGATGAATACTCAAATATACAAAACAGCAAAAGATTTGAATAGATTCTTCACAAATGATGATGCAGAAATGAAAAACTCATTAAAACGTTTAACATTTTTAGTCATTAGGAAAATCCAAATTATAATAAAAAGAGATATCACCAAGTACCCATTAGAATGGAGAAAATTAAAAGAATGTGAAGCAATGGTATTTTATAGTACACTGCTAAACATGTGGTGTATCTGAATAATGGGATACTACTGAGTCAAGAAAATGAACAAAGTACTGGTCCACACAACCACCTATGCAAATCCTACAAACATCATGCTAGGTGAGAGAAAGCAGACGCAAATGACTTCACACTACATGAGTGTCTTTACATGAAATTCTATGAACTATAATGACAAAAGGCAGATCAGAGGTTGCCAGGAACTAGAGGAGGGTGGAGGGTGTAGGAGGGAACATTACCTGCAGAGAGGTATATAGGGACTTTCTGAGATGACAGAAACGTTGATTGGGGTGGTAGTTACAGGATAATATACATTCATGAAAACTCATTAAACTATATAGTTAAACTTGATCAGATTTATTGTATGTAAATTATACCTCAATAAAGCTGATTAAACAAAGAAACAAGAAAAGTGTGTCTTCTCCATAGGCTTGAACTCGATGTGACGCAAGCCCCACCATTTCTTTCTTCCATTCTTGGCTTGGGTTTTCATTCAAGATCCCATCTTGTCTAGGGTGTACTCCTGGATCCACGCTTCAACACCAGCTGAGGGCAGCAGCAGGGGAGATGTTCACGTGTCCCTCATCCCCTCCATTCTTTTCACAGCCACAAACAACTTCAAGGTTATTCCTCCACATTTACTAAGAACTTCTCAACGTGACTCATATTATTCCTTTCCCTTAAAACCGCTTCAAATCATTCTGCACAGTATCAACATCCACGTGGAAGAATGCAGCGGGCTGGATGGCAAGCAAACCAAAGCAATCTGCACAGGGAATGATGGGAGTTATTCTGGCAATAGGGAGTTTTAACCAAAACTTAAGGGGCCAGCAGGAACAACAAGAGTCCATGCAGAGGCCTGTTGGGCAAGGACAGCCACAGGTCTCTGCCCATCAAGAAATAACAGGCCTTGGAAACGTGGCACGAGATTCAATAAGAACCCAGAGGATCAACATTGAAAAGCCAAAGGCTCCTTTTCTTCACTACTATGATGTTCCCTAAGTTTCCCAATATATCCACCTGTTCACTGGAATGAAGAAAAGTTAGAAAGAAGCCATTAAAGACAGGAACTCTTAGATCAACCAACTCTGGAAAATAGTTTGGCGTTTTCTGAAATCCTAGTTTTAGATATTTACCTAAGACTAAGTATCTATAAGACCAAGTATCCAAAAGAAATGAAATTAATGCAAAAAAAAATAAGTAACTGAAAGATCTTTATGGATAAGATGGTTTTCCACTAACAGTGGGAAATATAACCCAAAAGCAGAATAAGATTACGTAATAAATTATGTTATTTTGCATATCCAAGTCAATCTTGCTACTGTATTTCCACAAAGAAAGCCAAAATTATTGTCATAAAATTCTTTTTTTAGCACCTGTTAATTATAATCAATTACAAAAGTGAATTAAACATTTATTTGCAGAAAAGGCTGTATAATTCAAAAGCACTGCGACTTATGGCTCTGTGAAAATCCATAAAACTGATGACAGGGAATAATTCTAGAATCCTACCAAGTAGAGATAGGTAAAACAGTTGTAGCCTAAGGAGGAAGAATTTTTTTAGAATATTATTTTGGAAAATTTGAGAAGATAACCACTAAAGAGAGAAAAAAGGTCATGTGGTTAAAGTGAAATAAATTAGAGCTCAGCATTATGATCTTTTTATTAAAACTATAAAAAATACTATGATGTCTTTTATTAAAACTATAAAAAAATTAAACCGTGATAGCATTAAATATCCAGAATTGTTTAAAAATAAATGACAGCATCATTAACTTAGATAAATGATTGAATATTCTTCATCTCCAGTATGATCCTGGCCCAATATGCTGAGGTCTCTAAGACTCACGATGGTTCTCCAGCACAGCTGTAGCCACACCAACAGCTTCTTGGGGCTTCAAGTCAATGTGCTTAGAGACAGTCATTCATTTATTATCAGAAAATCTAAAGCTTTTGGTACTGAACACTGTGATTTGAATTTTGCAGCTGATTTTTCAAATGTTTCTCAGTAAGACTGGTTTTTATTTCCAAGTAAGATTCATAAAATCTTACTAATATATTACTAATAATAACCTAATATATTAACATAACATAAAATCTTACTAATAATAACCTAATATATTAAATAGATTAAAAGAAATATGGTGGCAGATATCATAATTGGCTTAACATAAATTCCAGCCTCCTCTGGGAGCTCCCTTTTGTTCCACTTAGGCTGGAAAGCTAAAAACTACATTTTCAGATTTCCGAGCATCTTATCATGTACTATTACTAAGGTGAGACTGAATTCAGAACTGAGTTAAGTGAGAAGAAAGGCAGGGCCTGCGGTTCCCACTTTCCTGAGGAGTATCAATCCACAGCCACCAGATTGCTGTCGCCTGAGCTTCCTATAGACAAGGAGCAACTTCAGCAGTCACAGCCAATGATGTGAAATTCTGGGGCCTAAAAGCTTCTCTTCGTAGCTCTGCCTAGAGATGATCCCTCGAGTCCTTCTAATGATTTTGTAAGTCACCTAATATGTTTCTTTCTACCTTCCATTGTTTTCTATTACCTATAACCAAACCCAAATACAAGTGTTTTATTAGTAAAAATTTACTTTAAATGTTATAAATTATGAAACATCTCATGATAAAGCCAACAAATAATAAAAAACACATTGCCTTACAAATTCAAAAGACTCCAGTTTAAAATGGCTCAAATATATTTACAAATTGTTTTCTTTAAAAGTTAAATCAATAAATATATAACTACTCACATTTCTTATAACAAGAAACATACAAACATAATAAGCCAACCACTGTATACCATTTTGTGATTAAACATACACTGATCCAACTTTCAAATAAAATGATGATGAGAGCCAAAATATTACTAATATGATACTTTTTTAAAAAGTTCAAATAAATATGCAGCTAGGTCACTATAAGCTTTGCCTGAGTTCTGCATAAAAATGAGTTGAACTGATGGTGCAAAGTTAATCGGTTGGTGGTCTCCAACATATTAAAACTCGGTACATTGAAATATGTCTGTTGTCTTATTATAGCTAAAAACTGCACAAAACTATTTTGGGGGCCTAAATTCTTTTGAGGTAAAGCCATAGAGCTTCTCTCAGAGAAAACAACACACATTTAAAAATCTTACACATAATCTCAGAAGGATCACATGAACTCCAGTCTGATTTCACCATGATCAGGCTACAGATTGGTTGCATTCAAAAGCTGGTCAGTACACAAAACATTTTAAATTCTGAATTCCAAGAAAAAAAATAAAATTCTTCAAATATTCTAAAAGTAACATGCATAAAAATATAAACAATAAAACAATACCAAATATATAGTGAAAAAAATAATATTACTTGTCTTATTTTTCAATTTTATTTTCTAACTCTACACTGCCTCCACTCATGGTAACCACTGGCAGACAGTATTCCTGTCGGGAAAATGTCTTTTCCCGCTTTTTTCCATTCCCATAACAACATAACTATATAAGTACTTTTGTTGGTTTTTTTCCCCACTAAAATGGCACTGTACTATAATGTTATATTGCAGATTAATTTTGTCACTTAGAATTTCACAGACATTCCTTTCTAGACCATAGAGTTCCAAATCAATTTTTTGAATACACGTATAACATTTCATACAATAAATATATCACAATTTATTCAGTATTTCCCTTTAGATAGGCATTACGGTTGATTTCAGTATTCTATCTCTGTAAGCAATGTTGTGATAAATATTTTGGCATGTATATATTCAATATTCTCCCCACTTTAAAAATGTTGAATATTCTCCTAAAAGAAAAATGTTCCCAATAGAGGTTACTTTTCTATAGAGGAGATTTTACATCACGTATAATAGAAAATAAGTACAGATGAACAGTCATATTGGCTAAATAAGCAATTGTGGGCACGTTCAACACATTTCCAAGTAACAGTGCCACGTCTGATATGGTGAAAAGAAAAATTGTTCTTGAGAATATATCTTTGATTGGAAGGTACGCAATCTCACTAAAACTTCCGGCACTCATAGGCTTTGCCTTGACACTTGGTTTCAAGGATTTTAAGCTAAAGTAAGGACAGGTGCCTTATCTGTCATTCAAAAAAGTTATAAAATGATTCAACATATTCACAGCTTTTTATTTGTAGAGTATTTTTACTGGCACCAGCTATAAATAACACATTGGTTTCTCTGGTTCATTCTAGTACACTTGAAATACTGCCATAACAATCAAAGACTTATCTCTTCGCCCTACTTTGCATTGCATTCTCTGATGTCTTTGTCCCGGAAGCACAGCCTCTCTGTTTTTCTTCTAATCAGTAATCATCAGCTCAGGAGGTATTGAGCAGTCTTCACCCCTTTAGTAATTGATGTTTAGAATTTATGTTTTTGAAAAGCACCATTTGGTGATCCTGGAAAGAGTGTGGTTGGCTGAAACTACCTGCCACCCTGCTGCCTTACAACTAGGTTTTTATTTCTGTTTCCCTACCCTGTACTTGTGTTTCATGCTGGAGTTGAAATTTTGTCCTATATCTCAACATGTTTGGTTAGGGCTCAGACATGCTGGGTAGTAACACTTACAAGGCTCTCAGTTTGGGTAGAAGTTATTCTGAGGAGGAAGAGGTCCTACTCACTTTGTTCCTGCAATCAAGGCTAGCTAGAGTTCCGTTTGGAGTAGACTGACTATACAGTAGCCCAGTACAAGGAGGAAGGGCTTTAGAAACCAAAGGACAAACTTGCCTGACTTCCTACTCCTTAGTTCTGTCGTGAGGATTAAATAAGCTAACACAGTACTTGTAAATTAATGTTCCTTTTCCCCTTATATGCACTCTTCATGAGACTCCTACTATCATGATCTACCTGGAAGACAGACACCCCAGTATCCAACTACACCAAGCCCAAGTCCAGTAAGTTTCTTCAAGAAGTTCTACAATCATCCAAGTTTCAGCCTATCTCCCGCCAGATTTGTCCAGATCCCTATTACTAACTTGAATGGCTCAAAAATCACATAATCACAGCTGAATGATTTTTAGCTCCCCTTTTTCTCTTCCTCTCCACTTCATTTTCCAACTAACACTTAACTACACACCTCTTGGGAATTATCGAGTTCTACTGATGGGCCCTATTGTTTTGGGGGCTTTCAGGGTGATACAAATATTTTACGGTTTTAGTCTCAAAAAGGCTTTGAAAATCCTACACATATTTTAAAGTCTTATCAAGAAATTCTGAGGCTACATACAAAATGTCATCTAAAATGAAACAATGTTTTCTTAAGACTTCAAATAAACCACCTCAAAAAACAAAAGTACATATATTAAAACAAACCACTTGAATTTCAACTTATGTAGATATATTTCAAGGAATATTTCTACCCAAAGCCCAGAAGAAAGAGACTGTTCTGAAACTGAAAAGTAGTATTTTAAAAGGCCATTACTTGTATTTTCAAAAACGATTTTATGAATGTATACTTGACAAAACGACACGTACATATTTAAAGTTAAAAGGTTGCAAAGTTCACATACACATGTGAAACCACTGACACAACTGAAAAAACACACAAATCACCCCAAAAGTTTCCGCAGATCCATTATAATCCCTGCCAACTGCCATCCCAAGCAACCATTGATCTGTTTTCTGTCACTGTATATTACATTGCATTGCCTAGAGTGTTGTATAAACAGAGTAGCATAGTACAGTCCTCTTTTCTCTCTGGTCTCCTTCACTCAGTGTAACTGTTTTGAGATTCATCCACACTGTTGCCTGTATCAATAATTTATTCTTTTTATTGAAGAGTAGCATTCCTTTGCATGAATATACCACAGTTTATCCATTCACTTCTTGGTGGACCTGAGTTATTTCCGGTTTTATTCCTGTATGAGTTTTTTGCAACAACACAGGCTTTCATTTATCTTCAGTAAATACCTTAGAGAGGAATGAATGGGGCTCATATGCTCAGTGTCTACATAACTTTTAAGAAACTGCCAAGCTATTCTCCACACTGGTGAGAGCATTTTACACTCCCTCAATCAACGTTTGAAAAGTCCAGGGCCTCCACATCCTTGACAACCCTTGCTATAGTAACTGGGTTTAATTTTAGCCACTGCAAGAGGTATGCAGTGATACCTCACTGCATTTTGTCATCAACAGTTTTACTGAGGATTCATTTACATACCATAAAGTTCACCAACTGTAAGTATACAAAATTCAGTGTTAGTATGTTTATACAGTTGTGAAGCTATCATAATAGTCCAGTCTCAAAACACTTCCATCCTCATCAAAGAAAGTTCCTCATAACCATTTAAATCAGACCCCTGCACCTACAGAGAGCTCAGCAATCAGCGATGTGCTTCCCATCTTCACAGATTGATTTTTTTCTGGGCATTTCATATAAACAGAATCACATAATATATAGTCAATTACATCTGGTTTCTTCCACTTAGCACAAATTTACTCAGGTTCATCCATGTCAAAGCGTATATTCATACTTCACTCTTTATTTTTTATTGTTGTCTTTTATTGATATATATTATTTTCAATATTTATGAGGTATATATAAGTATTTTTTACACGCACAGAATGTGTCATGATCGAGTCAGGGTACACGAGTACTTATCATTTCTATGTGTTTGTAATATTTCAAGTCCTTTCTTCTGGCTACTTTATTCTTCTGCATATGGATATCCAATTTTCCCAGCACCATTTATTGAAGACGGTTGTCCTTTCCCCAACGTATGTTCTTGGAACCTGTGTCGAAAATCAGTTGGCTATAAACATGTGAAATTATTTCTGAGTTCTTTATTCTGTTCCATTGTATAATTTGTCTATTTTTATAGCAATACCATGCTGTCTGGATTGCAATCGCCTTGCAATATAATATAAAGGCAGGGAGTGTGATGCCTCCGGTGTTGTTCCTTTTGCTCGGGATTGCTTTGGCTATTTTTTGGTTCCATACAAATTTCAGGATTTTTTTTTTTTATTTTTGTGAAAAATGACATTGGTACTTTGATAAGGATTGCATTGAATCTGTATATTGCTTTGGACAACATGCTCATTTTATTAATTATTTTGATCTATGAGCATGGAATATCTTTCCATTTGTTTGTATCCTCTATCCTTTTCAATTTCTTTCTTTCAGTGTTTTGTAGTTTTCCTTATACAGAGATCTCTCACCTCCTGGTTAAATTTATTCTTAGGTATTATATTTAATTTTTTATAGCTATTGTAAATGGGATTGGCTTCTTGATTTCTTTTTCAGCTATTTCATTATTGGTGTATAAAACACTGCTGACTTTTTGATTTTGTACCCTGCAACTATACTGTATTTGCTTATTAGCTCTACAAGTTTTCTGACGGTGTCTTTTGGTTTTTCTAAATATAAAGAGCATGTCATCTGCAAAGAGGGACAACCTGACTTTCTCTTTTCCAACTTGGATGCCTTTTATTTCCTTCCCTTGCTTGATGCTCTCTGGCTAAGACATTCAGTAGTATGTTGAATAGGAGTGCTGAAAGTGGGCAGCCTTGTCTTGTTCCAGGTCTTACATGAAATGCTTTCAGCTTTCCCACATTCAGTATGATGTTAGCTGTGGGTCTGGCATATATGGTTTTTATTATTTTGAAATATGTTCCTTCTAGGCCTAGTTTGCTGAATTTTATTAAATGAGATGATCATATGGTTTTCGTCCTTCATTCAACTGATGTATCATGTATATTGGTTTGCATATCTTAAACCATCCTTGCATCCCTAGTATAAATTCCACTTGATTGTAGTGTATTACCTTTTTGATGTGCTGTCAAATTTAGTTTGCTAGTATTTTGTTGAGGATTTTTGCATCTATGTTTATCAGAGATAGATATACTGGCCTGTAGTTTTCTTGTTTTGCTGTGTCCTTGTCTGGCTTAGGTATGAGGGTAATGCTGGCCTTGTAGAATGAGTTGGGGAGAACTCCCTCCTCTTCAATTTCTTGGAATAGTGTGAGGACTGGTATTAGTTCACTATGTTTGGCAGAATTCAACAGTGAATCTACTGGGTCCTGAGCTTTTCTTTATTGGGAGACATTGTATTTCTGATTCAATCTTGCTACTAGTTATTGGTCTATTCAGGTTTTCTATTTCTTCCTGATTCAATCTTGGTAGAATGCATGCAGCCCGGAATTTATCCATTTCCTCTAGGTTTTGCAGTTTGTTAGTGTATAGTTGTGCATAACAGTTTATGATGATCTTTTGTATTTCTGTGGTATCAGTTGGTTGTAATGTCTCCATTTTCATTTATGATTTTGTTTCTTTAGGTCTTCTCTCTTAGTCTAACTAATGGTTTATCATTTTTTTTTAACTTTTCCAAAACCCAACATTTTGTTTCATTGATCCTTTTAGTTATTTTTAGTCTTATAATTTTTTAGTATTTCACTTAGGTCTGTGGTAATATTTATTTCTTTTGTTCTACTACTTCTAGATTTAGTTTATTCTTGCTTTTCTAGTTCCTTGCAGTGTATCATTAGATTGTTTATTTGAACTCCTACTTTTCTGATGTAGGTGTTTGTTGCTATTTTCTTCCCTGTTAGTACTGCTTTTGCTGTATACGACAGGTTTTGGTATGTTGTATTTCCGTTTTCATTTGTTTCAATAAATGTTTTGATTTTCATATTAATTTCTTCATTGACCCAATGGTTATTTGGGAGTATCTTGTTTAATTTCCATGCATTTGTCTAGTTTCTAAAGTTTCTTTCTTTTATTGACTTCAAGTTTTATTGTAGTCTGAGAAGATACTTGATTTCAAAATTTTTAAAATATCTTGAGAATTGTTTTGTGGCCTAACATGTGGTATATCCTGAAGACTGTTCCATGTGCTGATGAGAAGAATGGGTATTCCACAATTATCAGATAAAATGCTCTGTAAACCTTAGGTCCAGCTGATCCAAACACCAGTTTAAACACAATGTTTATTTGGTGATTTTCTTCCTAGAGGATCTAATGCTGACTTCTGACAGGCGGATGTTGAAATTCCCCACTCTCATTGTATTGGAGTGTCTCTCTCTCTTTAGATCTAGTAATATTAGCTTTATGAATCTGGGTGCTCCAGTGTTGCATGCACAAATATTTAGAGTTATTATATCCTCTTGAAGAATTGATCTCTTTATCATTCTACATGATCTCATTTGTATTTCTTTATGGTTTTTTACTTAAAGTCTGTTTTATCTGATGTAAGTATAGCTACTCCTGCTAGCTTTTGGTTTCTATTTGAATTGAATATCTTTTTCCATCACTTTAGTTTCACTCTATGTGTGTCTTTACAGGTGAAGTGCATTTCTTACAGGCAGCATATAGTTGGATCATTTTGTTTTGTTTTGTTTTCCATTCAGCCAGTCTATAACTTTTTCAGTAGAGATTTTAATCTATTCACATTCAAAGTTATTATTGCATGGGAAGTTGTTATTGTCACATTGTTTTTTTCTGGTTGTTTGTATATTCTTTGTTCCTTTCTTTTCTCTTATTGTTTGTCATTGTGGTTTGGTGGTTTTCTGTAGGGGTTCCATTTGAGTCCTTTCTCTTTCTGATTTCTGTGTTTGCTTTACCAGTGAGTTTTATACTTTTATATGTTTTTACGATAGTAAATGTCATCTGTGCTTCCAGTTTAGGACTTCCTTGAACATTTCTTGTAGGACTGGCCTAGGAATGATGAATTCCCTCAGCTTTTGCTTGTCTTTGAAAGATGTTATTTCTCCTTCATTTGTGAAAGATAATTTTGCTGACAATAGTAATTATAGTAATAAATTATTATTTATTAATAGTAATAAAATACTAGTAGCCTAGGTTGACAAGTTTTAAAAAAAAATTCAGCACTTTGAATATATCATTCTACTCTCTCCTTGCCTGTTACCTTGGTCTTCTGCTGAGAAATCCATTATTAGTCTGACAGGGGTTGCAAATAGTATTCCATTACATGAATGTATCAAACTTATTTATTCACCAGTGGAGAGACATTTGAATTGTTTCCAGTTTGGAGCTATACTGAATAATGCTGCTATGAAGATTCATACACATTTCTTGATGCAGGCATGTATTCCTCTCCCTTTAGCAGATTCTCAAGAGGAAAACTGATCAGTTGTATGTTAAGTATAACCTTTTAAGAAACTGACAAACTGTTTTCTGAAATACGTGTACCATTTTATTTTCCCAAAAGTAATGTATAATGATTACCATTTCACCACATGCTCACCAACATCAGTTATTGTCTGTTTTCTTATACTTATTTTAATGAGTACAGAGTAGTATCTCATTGCATTTCCATAGTAACTAATGAGATTAAGCATCCTTTATTGGCCATTTATATATTCTCTTTGAGATCATTCATACTCAGATCTGTTGACTTTTAAAAAAATGGGTTGTCTTATTATTTTGTTTAAGAATCCTTTATATATTCTGGATACAAGTTCTTAGTGAACTACAATTTACTGTTTTTTTAAAATTTTTTGGACTGTGCTTTTGGTGGCACATATAAGAACTTTACCCCACCAAAGACCATACTTTTTTCTAAGAAATTTTAGAATTTAGCTCTTACAGTAAGGCATATGATTCATATTAAATTAATGTAGCTTATGATATGACAGAAAAGTATACAGTCTTTATAGTTATTGTTTATATAATGTATGAATATATAATTGTCCCCTACCAACTATCCTTTCCAAAAATCAGTTGTTTTGGCATCTTTGTTGAAAGTGAGTTGACCGTGTACAGATTTATTTCTGGACTCTCAATTCTGTTTCATCGATTTGTATGCCTATCTCTGCAGCAGTACAAAATAAACTAACATACAGTGTTTGTACAGTAATTTTTGAATCATGTAATGCAAATCCTTCATATTGAACTTCATTTTAAAATATTATTATGATTCTTCTAAGAGGTCCTTTGCATTTCCATATGCATTTTAAAATCAGTTAATCAATTTCTATAAAAAGACCTGCGGGGATTTTCATAAGGACTTCTTTGAAATTATGGATCAATTTGGGGAGAATTGTTATCCAGACAATTCATAAAGAGTAAATCTGTCTTCATTCATTTCGATTTTCTTTAATTTCTTTCAGCAATGTTTCATAGTTTTCAGTTTACAAATTTTGCACTTCTGCTAAATGTCTTAAGTATTTTATTTTTTGATATTACTGTGAATTTTAATTTCTTTCAGATTGTTCATTTTTATGTAGAAATACTACTTATTTTTGTACATTGACCATGTAGCCTGAGACCTTGCTAATTTATTCATTAGTTTTGTAGTTTTTTGTGAAGTGTTTTGAATGTTCTCCATAAAAGATGTTGTGATTTGTAAAAAATATAAGACAGTTTTAGTTCTTCCTATCAAATCTGGATCCCCTTCTCTTTTGCCTTATTGCTCAAGTTAACAACTGTCCTTCTACTCTGCTGAGAACTTTTCTCATGAAATTTTATTTTGAATTTTTACTAGTATGTTCTATTACATTAACTGATTTAGTAATATTAAACCAACTTTGTATTTCTGATATAAATCCCACTTGTCCATACTGTATCGTATTTTTTACATATTACATTGGTTTGCTAATTTTTTAAAAGGATTATTGCATTTATGTTCATGAACAACATTTATCGGTGCTTTTCTTGTGATACCTTAGTTGGCTTTGATACGAGGTTAATACAAGACTCACAGAAGAAGTTGAAATGCTTTTCTTCCTTCTCTATTTTCTGAAACAGTTTGTGATGGATTGGCATTATTCTTTTTAAGTATTTAATAAAATTCACCAGTACAGTGATCTGGAAGGCAGTGTTTGCTGTGGGAAGATGTTTAATTACTATAAGCCTGTATCAGTGTGTAAACCTGCTTGGTTTTACATTCCACTAGGACCCTTTCCAAGGAGTGACCACTGGGAGCTGTGAAGAGATGGGGACCTTCTCCAGTTTCCACTGCACATGTGCATATCTTCAGCCAGAAACAGGTTTACCCCAATCTTGAATGAAATCACAGGCTAGTAGAGCCTGGCCGGCCCTCCGCTAGGTGCTGGCCCCCGAAATGCCATTGATGGGGGATGAGGTTATTGCTTATGACTCCAAGTTGAGTGAGTCCCTGCAACTGCAGAAGAGAAGCTGTCAGAACCTCTGGACCAACTACTAGAGTCAGGGGGTACCGGAAGTAGCTCCAGGCCATAACACCATGATGCCCACAGTTTTTACTGCAGGTCAGCAGTTTTTAAGGTATGAATGATTCTTGGATTGTGTATTGCCTTTGAATGATGTCCAGAGCACTAAAATGGCTGTTTTTGTCCATATTTTCCACTTCATAATTGCCTTTTGGGGAGAGGATTTCCTGTTGTCTCCTCTTAGCTTTAGCTAGAAATCCTTTTATCCAAACTATTCATTTTTACTACAGAGCAGCAATTTTCAATGTGTAGTTCACTGACCTCTGGGCTCCTAGACACCCTTTCAGAGGGCATGCGGATCAAAACTATTTTCAGAATAACACTAAGATGTTATCTGTCTTACTTATATTCTCTCAGGAGTGAACACTATATTTTTCAGAAGCTACTTAATGCTTTGACAGCCCATGACATTTGTACTTTGCATTCTAATGTTTCTAAAATGTTTTTAAGGTCATAAGTTCACAGTTTAGGATATAAATATGTTAGTCTTCAGAGGTTAACTATGTTCTCAATACTTCTATAGTGCTTTTATTTGCTATATTTAATTATACCTATTGTAATCTCTGCAATGTCATTAACATCCAATAAATAATTACATGAAATTCTAAATTTTCTTGTACTTACATAAAAACATAAAATGTATACTTTTATATAAAATTATTGGTTTAATATTATAATCATTTTATCATAAAATAAAATTTATAGTATACACACACACACACACATATATATGCTTTTGTTCTTTTTTTTTTTTTTTTTTGAGATGGAGTCTCACTCTGTCACACAGGGTGGAGTGCAGTGGGACAATCTCAGCTCACTGTAACCTCCGTCTCCAGGGTTCAAACGATTCTCCTGCCTCAGCCTCCCAAGTTGCTGGGACTACAGGCATGCGCCATCATGCTTGGCTAATTTTTGTATTTTTAGTAGAGACGGGGATTCACCATGTTGATCAGGCTGCTCTCAAACTCCTGACCTCATGATCCGCCCACCTCGGCTTCCCAAAGTGCTGGGATTACAGGAGTGAGCCAACGCGCCCGGCCTATTTTCTTATATTTAAGACTGTATCATTGGCTTTAAAAGGGGGAGCTTAGTAAATTTATTTTCTTAACCCACTGCTGTTCTATTTATATTTTAAAACACTGAACAAGATAAAACTGACCTATCAGAAGATTCTCTGATTTATGGAAGAGAGCAATCTACTCCAAAGGAACTCGGTGAAACTGTAAATAAGAAATAAAAAATCTGCTAAAATATCATTTCCTTGGCTTTAAGAATTTATCTCATCCTGCCTTAGGCAACAGAACATTTTCAAATAATATTCCAAATAGTTTCCTCCTATCTAAGGCCAGCCCCTTCACTTAGTGCTGTATCTTGTTCTCTCACCTGGTCAAGGCCATAGCTCCAGCAATCTCTTCTCCGTCTTCCATCTACAATTTTTCCCTCTCTATTGAAGCACTTCCCATAAGCATACAGTCTCTTAATACTCCCATGTTAAAAATAACAAAAATGTCACCTTCCATATGCCATTCCCTATCTCCTCTCCTTCAAAACACATCTTAAAAGATTATGTACATGCTTCCTCCCTAAATCCCCTCCTTAATTTATGAGTCATAGTATTCTTAATATATGAGTCATAGTATTCTCAAAGATACGCGCACATCAAAAAGAGGCTCTCCTGCCCCTGTTTTTATGGACCTACATCATAGAACTTTCTACTACCATTGTACATAAAACCTTATTTGATAGCGGTATTTGCCTAACAGAACAAAAGCCCTTAATGATCTGACACCCTCTCACATGTTAAGCATACGAGGACAAATTATAAGCAGCCTTCATATTTCTAAAAAGTAATTTTCATAAATGGATAAAAGAGTGAGGTTAACGTGAAAGCTTCTGGGGCTTATGAATAGGTCACTTGTTTTTCCTCATTATTTATCCAAACAAAATCACTAGGGAAAAATTTTTAACAAATAATCATAAATATCATGTTTTACTTTAAATTACATACATAATTACTCCCTTTAACCATGTTCTTACAAACGGCAACAGGGCCACATTAGAGTAAAATAAAACCTACTTTTAGACAATGTATCCTTGAATACTAAAAATGATTCACTGTGATAAGCAATATATAATTACTCTAAAGAATACAGCTTCCAATTACTATAAAGAACTATATTTTTAACATAATGTGCTAAAAAGTACAACCTTATATTCATCACATTACCATGAATCAAAAAAAATCTCATTAAACACATTACAGTGCTTCTGAATTATTCAATCATTCTATCTTGATTCATTAAATGGGTATTTAATACACACCTCTTGTGTCCAACATTACATAAGATATTAGAAACTTAGTGAATGCCTGGCAAGTTATGCCACCAACTGATTCTTCCTTTTAATTTAATTAGAAAACTAGTAAATAAACTACATGTCTATGAAATTGAAACTAGTAAAATAAATATGAAATAGATGACATTTTTCACAAATACATCTTACAAGTCTTAAATAGACTCAAAAGACTCACAGTCTCTATCAAAAATAAGATTTAGTTTATCATTCAAATTTCATCAGAGACAAAAACATAAGACAAGATAGTTCAACACAAACACCAGTTAAAGCAATTAGGACCCAGTATTTCCCATGAAGAGAAATCTCTCATTCTAAAGTATTATTTAAAATAGCATTAATATTATCCATAATTTCCCCCAAATTGGAAATAATCCAAATAGGCTTTAGAAAGTAATCCGATAAATTGTGGTACATCCATACAACAAAATACTACTCAGCAATAACAAGGAACACACAATTGGTACAGACAGCAACTCGGATGAATCTCAAAAAGGCTCGACACTGCATGATGTCATTCACACGACATTTGGGAAAACACAGAACTATAGTGATCACTAACACAGAAGTCATTGCCAAGGACGGGGTGAATGGAGGGCAGGATTATAAAGGACGGCACAAAAAAGTGCCATTCTTCATGCTGAGGTCAGTGGTGGTTACGGGAATCTACATATGTGTTAAAATTCATAGAACTATACACGAGAAAAATACAAAGTCAATTATTTTTAATATATTCAGGTTGAGTTTTTAATATATACAGCTATCATTTTGTGAGTGATTCCATGTGTCCGGTGCTAATCCTTACATCATTCCTATGAAGTTGGTTTTATTCCCATTTTAGGTATGAGAAGCAAACTCAAGGAAGTTAAGGTTAAGTAATTAAATGAGGTTATTCAGCTAAATATTAAGTGGCAGATCCCAAATTCAATTTTAAAGTTGTCTGATTCCAAAGCCTGAACAAAATATTTTGCTAAACACTCTGATGTTGCTAGAAAACACTGACTTCTAAAAATCACAGCTTCGTTCAAATCCATAAATTATGAGAGCAGAACAAATTAATTAAGGACATTAAATAGAGGGCACAAATTAAAATGACCAAACATGAGTAGGTAGGGTCAAATGAAGAGTAATCTTTACAGTAGAACCCTTCATCTGCAGTTTTACTTTCTGCAATTGCAGTTACCCACAGTCAACCACAATATTAAATGGAAAATTCCAGAAATAAATAATTCATAATTTTAAATTCTCCACCATTCCGAGTAGTTATGATGAAATCTCACACTGGCCAGCTCCATTCTGCCCACGACATGAATTTTCCCTTTGTCCAGAGTCTCCACGCTGCAGATGCTCCTGACCCTTTAGTCAGTAGCTGTCTGGCTTACGGGATCAACCGTCCTGGTATCCCAGTGTTTGTGTTCAAGTCGCCCTCACTTTACTTAATAATGACAGTAACGCACAACAGTAGTGATGCTGGCAATTCAGATACACCAAGAGGCCGTAAAGCACTTCCTTTAAGTGAAATGGTGAAAGTTCTCAACTTGATAAGGAAAGAAAAAACAATTGTCTGCTGAGGTTGCTAAGATCAGCAGTAAGAACAAATTTTCTGTCCATGAAACCGTGAAGAAGGAAAAATAAATCTGTGCTGGTTTGCCATCCGACCTCAAACTACACAAGTTACAGCCGCAGCACAAGATAAGTGCTTCTCTAAGATGAGAAAGGCATTAACATGTAAGGGTGGCAGTCATGTACAGAAACCAGTTCCAATTGATGGCAACAGGGTTTGGTATTATCAGTGGTTTCAGGCATCCACTGGGGTTCATGAAATGCATATCAGTGCATACAGGGAAACTACTGTACTTACTGGAATGGAAAGGGTTTTGAATAAAAAGAAAGATGAGGGTGAGACAATGTTAGTACATTTCTGTAATCTGTCATGGAACTATCATTTTAGTTGGATTTATAAAAAGAACATTTTCACATTGACATCAGTGGCATTTAAGAATAAGCTAGAATAGGGAACAAGTATTTTTGCATTTGATAGAAGAAACTGGATCCTCAACTTCAATGAAGGTATTCAGTTCAAACTTACGATATACGGCTGACCGACTACCCCCAAGAGGAAGAATAAACAGACCCATGGTCTATGGGTTTTGAATAAATTGAGATATCATTAAACAAAAATCTAAAAGAGTTAGAATCTTAGGAGTTACAGAAATCACAACTTCTAAAACCAATGGCATCACTTTGTTTAAACAAACGAACAAATACCAAAATGTCTATCTCATCCAGGGTAATAATTGAGAAATCTCATGGAGACTGAGATGAGGAGAGGAAAAAAAAAAAACCACATCAGAAGAAAAATGAGAAGGCTGAGCAGAGGAAAGATTGAAGTCCTCCTGTGTACTGTCATCTACTTCAACCTGTGGCTAGTAGCAAAATACTCCCTGCTGCTCAATTCGTTTAACTATTTGCCTTGCCTTGCTTCATAGAACACGTGTTTGGCTTCATGCTAAAAGTATTCCCAGATATATGAAGAAAACAGAACAAACTCACCCCCTAGCTTTCTTTCAAGCTATGAAAGTGATTTCTGAAAACTCCTGAGGTGCCTATGATAACACGTGTGACTGTTGTTTAATATACATATTTATATATTTTTAAGTTGAAGTGTAGAAAATTATGTGGCTCGATTTTTTCTGGTTTTCTTTTTAATATTCTCACCACTGGCTGGTGATGAACAGGGTAGGGAAGAAATGCCTAAGTCCTATCTGACAGTTATCTTTTTCAAAATGCTCACCTCCTTTTTGTATTGAGGCTCTACAGTTTTGAAAGTTTACTTCAGAAAATCAAGTAAGTGGAAAGGAACTCAGTGGCCTTCACTTTGCTTTTATTTCTCTTGAATCCAGACCTAAAACATAGGAGCACCAAGCTGCCTTTTCAAGTTTTAAAATTCTGTTTGAAGTGACAATCACGATATCCCCAGAACCAGTATCAATGCTAAGTGATAACACCATCAAGTTCCTTCTAGAAAGTAATTAAGTACTTCTTGACTTATATAGAGTTCCTTTTGTTTCTCATGGGAAAGGAAGAATAGTTTGAAGCACGTTCTATCATAAAATTCCTAATAAACAGCCCAAATGTGATCTGAAAATTGTTTTAAGTTCCAAGATGTAACATAAGAAATTTCATGTACCACCTCTACTTTTAAAAATAATCTCAATCCTACCAAATAAATCATTTTATAAACCATAGAGAACGCTCTTGACATTAGTAATATGTATAACATCTGAGGAGGAGACTTGGAACTACTTCGTGCTTGACAGTTTGAACAAATTCCAAGGGGAGTATGATGAAGGAGAGGGATGGGCATGAGGACAGCTACTACCCTGGGCACCTAGTGATTTGACAGAGCATCTAGGAGAGTAGAGCCCACAGATTTTTCAGATCAAGCACTAAGAATTTCCTAACTTCCAGGCCCAGAGCTACTTATAGGCCAAATAGTGAAACAAGATAAATGTTTCTTTTGAAGTCCTCAATGGCCCTTTAATCACTTAAAATGAGTCTGTCGGTCAATTACTGAATTCATATATTCAACATTAACTGAGTTACTAGTTGGCCAGGAATTAAGAAACAAGATTGGAATATGACACACCCTTTGTACTCTAAGAGCCATCAGTGTATTGGGTGGACTGGACAATTACATCCCCAGAAACAGACCAGTGAGAAAAGGAAGCTTTCTCTAAAACCTCCCACTGTAGAAGCCCCCTTCAGGCTCTGGGAAGAGCCCTAGGACAGGCATACTGCATTTCATTGTGCTTTGCTTTACTGTGCTTCACAGATACTATGGTTTTTTTTTAGAAATTGAAGGTTTGTGGCACCCCAGCAGCAAGCAAGTCTATCAGCACCATTTTTCCAACAGCATGTGCTCACTTGGTGTCTGTGTGTCAAATTTTCACGATATTCAAAATACTTTTTCATCATTATATCTGTTATAGTGATCTGTAATCAGTGATCTTTGATGATATTACTGTCATTGTTTGGAGAGCTACAAACCATGAGATGGTGAACTTAATTGATAAACATTGTGTGTGTTTTGACTCCTCCACCAACTGGCTGTTCCCCGATCTCTCTCCTTGAGCCTCCTTATTCCCTGAGACACAACAGAATTTAAATTAGACCAACTAACAACCCTACAATGGCCTCAATGGCCTTCCTTTTGTTCAAGCAAAAGGAAGAGTCACATACCTCTAACTTTAAATCAAAAGCAAGGAATAATTAAGCTTAGTGAGGAAGGCACGTCAAAAGCTGGGACAGGACTGAAGCTAGGCCTCTTGCACTAGTTAGCCACGTTGTTAATGCAAAGCAAAAGCTCTTCAAGGAAATTATAAGTTCTACTCCAGTGAACACATGAGTGATACAAAAGAGAAACAGCTTTATTGCTGATAGGAGAAAGCTTTAGTGATCTAAGACAGAAGATTAAATCAGCCACAATGGTCCCTCACGTCAAAGCCTATCCAGAACAAGGCTCTAATTCTCTTCAATTCTATGAAGGCTGAGAGAGGTCATGAGGAAGCTGCAAAAGAAAAGTCTGAAGCTAGTAGAGGTTAGTTCATGAAGTTTAAGGAAAGACGCCATCTCCACAACATAAAAGCTCAATGTGAAGCAGGAAGAGCTGATATAGAAGCTGCAGGAAGTTATCCAGATGATCTAGCAAAGATGATTCACGAAGGTAGCTACACCTGGTGCTTTCTGGCACTATAAATTTGACTACTCATATAAGTGGGATCATATAATATTTGTCCATTTGTAACTAGCTTATTTCACTGAGCATAATTTCCTCAAGGTTCAACCACGTTGTAGCATGTGTCAGAACTTTCTTCTTTTGTAAGGCTGAATAATATTTTATTCTATGACTAGATCCCATTTTGTTTATCCATTCTTCTGTTCATGGACACTTTTGCTGCTTCCACATTTGGCCATGAACAGACCAACAATGAGTTCCACACTGAATCAGTAATAACAAAAAGCCTACCAACCACAGAAAAGGTCCTGTGTATGTGAATACAAAGCCAAACTCTAACAGATGTACAAATAAGAGCTGGTACCAATCCTAGTGAAACAACTCCAAAAAAAATTCAAGGAGGAGGGACTGCTCTGTAACTCATTCTACAAAGACTACATCTCCCTGATAGCAAAATCTGGCAAAGACACAATGCAAAAAGAAAACTATAGTCTAATATCCCTGATGAACATAGATGGAAAAATCCTCAACAAAATACTAGCAACCCAAATCCAGCATTATATCACAAAGTTAATTCGCCACAATCAAGTAGGCTTTATTCTTGGGATAAATCCACATAAAAGACCACATAAAAAAAGGTCTTTTTAAATGTTCATCTCAATAAACATACAGAAAAGTTTCAATAAAATCCAACATCCCCTCATCATAAAAGCCCTCAACAAACTAGGCACTGGGAGAACATACCTCAAAGTAGTTAAGAGCCATCTATAACAAATCCACAGCCAACATCATACTAGCAGGCAAAAGCTAGAAGCTTTTGCTTCTAGTTTAATAACTGAAACAAGACAAGAATGTCCACTCTTATCACTCTTATTTAGCATAGTACTGGATGATGTAACCAGAGCAACTGGGCAAGAGAAAGAATTATAAAAGACACCAAAATAGGAAAAGAAGTCAAATTATCGCTCATCACTGATGATATAATTCTGTATGTAGAAAACCCTAAACAATCTACCAAAGGCTCCTAGAACTGATAAATGGCATCAATAAAATTTCAAGATACAAAATAAATGTACAAAAATCAATAGTGTTTCTATATACCAACAGTATTCAAACCAAGCGCCAAATCAAGAATGCAATCCCATTTACAATAGCCACAAAAATAAAAAAAAATACCTAGGAATGCATCTAACTAAGGAAGTGAAAGATAGCTACAAAGAGAACTATGAAACACTGAAAGAAATGATTACATAACACAGAGAAACTGAAAATTCTATGCTTATGAATTGAAAGAAACAATATAATTAAAATGGCCTTATCACCCAAAGTAATCTACAGATTCAGTGCCATTCCCATCAAACTATCAACGTCATTTTTCACAGAATTAGAAAAAACTATTCTAAAATTCATATGGAACCACATAAAAGCCCAAATTGCCAAAACAATCCTAAGCAAAAAGAACATGGCTGGAGGCATCACACTATCCAATTTCAAACTATGCAACAAGGCTACAGTAACCCAAACAGCACAGTACTGGTACAAAAACAGACACATAGAGCAATGAATAGAATAGAGAACCCTTAAATAAAGCCACAAACCTATAGTAATCTGATCTTCAACAAAGTTGACAAAAGTAAGCAATGGAGAAAGGACTCCCTATTCAATAAATGAGGCTGTATTAACTGGCTAGCTATATGCAGAAGAAAGAACCTAGACCCCAACCTATCACCAAATTTTAAAAATTAACCCAAGAGAGATTAAAGACTTAAATATAGGACCTAAAACTATAAAAATCTTATAAGAACCCTAGGAAATACCCTTGTGAACATCAGACTTGGCAAATAATTTATGACTCAGTTTTCAAAAGTAATTGCAATAAAAACAAAAATTGACAAAAAACCTAACTAAAGAGCTCTGCACTGAAAAATAAACTATTAACAAACAGACCATTGTGACGGTTAATACTAAGTGTCAACTTGATTGAAGGTACAAAATATTAATCCTGGGTGTGTCTGTGAGGGTGTTGTCAAAGGAGATTACCATTTGAGTCAGTGGGCTGGGGAAGACGGGCCCACTCTTAATAAGGTGGGCACCATCTAATCAGCTTCCAGCGAATATAAAGCAGGCAGAAAGACATGAAAAGGTGAGACTGGCCTAGCTTTCCAGCCTACATCTTTCTCCCATGCTGGATGCTTCCTGCCCTGCAACATCAGACTCCCAGTTATTCAGTTTTGGGACTCAGACTGACTCTCCTTGCTCCTCAGCCGGCAGAGGGCCTATTGTTGGACCTTGTGATCGTGTGAATTAATACTTAATAAACTCCTCACTATGGATATATATCTCCTATTAGTTTTGTCCCTCTAGAGAACCCTGACTAATACAGATTTCTGTACCAGGAGTGGTTCCAGAGGAACAGAATATTAAAAATGAAGTTCTTTCGTTGGTTTTGGGGTTCCTGGAGTTGGCTGCTTAATATGATTAGACCCCAAAACGCTAAGGATTCTACTTCTAACAATATGGAGAACACCAATAGTCCTTGGCATAAACTGTTTAGAAAGTTATGCAAAATAAATACATTTGACACTCCTGATTCACCGCTTGTAAGAGGCAAGGAGTTTAGTGACTCTATACATAATACCTTTGACCATATGTGGAGAACCAAGGAACATAATGAAGTTGGTTGGTTGCTCCTAAGTTCATTGAACAAAGTGATGAAAAAAATGATGAACCCAGGGATTCTGTCTCCTGGCTTCAGAAGCAGATACAAAGCCTCAAATCTGCTAAGATTGCCCTGAGTCAGTCTTATCTCCTGCAGAGGAAGAGCTGAAATTGTGGAAAAACAGACACAAGCTCTTATCATGCAAGTGGCTAACCTGCAATGAAAGATGCATGCACAGCCTCGCCAGGTGTCTGCTGTTAAAGTGAGGGCATTGATTGGAAAAGAATGGGACCCTGATACTTGGAATGGGGACATAGAGGAGGACCCTGATGAAGCTGGGGACACCAAGTTTGTAAACTCTGAGGAACCTTTTTTGCCAGAAGAAACAGCTTCCCCATCCCCAGTGGTGGCAACATCCCCTCCCTGACCCATGCTGCCATCAGCCTTTCCACCTTTGTCTCAGGAGATAAACCCTGCACTGCTTGAGGCAACAGTGATGGCCTCCCGAGGCAGCTGCCAGGGAAAATGATGTTGATTCTCCTCAGGAGCCACCCCCAATACTCCTTTGCTTCTAGACCTATAATAGTCTGAAGTCCCGGCGAGCCCCTAGAGGTAAAGTTGAGAGTGTGACCCATGAGGAGGTGCACTACACTTGAACTGTTTGAGTTATCTAATTTATATAAACATAAATCTGGAGAACAGGCATGGGAATGGATATTAAGGGTATGGGATAATGGTGGAAGAAACATAAAATTGGATCAGGCTGAATTTACTGATTTGGGCCCACTAAGTAGGGAGTCTATTTTTAATGTTGCAGCTCGGGGAGTTAAAAAAGGTCCTAACAGTTTATATGTTTGGTTAGTTGAAATATGCATTAAAAATGGCCTACTATGAGGAAGATGGAAATGCCTGATCTCCCTTGGGTTAACGTAGAGGAAGGGATCCAAAGGCTTAGGGAAATTAGGATGGTGGAGTGGATTAGACACTTTAGACCTACTCATCCCAGCCTTAGAGGGTCCCGAAGATATACCCTTGACCAATTCTTTGCGAAATAGATTTGTGAGGGCAGCACCTGCATCTTTGAAGAGCCTTGTAATTGCTCTTCTCTGTACATCAAATCTAACAGCGGGAACCACAGTCACTCAAATACCAAATTTAAATACAATGGAAATAACTGGATCCCAAGGTGGCAGGGGCCAAGTGGTGGTACTCAACG
This sequence comes from Homo sapiens, assembly GCF_000001405.40. Taxonomy (NCBI): domain Eukaryota; kingdom Metazoa; phylum Chordata; class Mammalia; order Primates; family Hominidae; genus Homo; species Homo sapiens. The sequence continues at coordinate 165,525,747 of NC_000006.12, forward strand.
GTCAAAGGCAAAGTGGGTGTAGATACTATAATGGACAGCAGAGACAAAACAGCAATCAGAATATTCTTACTCGTGTAGAGCTCTGGCATTGGCTAACTAATCATGGTGTTCCTAGAAGTGAAACTGATAGGAAGTCTACTGTATTCCTACTTAATTTTTCTAAGGAGAAAACTTCTAGGTCAAATGGACAAAAGAGTAATTTAAATTATAAAAACAGACAATTATGGCCCCTCAATTAATTTCCAGACTTTAGCCAGTTTACAGACCCAGAACCCCTTGAATGAAGGGGAGGACGGGTCCCCTTGAAGAAGGACCCCACTATATTACCAACAGTTTATGCGGTGAATCTTTCTCTCATCCTTCCCCAAGGAGACCTCCGGCCTTTTACCAAGGTAACTGTGTACTGGGGAAAGGAAATGATCAGACCTTTTGGGTACTAGTGGACACTGGCTCTGAGCTGATGTTGATTCCAGGGGACTCAAACATCATTGTGGTTCTCCAGTTAAAGTAGGGGCTTATGGAGGTCAGGTAATTAATGGAGCTTCAGCTCAGGTCTAACTTACATTGGGTCTAGTGGGTCCCTGGACTCATCCTGTGGTCATTTCCCCAGTGTCAGAATGCACAATTGGCATAGATGTACTTAGCAGCTGGCAGAACCCCCACATTGGCTCCTTGACTGGGAGGGTGAGGGCTATTATGGTGAGAAAGGTCCAATGGAAGCCATTAGAGCTGCTTCTAGCTAGAAAAATAGTAAATCAAAAATAATATCACATCTCTGGAGGGACTGCAGAGATTAGTGCCACCATCAAGGACTTGAAAGACGAGGGGTGGTGATTCCCACCACATCCCCGTTCAACTCTCCCATTTGGCCTTTGCAGAAGTCAGACGGATCTTGGAGAATGACAGTGGATTATCGTAAGCTTAACCAAGTGGTGAGTCCAATTGCAGCTGCTGTACCAGATGTGGTTTCACTGCTTGAGCAAATTAACACATCTCCTGGTACCTGGTATGCAGCCACTGACTTAGCAAATGCCTTTTTCTCCATTCCTGTCCATAAGGCCCAGCAGAAGCAATCTGACTTCAGCTGGCAAAGCCAGCAATATACCTTTACTGTGTTACCTCAGGAGTATATCACCTCTCCGGCTTTGTGTCACAATCTTATTCGGAGAGACCTTGATCACTTCTTGCTTCTGCAAGGTATCACACTGGTCCACTACACTGATGACATTATGCTGATTACATCCAGTGAGCAAGAAGTAGCAAACCCACTAGACTTATTGGTAAGACATTTGTGTGCCAGAGGATGGGAAATAAATCCGACTAAAATTCAGGGATCTCCTAACCTCAGTAAAATTTCTAGGGGTCCAGTGGTCTGGGGCCTATCAAGATATTCCCTCTAAGGTGAAGAATAAGTTGCTGCATTTGGCCCCTCCTACAACCAAGAAGGAGGCACAATGCCTACTGAGCCTATTTGGATTTTGGAGGCCACACATTTCTCATTTGGTTGTGTTACTCCAGCCCATTTATTGAGTGACCCAAAAGGCTGCCAGTTCTGAGTGGAGTCCAGAACAGGAAAAGGCTCTGCAACAGGTCCAGGCTAACATGCAAGCTGCTCTGCCACTTGGACTATATGACCCAGCAGATCCAATGGTGCTTGAGGTGTCAGTAGTAGACAGGGATGCTGTTTGGAGCCTTTGGCAGGTCCCCATAGGTGAACCACAGCGGAGGCCTCTAGGATTTTGGAGCAAGGCCCTGCCATCTCCACCAGATAACTACTCTCCTTTTGAGAGACAGCTATTGGCCTGGTACTGGGCTTTGGTGGAAACTGAATGTTTTGACTATGGGTCATCAAGTCATCATGCGACCTGAACTGCCCATCATGAACTGGGTGTTTTCTGACCCATCTAGCCATAAAGTGGGTCATGCACAGCAGCATTCTATCATCAAATGGAAGTGGTATATACATGATCAGGCTCCAGCAGGTCCTGAAGGCACAAGTAAGTTACATGAGGAAGTGGCTAAAATGTCCATGATCTCCACTCCTGCCATCTGCCTTCTCTTCCTCAGTCTGTCAGTCTGTACCGATGGCCTCATGGGGAGTTCCCTATGATCAGTTGACAGAAGAAGAGAAGGCTAGGACCTGGTTCACAGATGGTTCTGCACGATATGCAGGCACCACCCAAAAGTGGATAGCTGAGGCACTACAGCCCTTTTCTGGGATATCCCTAGAGGACGGCGGTGAAGGGTAATCTTCCCAGTGGGCAAAACTTTGAGCAGTGCACCTGGTTGTGCACTTTGAATGGAAGGAGAAATGGCCAGATGTGTGATTATATACGGATTCATGGACTGTAACCAACGGTTTGGGTGGATGGTCAGGGACTTGGAAGAAGCATGATTGGAAAATTGGTGACAAAGCAATTTGGGGAAGAGGTATGTGGATGGATCTCTCTGAGTGGTCAAAAACTGTGAAGATATTTGTATGCCACGTGAGTGCTCACCAATGGGTGACCTCAGCAGAGGAGGAGTTTAGTAATCAAGTGGATAGGATGAACCATTCTGTGGACACCACTCAGCCTCTTTCCCCAGCCACCCCTGTCATCGCCCTATGGGCCAATGAACAAAGTGGCCATGGTGGCAGGGATGGAGGTTACGCATGGGCTCAGCAACACTGGACTGAGTGTCCAATTTGCCAGCAGCAGACACCAACACTAAGCCCTCGATATGGCACCATTTCTCAGGGTGATCAGCTAGCTACCTGGTGGCAGTTGATTATATTGGGCCTCTTCCATCATGGAAAGGGCAGAGGTTTGTTCTCAATGGAATAGACACTTACTCTGGATATAGGTTTGCCTATCCTGCATGCAATGCTTCTGCCAAGACTACTGTCCGTGGATTCACAGAATGCTTTATCCACCATCATGGTAATCCACACAGCAGTGCCTCTGACCCAGGCACTCACTTTATGGCTAAAGTAGTGCAGCAGTGGGCTGATGTTCATGGAATTCACTGGTCTTACCATGTTCCCCATCATTCTGAAGCAGCTGGATTGATAGAACAGTGGAATGGCCTTTTGAAGTCACAATTACAACACCAACTAGGTGACAATATTTTGCAGGGCTGGGGCAAAGTTCTCCAGAAGGCTGTGTATGCTCTGAATAAGTGTCCAGTATATGGTACTGTTTCTCCCATATTCAGGATTAATGGATCCAGGAATCAAGGGGTGGAAGTGGAAGTGGCACCACTCACCATCACCCCTAGTGATCCATTAGCAAAATTTTTGCTTCCTGTTCCTGAGACATTACATTCTGCTCTCCTAGAGGTCTTATTTCCAGAGGAAGAAACACTGCCACCAGGACTCACAACAACGATTCCATTAAACTGGAAGATTGCCACAGGGACACTCTGGGCTCCTCCTACCTTTAAGTCAACAAGCTAAGAATGGAGTTACAGTGTTGACTGGGGTGACTGACCCAGACTATCAAGATGAAATCAGTCTATTACTCCACAACGAAGGTAAGGAAGAGTATGCATGGATTACAGGAGATCCGTTAGGGCATCTCTTAGTATTACCATGCCCTGTGATTAAAGTCTATGGGAAACTATAAGCCCTGTGATTAAAGTCAATGAGAAACTACAATAGCCCAATCCAGGCAGGACTACAAATGGTCCAGACCCCTCAGGAATGAAGGTTTGGGTCACTCCACCAGGGAAAAAACCATGACCTGCTGAGGTGCTTGCTGAAGGCCAAGGAAATACAGAATGGGTAGTAGAAGAAGGTAGTCATCATACCAGCTACGACCACATGACCAGTGGCAGAAATGAGGACTGCAACTGTCATGAATATTTCCTCCTCCTTTTGTTAAAAACATGATTGTGCGTGTATACACTTGTACTAATATCTTTATTTCCTTTTCTTTTATCATGTTACGTAAGATTTACTGACTTCATATCGGCATTGAAGTATTGTTCACTTTATGGAATAGTATTTGGGTTGGAGATTGGTGCATCTCCTGTTGTACGAAGGATAGCTGTATTATGTTAGGCGTAATTATGACTTTATTATTGTCTTTATTTGAACATTGCCTATGATCGCAGGAGACGTGTATGGGTTCAAGTTGACAAGGGGTGGACTTGTGATGGTTTATACTGAGTGTCAACTTGATTGGATTGGAGGATGCAGAGTATTAATCCTGGGTGTGTCTGTGAGGGTGCTGCCAAAGGAGATTAACATTTGAGTTAGTAGGCTGGGGAAGGCAGACCCACCCTTAAGCTGGTGGGCACCATCTAATCAGCTTCCAGCAAATATAATACAGGCAGAAAAACGTGAAAAGGTGAGACTGGCCTAGCCTCCCAGCCTACATCTTTCTCCCATGCTGGATGCTTCCTGCCCTGGAACATGGGACTCCAGGTTCTTCAGTTTTGGGACTCAGACTGGCTCTTCTTTCTCCTCAGCTTGCAGACAGCCTACTGTGGGAACTTGTGATTGTGTAAGTTAATACTTTAAGTAAAATCCTCTTTATATATGTGTGTGTGTGTGTGTGTGTGTGTGTGTACACACACACCCTATTAGTTCTGTCCCTCTAGAGACCCCTGAAACAACCACCAAGAAAGTGGGAGACAATATTTGCAAACTATGCATCCAAAAAAGGTCTAATAACCAGAATCTATAAAGAACTTAAACAAACCAACAAGCGAAAAACAAATAACCACATTAAAAGTGGGCAAATGACATGAACAGAAAAACTACCTATTGAGTACTATGCTAACTTCCTACTGAGTACTATGCTCACTACCTGGGTGATGGGATCAATTGTCAAACTTCAGCATCATGCAACAGACCCATGTAAAACACCTGCACATGTACCCCCCCCACGAATCTAAAATAAAAGTTAAAATTTAAAAATAGTTTCCAGCAAAACTTTATTCTTTGATGCTCCACAAACGTAATATAGATATAAAAAGTTTTTGCTTCAATTTTAAAAATTTGAGCCACTGCATTAAGATATGTTTAAGTCATCAGTTGATACTGACATGACAAACCATCAGATAAGTGTGCTGATGTTTTGGAGAGGCATCAATCAACCAGGGAGACTGAAACTTCACTGATATTTTCAAACCAAACAATACTATGAAAATTCATTCAAAATATATATTATCAAATCTCCTTCAAACCTTTCAATAACTTGACATTGCTTGCAGCATGAAATCCTCAATCTTTATACATGTCCCAAAAGGCCTTGCATGACAGATCCTTGACCACTTCTCCATCCTCCTCCTCTACATGGGAGCCTTTCCATCACTTCCTTCCTCTCCCTTCTATTTAATCAACTCTAGTCATTCTTTGTGCCTCTGCTTAAACTCTGGTGTCTCAGGGAACCCTTTCCAAACCCCCAGAGGAGATCACATACTCTAACTACATGCACTCATTGTACGTTGCCCTTTCCTTTTAGCACTTGTATAACTGATTTCAGTTATATTTATGGTCTAATTGGTTGCTTACTATTTTTGCCCCATTTAGATTCAAAGCTCCATTATAGCTGAATCTGTGTCTAATGCTTAGCAAGCGTTACGCACATACTAGATATTTGGTAAAACTGAGGAAAATAAATTAATTTGTAAACCCAATGAGACCAAAACTGAGCTGTGTGCTTTTCTATATTCCAGTTCAGCCATCAGCTTCTTATGTGACAATCTAAATGACTAATGATAATTTATTATTGAGGGGAAAAAAGGAAATCATCAATAATGGAGCATTCATAAATGTAGACTAAATGTTCATTATCCTTTGAACAAAAACAGAAGTTGGGGCAAAACCTTCAACAACAAAAAATTTCCAGATGCCCTTAAAATATTTTTCTATTTCTTTCCTATTAAAAAACAGTATTTACAAGAACAATGTAAATGTACCTATAAATCCCACATCCAAAACAACCACAATCACATATTTTATTAGCATTTATGTGTTGATTATTATCTCACAGAAAAGAATTATATATAGTTCTGCAACTCACCATACTTTATTTAAGCTATCAATTAAATACCTAATTTTGAATATTTATGCTCTTTCTACTTTTCCTATTACAATCAATGTAGAACACCAACAGGCTAATATATGAAATGGGAATTAAAAGACAAAACCTTTAAACCATCTTCTTGCATTCTTAAAATAAGAAAAATAATTTCAAGATTTATAATCTGTAGCAAAACTACCTCATAGCATACCACATCAAAATTACTGGTACAAAAATGAACAACAACAATTTAAAAACCCAAAAACTTTTTTAAAAAAAGGAGTAACAAGCATATTCATTGTATCCAAACTGTTGTTTGAATTGAACTGTCATGCTAGCCAACCGGCTTTACACTAACCTCTGCTTTCCGTGAAACTGGCTTCTAATTGGAATTGTTTGTGCCAGCTCCTCCCGTCTCGGGGCTCTGGGAGAAAGTCAATCACAGGAGCTCTGCTTTCCTGCCTTTGCTCATGTTGCTCCTCAGCCCATGACAGCACCACATTTATTCTCCCATGTTTATTCTCCATAAGGAGAATAGATAGATTCTCCTTATCTATTGCTAGATAAGCGCATATCTAGTATGTGCGTAACGCTTGCTAAGCATTAGACACAGATTCAGCTATAACGGAGCTTTGAATCTAAATGGGGCAAAAATAGTAAGCAACTAATTAGACCATAATTATTGAAATCAGTTATACAAGTGCTAAAAGGAAAGGGCAATGTACAATAAGTGCATGTAGTTAGAGTATGTGATCTCCTCTGGGGGTTTGGAAAGGGTTCCCTGAGACACTAGAATTTAAGCTGTGCCTGGAGCTACTAGTAGTTCCCAAACTAGCAAGCATCAGAATTACCTGGGGAGCTAGCCAAAACACAGACTTCCAGGCTCCTCCACCAGAGGTTCTGATTTAGCAAGTCTGGGGTGAGACCCGACCCATGACATTTCTAACTAGTTCCCAGGTGATGTTCATGTTACTGGTCTGGGGATCACACTAGTATCAGCGGCCTAGTTCAACCACTCCAAGAAAACACTTTCCAGTTTTCATGCCTCTTCATGACTTCAAGTCTCACAGTCTTGTCTTTATAAATCTACACCATCCCATTTAACACTTGCTTACACACCGGAGTCACTGCTCTCTAAAGGCTTCATATATTCTTTCACCACAAAATAAGAAGTTTCTCAAGGTCAGTAGCACAAGAAATACTACTCTGGTGACACAAATTACTCAGGATACAGCAGACAGAGAGCATGGACTCAGTATCTCAGCCCAGTCAGAATGGCTAAAACTAAACCATGTGGATTCTTCAATCTCAAGCAAATTTAATTTATTTTAAAATTCATACTTGCTTAGCAAGTACATTATACTGGATTTTTTCAAATATATAGTCACAAAATATATTAAAATAACCTTATTCTTTGATGGTGTGTTTATCTGACTTCCCCTAAATGAAAGTGATGTTCTTGAGAGAAGCAAGTTTATACAGTAATATGTCACTTAATGGTGAGATACAGTCTGAGAAACGCATTGTTGTAATTCACTGTTGTGAGAACATCATAGAGTGACTTGCACAAACCTAGATGGTATAGCCTACTTCACCTAGGCTATAAGGTGGTATAGTCTATCTCTCCCAGGCTCCAAACCTGTACAGCATGTGACTGTACTGAATACTGTAGGTAGCTATAATACAATGGTAAGTATCTGTGTGTCTAAACACAGAAAAGGCACAGAAAAGATATGGCATTACAGTCTTATGGGACCACCTTCCTTCGTAGAGGTGGACTATATTTCTTGTTCTCCAATTATACATTCATAGTGGATACTCAATAAATACTTGCTCATTGGCATACTAAATGACTAGCCAGAAAATGAATAGTACTGGCACATTCCAGGTACAACCCTCTCAAGTGGATGTTTCTAGAAATAATTATTCAACCTTAGGTCAAATAATTTAGATGACTGTTAAATCTTCAGGAAGCTTTTAAGAAGCAGATTCTTTTTAACTGGGAAATGGTTTTGCCACTTATATTTCATAGGGTTTTAATTTGTTTTTAAAAATCACTTCAGAAATCAATATAGTTTGCAACAAAGCTATTATATTTATTTGAATTAGTTTCATAATCTCTAACATTATTCGTGATAATATGACTTAATCTATAAAATTATCAAAATCCAAATAAATTTGGTTGGACTGCTGTGGATCCTTGGTCAAAAGGCATAAGTGATTTCCCTAACCTGGCCAAATACTCTCAGAAAGAATATATCAGATGAGAATAGGCAATTTTATGGTGGTATGCTCATAGACTAAGAAAAAAGAAAGAAGACTCAAACAAAACCAGATATGACAAAGGAGACATTTTAACAGATACCACAGAAATTTAAAGGATCATTAGAGACTGCTATGAACAAAGATACACCAATAAGTTGGAAAGTCTAAAAGAAACAGAAAAATTCCTAGACACACATAACCTGACACGACTGTACCAGGAAGAAATAGAAAACCTGAAGAGACTGATAACAAGTAACAAGATAGATGCAATAATAAAAAGTCTTCCATCAAAAAAAAAAAAAAAAGTCCAGGACCTGACAGTTTCATTGATGAATTTCCCAAAATACTTAAAGAAGAACCACCCCAATTCTATTCAAAGTATTTCAAAACACTGAGGAGGAGAAAATACTTTCAAACTCATTCTATGAGGCCAGCATTATCCTGATTCCAAAACCAGACAAAAACACAACAGCAAAAAGAAAATTACAGGCCAGTATCACTAATGAACATGATGAAAAAATCTTCAACAAAATACTAAAAAACTAAATTCTGTAATACATTAAAAATCCATTCATCATAATTAAGCGGGATTCATATCTAAACATGTAAAGATGGTTTCAACATATGCAAATCAATAAATATGATATATCACATTAATAGAATGAGACAGAAAGCATATGATCATTTGAATAGATGCTGAAAAAGCATTCAATAAAATTCAACATTCCTTTATGATAAAAACGCTCAGCAAACTGGCTATAGAAGAAACATACCTCAAAACAATAAAGGCCATATACAACAAACCTATAGCTAGCATGACACTGAACAGGGAAAAACTGAAGCCTTTCCTGTAAGATCTAACAAGACAAAGATGCCTGCTTTCACAACTTATTCAATATAGTACTGGAAGTCCCAGCCAGAGCAATTACACAAGAGAAAGAAATAAAGAGTATCTAATTGGAAAGGAAGAAGTCAAGCTGTCCTGGTTTTCAGATGACACGATCTTGTATTTCAAAAAACATAAAGACTTTAGCAAACAAGCTATTTGAACTGATACACGAATTCAGTAAAGTTGCAGGATACAAAATCAACATATGATAATCTGTAGCATTTCTATATGTCGAAAGCAAACAATCTAAAAATGAAATCGAGAAAGCAATCCCATTTACAATACCTACAAAAGAAACCCCGGGAATCTGCCTTTTAAAATATATATATATATATATGATACATGTGTAGTTTTGTTACACAGATACACTGCACAGTGGTGAGGTCTGGGATTTTAGTGTAGCCATCGCCTAAATACTGTAACCTGTACCCATTAAGTAAATTCTAATTCCTTACTCTCCTCCCAATCTTCCACCCTTCCACATATGCAAGATCTATTATTCCACTCTCTATGTCCATGTGTACATATTATTTAACTCCTACTTATAAGTGAGAACATACAATATGTGATTTCCATTTCTGAGTTATTTCATTTAAGATAATGGTTTCTAGTTCCATCCATGTTGCTGCAAAAGACATGATTTCATTATTTTCCATGGCTGAGTAGTATTCTATGGGGTGTGTGTGTGCGCGTGTGTGTGTGTGTGTGTACACACACATTTTCTTTGTCCAATCATCTGTTGATAAGCACTTAGATTGGTTCCATATTTTTGCTATTGTGAATAGTGCTGCAATAAACATACAAGCACAGGTATCTTTTCTATATAATGATTTATTTTCCTAGGAATAAACTTAAGCAAAGAAGTGAAAGATACCTACAATTAAAACTATAAAACATTGATGAAAAAAACTGAAAGCAAAAAAATATGGAATTATGTTCATGGATTGGAAGAATAATCATGTACTATTAAAATGTCCATACTACCCAAAGCAATCTACAGATTCAATGCAATCTCTCTCAAAATAACATTGTTCACAGAAATAGACAAAACAACCTTAAAATTCATATAGAAACAACAAAAGACCCATAAAAGTCAAAGCAATTCTGAGCAAAAGGAACAAAGCTGGTGACATCACATTACCTGGTTTCAAATTACAATATAAACCTATAGTAACCAAAACAGCATGGTACTAGCATATAAACAGACATATAGACCAAGAGAACAGAACACAGATGGCAGAAATAAATCCATATTTTTTAGTCAACTCATTTTTGACAAGGACGCCAAGAACATACAATGAGGAAAGGACAGTCAAGTCTTCTGGTGCTGGGAAAACTGGATATTCATATGCAGAAGAATGATAAAGTACACCCCTATCTCTCACCTTATACATAAATCAAAATGGATTAAATACTTAAACATAAGACCTAAAACTAAGAAGCTACCAGAAAAAAACATTGGGGAAATGCAACAGGGCATTGGTCTGGACAAAGATTTTTTTGAGTAAGACCTCAAAAGCACAGGCAACCAAAGCAAAAACTGACATGTGATCACCTCAAGCTTAAAAACTTCTGCAAGCAAACAAAGTGAAGAGACAACCTACAGAATAGGAGAAAATATCTGCTAACTATTCAACTGACAAAAAATTAATAACCTGAACAGGAATAAGGAACTCAAACAGATCAATAGTAAAAAAAAAAAAATCTGAGCAAAAAATTAGCAAAAGATCTGAATAGGTATTTCTCAAGAGGAGAAAGACATACAAATACCCAACAGGTATATGAAAAAATGCTCAATATCACTAATCATCAGGAAAATGCAAATCAAAACCACAGTGAGATATCATCTTACCTCAGTTAAAATGACTGTTGTCAAAAAAGACAGAAAACAACAAATGCTGGCGAAGAAAGGGGAATGCTCGTACGCTATTGGTAGGAATGTAAATTACTACAGCCATTATGGAAAACAGTATGGAGGCTCCTCAAAAAACTAAAAACAGAGCTACCATAAAATGCAGTGGTACTGCTAACTATATATCTCAAAGAAAGGAAATCAGCATATCAAAGATATATCTGTCCTCCCATGTTTATTGCAGCACTATTCATAGTAGCCGAAATATGTAATCAACCTAAGCACCCATTAATGGGTGAATGGATAAAGAAAATGTGATATATACAAAACGAAATATTATTCAGCCATGAAAAATACAACCCTATCATTTGCAGCAACATGGATGGAACTAGAGTCCATTAAGTGAAATAAGCCAAGCACAGAAAGACAAAAATTGCATGTTCTTACTCATATGTGAGAGGCTAGAAAAGGGATCTCACGAAGGAAGAGAGTAGATTGGTAGTTACCAGAGGCCGGGAACACCAGTGAGAAGAAATGGTTAAGAGTGGTTGGTTAACAGGTACAAAATTACAGTTATATAGAAGGAATAAGATCTAGTATTTGGTAGCACAATAGGGGGACCAATCATTAAACCTGAATAGTAGATTTGGGATATTCTCAACACAAAGAAATGATAAATGTTCGCAGTAGTGGATATCTCAATTACCCAGATTTGATTATTACATTGTATGCTTGTATCAAATATCACCTGAACCTCATAAATATGTATAATTACTAAGTATTCATAATAATATATTCATAATTTTAAATTTTAAAATATGTAAATACCAAAGATCCATCTTTATGATAATGTGAACACACAATTAACAGAAATAATAGAATATGCCAAATAACTCTTTATAGATGAATTCGTATCAACTTTATCTCCTTTCTAGTCACCAGATGGTGGACTCATGTTTATTTATAATTCAGATCAAGACATTCAACACATTTTCTGGTTTCCATTACCAAAAAATATAAATAAAATATATGAAAATTCTGTGTAAGAATGTAATTTAACATTTGAGACAAAAAAATTGAAGGAAAAAGAGAAGAGTGTCCAAAATTAGGTTTCATGCAAACCATTTCAAAAACGTGTTTTTTTCTTATCATGAAAATATACTAATAGTTAATATATTATTTATTAGTATCCCACTTACTAAACCTTCCAACACCGAATGTTTTGGCAAAGTAATTTATGCCCCATTAATTTAATATCCTTCTTCCGTATATATACTAGCACAGAAACCATCCGTTACATATTAAACCATACAAATGCAATTTAATCTGAATTTTAGGTTATCAAATAGTAGGTTTAGGGGGCATAATTTAAATCCTACTTATTCTAAGAATAAAATATCTAACTGCTTTATTCGTATGAAAATTAAATCCCACTTCTAGAATCACTGAAAGGAGAAAAACATATACTAACTACATTATTTGAGAAAAAAGAAAACTTCAATTATTTGTTGAAAAAAATTTAAGGTATCAGGCAGCACAAATATTTTCATTACTAATTATTTGAATTTATAGGTACAATGATAGTGATACGGTCGGCTATTGAATATTTTAGACACGATCATAGAAATAAAATTACTGCCCACAAAAGGTGGCATTCTACTTACAATTTTCAAATGATTGTGGGTTCATCAATCACCCTCTGGAATACTAAGTAACTCGCCTTTAAGAAATTAATGTTACAATTACATTTGAGGTTTTTAAGAAATTAATCCACTTATTTTAAATATTATTCTACTACAAAAAGATGCCAAATATAGTCATGCTACCATTCACTTCTTCATGCACCCTTTCTAATACCACCGACACTGTCAACTCACAATTTTTTACATTAGGGGCCAAAAGGAGACACTGCTGATTGTCAAGGTAAGTCGTGATTCTTCCTACTTATAACTGAAATACTGGAACGGCATTAGTGGTGGGAAATTGTTTTCCATTTTAGAATATTCTTATAAGAAATGCAAAACAATGGACCTTCATTATATCCTAATGTTTATTTAATAATATATACTTTGTACAAATACAGACGTGTAAATGTTAAATCATTTAGTAATCTGAGTCTTGAAGGGTACCAGCTGGAGGAAATTTACTGTCAAATTTACTTTGCATAAAAATATAACATTTAGTGGGCAACATATGCCTAGATAATTTTCTTTATTTTCCTACATTTTTTCAAAATGAATGTATAGTCGTTTGATGAAACCTGTTTAAAACTCTGCTTCGAAGCTATATTTTCTTCTGAGGATGTATCGGCTTTAATGCTTCCTGAGGAAGTTTTTATATATTCCCTAAATAAGTACAACAGGTTATAAAATGAATAAATGCAATCTCTAATTTCCATATATCACTGAAAAAATGGTGGTTTGGAATTTAGGTTCAGAGATCAACTTTTAAAAAGCAATTTTCCTCTCAACTGTAGATAGAATTTTATGTATCTGAAATGAAAATGCTATGAAAGCAATAAAATTAAACTGAAAATAAGAGTTAGAAAAAAAGACTCTGGAATTTAGATCTTTGAGGAGTTGTCATGTTATATACATTTCCCAAAACCTCCTTCTACCTGTCAAAACAAAATCTCGTCGTAATCGCGCCTCTTTCTCTGTAAGACTTTCCCTGACAGGGAAACTACCAGCTTGGACTCTGCTTAAACCCACTGCCAGACTAACTAGAAGAAAGGAATAAATTACAACTCCTTCCTTCTATTTGTAGACTGAGAACCCTTTAACAATTTAATAATCCCAGCACCTGAACAGAACTTGACACACAGTTTGCTGAATGAATGAAAACACAAGGAACCTGTGGGAATTAAAATATGTATCGGCTGGGAGCAGTGCCGCATGGCTGCAAGCCCAGCGCTCCGGGAGGCTGGGGTGGGGGATCACTTGAGGTCAGGATTGGGAGACCAAGCTGGCCGACACGTTGAAACTCTGTCTCTAATAAAAAAAAAAATACAAATAGTAGCCGGGCGTGGTGGTGCGCACCTGTAATCCCAGCTACTCTGGAGGCTGAGGCAGGAGAATCACTTGAACCTTGAGGCGGAGGTTGCAGTGAGCCGAGAGCACACCACTGCACTCCAGCCTGGGCAACAGAGCAACACTTTGCTCAAAAATCAATCAATCAATTATATAATATCTTCCCTCAAGCAAGAGGCTATTAAATGAGTATGAGGGACAGAAGCATAAAAATAGCTCTGTGTCCCCATAGTATGAGAAGCAAATGTAGCGACCCTCAGGCTATTTCACTTGGAGGTTTAGTATTTAACCCTCCCTAATTTATTCATTCATTCGAAAATGTGAGGAATACAAAATTTACTATGATGCACGCAGTTCATGCCTTCAAATTGATCTCATAGCGAGCGTCTCATGATTCTATCGAGATTCAGATGCCTGACCCCTGGTGATCCTTTAGCTTCCCTTTGAAAGTTTAGCCAAATATAAATCCTTTTGAAACAAAATAAAAATTCTGCTGCAATACTCAAATCAAATACGGTCAGCGTTCACACTGCTTACAGGTGTTTTTTTCTTTTATTATTATTTTTGACATAATAATTGTACATATTTATGGGGTACAGTGTGTTACACGGTTTTATTTCATTTTCTTTTTTCTAAATGACAAAAAATGAAATAATTTAGATAGGCTTGTCTCATTTTCAACAAGCTATTCTCCAATATCTTCTATCTGCCACAGTTTCTGTTCCTGGTTCCACTCATGGAAATGAAAACACTCCCTGAAAATCCTCTCCACAAAAATTTTCTTCCTCAAAAAGTTTTCGGTGAAGCAACGTGGAAGGAGAATAAGGCATACTTGAGAACGGGACTTTCTTTTTTTGTTTGTTTGGTTGCTCTGCTGCCCAGGCTGGAGTGCAGTGGTGCGATCTCTGCTCACTACAACCCACACCTCCCAGGTTCACGCGATTATTGTGCCTCAGCCTCCCAAGTAGCTGGGATTACAGGCATGCGCCACTATGCCTAGCTAATTTTTGTATTTTTAGTAGAGTCAGGGTTTCACCAGGTTAGCCAGGCTGGTCTCGAACTCTTGACCTCAAGGGATCTTCCCACCTCGGCCTCCCAAAGTGTTGGGATTATAGGCATAAGTCACCACGCCCAGAGAACAGGACATTTTCTAAAGTAACAGGAAGAAAGGAAAGAAGGGAGGAAAGAATGAAGGGAGGAAGCCTGGTTTTTATATAGGCCTCAAGGGCCATGCTACAGAATTTCACTGAACATGAAGCGATATATGATGAGATACATTCTTTTGATAAACACTCTCAGAAGACAGGCTGAAGGGGGTCTTACTAGGCTGCACAGTGGAATGTAAGGTTCCTTTTTATATACTTCCAGTGCTTGTATCCCTGTTTACTACTGATGCATTCTGCTAAGTGGCTCTATGTCTATTCCCACAACTAGATGGTAAACTCCAAGTCACATCTCACTCAGCCGCTTTCCACTGTCCCTAGCCCTCTGCAAGGTCAAATAAAAAACATCTCCTTATAAGAAAAAAAAAAAGTTAAGTGAGGAGGAGAATAACTGAGTAGAGTTTCAGTTACACACTGCTGGTCTTAACAATTATTTAACTCTTCTGTACATGTGTTCAATAAAGTATTATTTGATTAATATAGAAAACAAAGATTTGGGAGGTAGGAAATGACACACTGACAATGTTTATGAAAATTCAAGAGTTAGTTTTTATGGTAGCACTACAATAGGTTCTAGGACCTGTACTCAATTTCATATCCCACAAAGACCATATATTCTTACACTACACTATTATCCCTCATTATATAGCAAGCTGAAATTTGCATCTTTTTTTATCAAGTGCTTAAGCAAAGCTCAGCCACACTTTTGAAAGTGTCAAACATTTAAACTGTTTTCAAATGTTTGAGGCTTATAAAAACTAAATTATGCTATGTCAAGCTTTCTTTAAGGTTAGTCTTGATATTAAATGCCAAGATTGAGAAGACAATGCCTGTTTCTGATTTATTATTTCTCTTCTCCCCTCCCTCTCAATCCACACTTACAGGCATACACATACAAACACATTCACATACACTTACTTTAAAAACTACTTCATATTTCAGCACAAAAGCCCTCATTTAAAAAACATTACCACTATAAAAAATGCAAAACAAAATTTCAGAAACTTTAAAAATTAGTGAGAAAAATTACCTATACTTCTAACACCATAACATTTTAATAACAATTATACATTTTTATTCATTGCTATTAGACATTTTAGAACTTTAAGATAACACCTTTTTACACTAATAAAGTTTCCCCCAAATAGTATCTTTGTGTTTTTAATATAAAAGTTATACAACAAACCTCCTAGTTCTGTACATGTATCCCAGAGCTTAAAGTATAATTTAAAAAAAGTTGAACAGTCAAAAACACATATAAAATTGTCACAATAAAAACAATATTCACAGAAATAAGTTTAGCCAAATATAAATCCATTTGAAACAAAATAAAAATTATGCAATATTCAAATCAAACAATCCAATATATTAATATACATTCAGTTTGAGGAAAAAATTATTTTGCTTCCCATCCCCTTTGAGCCTCTAGTTCTTTATTCGTGAATATAACTGCTTCTTAAACAGTCTCCATTAAAAATACACGTGTTTCAGAGACTAAGAGAACAACATGCAAAGAGACTCCTACTGTAGAAAGCTACTTTGCAGAAAATTTAAACCACGATGTGCTTAAAATGCCAGGATCTCAAAAGTTAAAACAGTGGTTCTGCACTCCTTTTCTCATTTCATGAGTGTTTAGGTCAAAAAGATGTCCTTGTTCTTTTTTTTTTTTTTTTTTTTTTTTTTGAGACAGTCTTGCTCTGTTGCCCAGGCTGGAGTGCAGTGGCGCGATCTCGGCTCACTGCAAGCTCCGCCTCCCGGGTTCACGCCATTCTCCTGCCTCAGCCTCCTGAGTAGCTGGGACTACAGGTGCCCACCACCATGCCCGGCTAATTTTTTGTATTTTTAGTAGAGATGGGGTTTCACTGTGTTAGCTAGGATGGTCTCGATCTCCTGACCTCGTGATCCGCCCGCCTCAGCCTCCCAAAGTGCTGGGATTACAGGCGTGAGCCACTGCGCCCAGCCAATATACTTGTTCTTTTACTGAAAGTTTACTGACAACAAATCTTCTAGAGTCTGAGTGTGAATGAAAGTCAAATGCCAAGTCTACAGTGCTTTCCCAATATAAAAATTGTTTTTATATTGGCTTGTTTTTGTAAAGGATTTCTTTTTGTAATAGACTTATCTTTGTAAAATATAGTATCTTTGAAATACATACTATGAATAATGTTTATCTAATCACTAAAAATAATCCTTAAATAAAATCAATTATAATACTGACTTCTGCATTTTTCAATATGGTTGTAACTTAATCAACTGAATTCTCAAGATTTGCCAAATTTTTATTTTTAATTAGTCACGGATCTTTCTTTTGTATTTATTTCTTCTCTAACTTACTTTATCTTTTTAAATGGAATAACTCTGATAGAATTACAGTGTTAATATTTGTCTACTTTATATTTCACACTCTAGAATATATTAAATGCTTAGTCTTTTGCCGTAAGATAGAAAAAGCTGGTTTAAAATGAGATCCACAAGAGACCTTACCTTCTGATTTGTTGTTCTTCCTCTTCAGCCATTTCTCTACTGTCTCTGCACTAACACTTTCAGATACAAATTCATCTAATACCTGGGGGTGAAGAGAAAGATATGCCTTCACTTTTTCATCTGTCAAACCTGTAAAAGAATTGAAAAGAATAAAATTCACCTATACAACATCCTCATATCAATGAAAGGTATAGTATCACAACACATTATGCTAAGACCCAGCAACCTCTCATCTAACGGAGAGAGGGCTGGAAAGAGCGGGAAGGGGAAGCTACTGCTTAGTGGGTACAGAGTTTCTACTGGGAGTGACAGCAAAGTTTTGGAACTAGACAGGTGAATACTGCCCAACATTGGGAATATACGTAATGCCACTAAATTGTACGCTTAAAACAGCATTTAAAATGGTAAAAAAACACCATTTTTCATATATACGTGTGTGTGTGTGTGTGTGTATGACCACAATAAAAAAGAATGCAGTTAGTTTAGCAATTTTAAACTACAGATATTACATCATGTTACATAGCTGTTTCTAGCAATAAATTTCAGAGTTACATATGAACCAATGCCAAGAACCAATGCTGTACATTAAGGCTTACAGAGTACTTATTTTTTCGGTATATAGTTACCACAGATTTAGTGGTCAAAGCAAGTGAAACTCTAGCAAGAGTAGTAAACAGGAAAATGTAGCACTGAAACATTATAGGTGCTACAAATTGTTTAATAAATAAATGAATACATTATTATCTTTTATTGCCTTACAACACAAATCCTTCCTTTTTCTCAAAGTCATTAAACCCAGTGGTATAACTAATGTTCAGTTCAGAATAATCTTGACATTTATTCGTTAATATTCTGTGTATGTAGTCAGTTTCACTGAAATACTTTTCATAGTCCAATGATAAGTACTGAATATACATAAGATTTGCAAACAAAGTATTTTCACATGTTTTCATATCTCACATATAAAGTATATGTTTTCAATTTGGTGCTTTGTGTTGGTATGCCATTTCATTAAACAACCCCAAACACAAACAGGCTTTGAATAATTATCCTTCAGTGACGGGAATTATTTTTACTACTGTATCTTTTCTGTGAATTATTTGAATAAATTACCCTTTTTAGGGATGGTTAGGTTAAAAAAAAAAAAAAAGCAATGAAAAACTGCACTCTGAGAAAAAAAAGAAGGAAAGGAAGCATATCTTTATGACTCCAGAGAGTAGGCTGTATGTTTTCCCAAACAGACAAAGCAGAGAATTCATATGTGTTAATTAATTCTGCTGGGAACTAAAGTCACAACTGTTGGGATTCTACAACAGAATGGTATAACTGAAAAGGAAAATGACTTCTTTCAATGAAATTGGTAGTTAAATAGTCAATTTAAACACACACACACACACACACATATACACACACAAATAGAGTTGTATAAGACAAATGAAAATAAGATCTCTGGCTATATTCACCCTGCAAAAGAGCCCCAGTGGTGTAAAATTCAGTGTGAGAAATTCTATAAAATGCTAAAGATAATTGGCTCAATAAAGTAAGTAAGTGCTCTCCTGGCACAGCAAATTATAGTCCCTAAAAACAAAAGGTGCAGGATACTACAGTAAGCTGATAGCATACTTGACCTTTGAGAAGACAGATAATGCAAATTTCATGCTCTCTTTAGGTCCTCCATATTCAATATTGATTCCTTCTTAAAATTTCTTTCTGCCACTCCCATGACACAAGGCTATAGAATTCTTATCCTAACTTTCTAACTGCTCTTGAATTCTACTTTCTCTTCAACAATCCATAATGACGACACCAAAATCTAAATCAGGAATCTTAACATATTTTTAATCTCCAGTCTAGCTACTTTCCCATCACCTCAAGCTCCATCTTAAGTCAAAACTATATGAGTTATCTCCTTCTCACTTCTTCCCAAAGAGATTTTAACTCTTGGTTTTCCTTTTTGTGTTACTATTACTCTACATTTTCCCAGAAACTGAGGCTGAAAAATATAGTAATAACTGACTCATTCCGACTTGTCATCTCATTTCATCTTAGTGCATTACCATACAAGTCATATTTGCCAAATTACATGAGATAAAAGATATGCATCCAAAATAAACAAAAAAACACTCGTTAAACTCAACAATAAGAAAACAATCAACCCAACTGAAAAATGGGCCAAAGGCCACTTCAGTAAAGAAGATATAGATATGGCAATAAACATTTAAAAAGATGCTCATTTGTTAATCATGAATTGAAGTTAAAACAAAAATGAGATTCTATTACACACCTATTAGAATGGCTAAAATTAAAAAAAAACTGACAGTACCAATTGTTGGCATGGATGCAAAGCAACAAAAATTATCATTTAATCATGATAAGGATGCAAAATGCTACAGTGACTTTGAAAGACTGTTTGGCAGTTTCTTACAAAGCTAAATAGAGTCTTTCTGTATGACCCAAAAATCTCACTAGTAAGCATTTACCCAATGGATATGAAGACTTATGTCCACACAAAAACCTCCATGTGAGTGTTTTTGGCAGCTTTACTCATAATCACCCAAATCTGGAAGCAATCAAGATGTCCTTCAATACACAAATGGATAAACAAACTGTGATACATCCATACGACTAAATATTTCACACTAAAAAGAAACGGGCTAACAAGCCATGAAGTAACATGGATGAGTCTTAAATGCATATTGCTATGAGAAGAAAAGCCAGTCTAAAAAGGATACATATTACACAATTCCAACTATACAACACTGGAGAAAAGGCATAAGCTGCAGAGGTAGTAAAAAGATCAGTAACTACCAGGAGCTCAAGGGGAAAGGGCAAATTATGAATAGGTAAAGTACAGGGGATCTTTTAGGATGATGAAACTATTCTGTAAGACACTATAACGATGAATACATGACACTATGAATTTGCCAAAAATCTGTAGAACTTTATAGCACAAAGAGTAAACTATCACGTATGTAAATTTTTAAAAACTCAATTACAAGGTCAGGGGATCTCAGGATGGAAAGCATAATGCAACACAAGAATCTAAATGTATTACACATGTAATATAAAACGTATAAAACAACCTCCCTGAAGCGGGTGGCAGAGGATAAGGTGCTAACCTATAGAACTTTGAAAATAAGTGGGGTCTGTGAGACTAGACACAAAATAAACTGTACATAAGCACCACACTCTAGTTGATAAAGTTGTTGTCCCAAGAGGGTACAGTTTGACACTGGTCAATTAAACAAATGAGTGGTAGATGGTGGGGACAAGATTTCTCAATGGTAGAGTGAGATGTTACAGATAAACAAAAGGAAGAGTTCAGAATGATCCATGTGGTAATGAATTAAAGTTGGAGATATCAGTGAACTCATGTATGACAATACAAATAAAAATGGTTACATATAGGAATATTGGTAGATAACGTATATCTCATAAATACACACAAGTCTCACTTTGCTATGTTAGCTGAGAGGGCCTAGAAGCAACAATATCCCGGTATAATTGCATACATACAGCACCTAGAGCTTGGTTGCTAGTATCAGTGTACAATAAAAGGAACCAAGACTCCATGAAGAAACAGCTAAATTTAGGATAAGAACAGAAAATACATAAGCTTGGAGTAGCTGATGATTTAAAATTTGCTACCAGTAAATCGCACAGACAGACAAATACAGACAACTATTCCAAAGCAATTGTGTATATTTGAACGAGTATATTTTAAAATATATCATTCCTGCTAATAAACTACAACCTTTCATCTACATAACATTTTGCCAGAGTGGAAACAGATAAAACTAATTAAACTGACTTTCATTTTCATTTCATTTTTCAGCATCTGGCAGGAGTACTCATGAGCAGGGGCAGGTTAAAAGTAATAAATGATAGAAGAGAAGCACACGGGTATTGATAGACTGAATGATCAGGGTAAGTTATGAAGAGCTGATGAATTTCATTAATTTTCGCAGTGCAATCTGCAAATGCCCATGGAAACTGTCATGAAGGATTACAGTCTAAACAAAACCAAACTGAAAAGCAGAGTGGTACATGTAGTGGTTAGATTTAACACTGGTACCTGAAGATACACAACAAAAGGCATAATAAAGACTGATGAATATTTTAGTAAAGATAATTGCTTCTATGGTTAATGATTCAGCCAGCAATCTGAGGGGTAGATAAGAATTAACTTTCTTTTCTTGCTGAGTAACTCTTTTAAAGAAATGGATAAACACCACAGCAGTATCTCTACTTCAACATTTTGATATTGAGCCATAGAGCAGTGATGAAAAGGATTGACACCTTTGAGTTTCCACGCATAATAATGCAAAACATCAGTAAAAATAAATAACATCAACAATGATACATTTTTATATCTTTGTTTTTAAATACAGTAGCATTGAGGCTACTTTTCTTCTGTCTTCACAGAAATCTTACAAGCTTCTCATAAAGTAACACATTACTATGCTACCCTTTTGGTTTTTGCTTTCTGCAAGCCACAAATTCAACTTTCTTTTTCAGATGAAGATTTTGCCTATTCACGCATATGTATAAATATACATTTAAAACTTTTATCAAATCACACCAAAAAATATAATGGCCCTAGGTACTCAACAGCCAGCTTCAACCATCACAATTCATAGCCAATATTTTCCATCTCTACCACCTACTCTCCTCTCATATAATTTCAAAGCAAATCCAAGAAATTATTTTAATATATTAGTACATTTCAATATGTATCTCCAAAAGATAAAACTATTCTAACCATAAATACTACTATCACAAATAAAGAGAAATTATTATTTTTAATTCCATCAAAAATATCCAGGCTTTAAATCTCTTTTTTTTTTTTTTTTTTTTTTTTTTACTGCTTGTTGGTCTGCACTAGGACACAAGTAAATTCCACATGTTGCAGTAGCTCGGAATTTCATTTTTTAAATTATATTTAGGTCTCTTTGGTCCAATAATATTCCCTCCATCTCTTACTTTCCCCCATTATAACTTATTTCTGAATAAAATAGGTTTTTAGTCCTATGGTTTACTTCAATCTGGATTTTTCTGACTTTATCCCTGTGGGGTTTAGCATGTTCCTCCGCTCTCTGCATTTCTTGAAAATTGACATTAGTCCTCAAGGCCTGAAGAGATGTAGGTTCCATTTGGGGTACAATCTGGTCAGTGTTACTGCACACTTCTGTCAGAAGTTTTTTGTGATGTCAGCAGCATTAGTGGCTCTTGAGTGACTAATTCAGTAGGGCTTGACAATGGTGATTTTCCTCATTCTATCATGCCTTCTTCATTTATTAGCTGAAATAATATGAAGAGAAACTTAGCTTCATCTACTATGTGGTTGTCCGGTGGGACAGTTCATGTAGATCAAACAAGACAAATGCTTAATTTGTTCCCCTTTGTTCACCAGTTTTGAAAATAATGAGTGGATGCAGTAACATTCTCCCATGGGTAAACAACTAAAAAATAACAGTATTACTACGAAACCATATATTTGAATAAATTTGATCTGTTTCTTCCATTGTAACTATTATCCTTAACTGGTGCTCAAATTGTCCCATCTTGCAGCCAGGTGGAGCAGCCTCTTCAAGCAGGTTCAGTCATTCTGACAAGAACCTAGTCGATCTCAACAGCTTCCATCCTCTGCTAGTATGAGATATCTTAGGTTCCTTTTGTTCATTTTCTGCCCCAGACATAGAGTCGTACTCTTTTTCTCAGGATCTCTAGTTCCTTTCAGTAAATAGAAGTATTTCAATTTCAGGAAAATGGAACTAGATTACATAATCATTCATTGTTCTATCACACAACAAACATATAAGGTGGGTTTCTTTATCCTTTAAGATATATAACCAAGACAAATATATAAGTTATTACGGTTTTTTCTGTTTTTGTTTTTGTTTGAGACAGAGTCTCTCTGTGTCACCCAGGCTGGAGTGCAGTGGCGTGATCTCGGCTCACTGCAAGCTCCGCCTCCTGGGTTTAAGGGAGTCTCCTGCCTCAGCCTCCCGATTAGCTGGGACTACAGGTACCTGCCACCACGCCCGGCCAATTTTTTGTATTTTTAGTAGAGACGGGGTTTCACCGTCTTAGCCGGGATGGTCTCGATCTCCTGACCTCATGATCCACCCACCTTGGCCTCCCGAAGTGCTGGGATCACAGACGTGAGCCACCATGCGCGGCTGCATTATTATGTTTTAAAGTCACTTGAAATATTCAACTCTCTGTGGCTATGTCACCAACTGAATGCAAATTAGGTTCATTTCTGATATATCTTTAAATGTGTCTTTATGACAATATATTATCCTAATAAGCCAAAGCCTTTATTATTTCTGAAGTCTCATCACCTTAATATCTATAAAAATTATTTATTTTAAAAGTCAGTTTCAAATCGGAGGCTAAAGAATTATTGTTTTACTCATTCTAAGAAAGAATGTTAAATTAGTAATCATAGGTACTAAAGGATCTATTGTAAGAATTAGGAAAAAGCATTTTTCAGTATTAATTCTACCATTTTAATTGTGGAGAAAGATCCCAATTTTGTGTCTGTATTAATTTTAAAAACCAGTCAAAAGCATATGGCAAGTATCCAGTATATCCTTCCTCCTCTCCCATTATGCCTCTCGCCCACGACACCTGAGTTCTGACTCCTACAATTCCACATCACAGTGCTTTTACATGCCCTAAAACACGTCTTCCTGACCTTAAAAGAATTATTTTCTGCCACATTAGGTATCTTATCTCAAGCCCTCTGTCCTTCCTCAATCACAGAAAAGGGAAAATACACTAAATTTCCATTATCTCACAGTAACTAAACTCAGCTAGGTTAGGAAAAACCTTTAAAAAAATTCTAAGGTATACGTAACCAATAATCTCTTATTTATTGTAATAATTATCTCAATTTTGTAATTTCTTCTGTGTTTAGCCCAGATACAAACAATAAGTAAAATCATTTTCAGCTTCTTACAGTGTCAGTCCAACTGTAAGATAAATTTGGGGGAGAATACCACCATTTCATGCTATTAATTACTGAACTATAATAGTCCAGTTATCAAAGAACAGCTTGAACTGTGAGGGGGCTGTAATGCATGTCATATGAGGAATGGGTGAATGAGTACAAATGTTTAGTTTGAAGAACACAAGATTATTGATGGGCATTGCTGTTTAATCTGAATGTTATTAAGTATAACAGGTTAAGATATTTTTGGTTTATTCATATCTTGTTTTGTTTTTTCCATCCATAAACCCAGGGGGCAAAACTAGAATTAATAATTGAGGAAGTCAGATAACAATTCAACTTCAGGCAGAATGTTTAGGAAACAAGGCTTCTGTAACTGGAATGGGCTACATGAGCAGACAGTGCATCCTCCCACAATTGAAATGTTCAATGAAAGGAAAATCCAATAACTTTACAGACCTTTCACAGCGTGAGATGGTTTCATATTTTCCAAGCACCAAGAGATAAGTATATATACACATTTACGTTAAAAAATCTTATTAGTTTCAAAAGACAATTCCAAAACATATACCAGAAGTAGTAAATTTTCTTTATATTTCTGTATAAATAATTGTAGCAACTTAGTAACAAAATCTGTCAAGTTAAAAGAAAACGTATCTTGTGTCATACTAAGCAGTGTTATACCACCACACTGCTCATCAGCAATGTTCTTATTAACCTGTGTGTGTGTTCTCCCCAACTGCATACAATTGTTCTAGGCTGTACACATATGCACCTATGTAAAACCTTCCTTTATTTGTCCAAAAGCAAATGAAGGTCAGCAGATGTATAACTTTAAAATCAGGTAAGTTTGCTTTCAGAATCCCAAAATTCAACTTCATACACCTCCTTCTCTGTATTTACCTCTCATGCATTTATACTACAACTGTTTCACCTCCTTCCCCACCAAAAAGATAAAACAGCTAATAGCATTTGTTAATAACTGTTGGCCTACTTTGAATGCTCTCTGCATATAAGATACTATGTTATACACGTTACACATACTAGCCCAGGTAAGCCTCAGAGAACTAAGTATGTGGCACACAGAAAATGTTCAAAATATTTACTTAATAAATGAATTATAATCCCCAAAATATATAACAGGAAAATGAAGCAAAGAGAAGTTAAATAATTGTAGCAGTTTTCTATTGGCCACAGAAGCAATAATTAGGGTTGGAATGAAGATATAAGCCCAGGATGTCAGCTCTTAAGGCCAGACTGCCTTGTGTTTCTTTACACTTCCTCCCGTCTGAGGTTATTACACTTTAACAGGAGTGTTATTGGTCAGGGCTAGCTCCAATTTGGAATTAAAATTTACACGTT
This sequence comes from Homo sapiens, assembly GCF_000001405.40. NCBI lineage: Eukaryota > Metazoa > Chordata > Mammalia > Primates > Hominidae > Homo > Homo sapiens. The sequence continues at coordinate 165,551,760 of NC_000006.12, forward strand.
TTTACCTCAAATTATCAATTGAAAAATCTGACTGCTAATCTCAGGCTTTGATAAAGAGGTGGAAAGAAATCTTTGTAGCAGAAGCCCCCTGGAGACCCAAGACTAATCGGAAAATAAGTCTAACTGGAGGATGGAAAGGGAGCAGTCAGTAGCAATGATGCCACTTAGCCCTATGCTTCCCCCATTTCAGTCCTCCAGCATGCCAAGCCCTTCCTTTCCTCACCTCATCCATGGTCTTCGCTGCTATCTGCCCTCAATCCCCTCCTCTCTTACGGCTCAGTGAGACATTTAGCCAATTTAAAGGCAGTTTCACTGGAGCTACCTTCACTAGCCACACACTCTCCACTCACTGCACTATACTCTCATTGTACCCTCCTCCTCCTACACTTCAAGACAGTCATCAAAAGCTGAAATTTCTTACTTATTAGTAGGAATTTATTAGACTTCAGCCTCTTCAGCTAGACTATAAACTCCATGATCTGTCTCATTCTCTACATAGCACAGTGCCTGGCTCTGGGCAGAAAAGGGGTTAACACAGCAGACCTGACAGTGCTCTTCTACTTAGAAAGGCTGCTTGCAAGGTCAGCCCTTGGCTGGCATCAAGGACTTTGGCTCTGGGGGTGTTCCCAGTCAACAGTTAACTAAAGACCAGGCCACTGTGCCTAGACTGTTTGTGCATTTGTGCAAACAATATGGGTTCATGCTGAACACCTGCGTTCCTTCTGAGAGTCTGAAAAGTTTAGAACATGCCAGGCAGAGGGTGTGTACCTGACCAACCCCCAATAAGAAAACTGGGAATTGAGTCTCTAACATGCTTCCCTGGTAGGTAACACTAGACAAACACTGTTAGACGTCACTGCTGGAGGAATGAAGGTATCCTCGGAAGCCTGTGCCAAGTCTCTCCTGGATTTCACCCAGTGCACCTCTTCCCTTTGCGGATTGTGCTTTGTATCCTTCGGCTCTCATCAAGCATAGCCTTGAGTACAACTACATGCCCAGTCCTGTGAGTACTTCCAGCAAATCACCAAACTGAGGGGTAATTCTGAGGACCCTAAACACACAGACTATCATCAAGTGAATTAATTGCTTAGTAATCCTTTGTCTTGTATGATTTCACAGAAGACTAATAGGGAGTGCTATAGGTTTGTTTGCTGAAAACGGCCCAGTTCACAAGATCACAGACGGACCCACCAGGAATCCCAAATCCTACAGCAAGTACCTGAGCAAAGGACCCCTCCACTCATAGCCTGCTGTACCTACTTAAATTCCCATTCCTGCCCAAAGCCTACATGAGATTCTTTTCTTTCTCTTACTTCTATCTTCACTTTCCTTTTTTCATCTAAAGAGTTTAAATATGTAATATGTCACCCTTTACATAAAACTTCATGAACATAACAATTTATATAGCAGTTCTTTCTAACCACTTACTGATTAAGAGATAGATAGGCTCTAAATTTCTTTTTTTGGGGAGGAGGGGGGTGTCTTTTTTTTAAAGGCAAAGTCATTTATATGGAAATGAATGGAGGTTATCCAGGTGACAGACGTAAACAGTTTTCACTATCATTAAAATAACTTGAAAGTTTTGGTAGAAACAAAGAGATGTTTCTTTAGATTTTGGTTAACTCGATTGACTAGTACTGATACCATTTTTAACCAAGAAGGAAAAACAGGAAGCAAACTAAAAACAAATGCCTTATAATAACTATCCTTGTCCCCAAATATATCACCTAAAATCATTTCTTTCCATCCAAGTACATTCCACTGAAAGAGAATTGGTCTATGACCTAGAAAGCAGTCATTTAATGAGCCTTGGTTTAATATACTGCCAGTATTCTGACCTACATAATTGATTACTTATTTCACGTGAATTAACAGCCTAAGGGGTGCCTTAGCTGCAGAGAAGATATTGTTTCCCACATTCACAATTTGCATTTATCAGAAGATAAATTCCATACTGCTGTATTTCTAAACCAAAGTGAAATTAATTACTTGCTTTCTCTCCTAAGAACATAAATGAAAGTTTCTTTTAACTGAGAAAGTCAACTACAAACTTGAGCTGCTCAAAATGATAACATAAAGATGAAAAACATTTTTTGATAGAACTATTAAGAGTAAGCTTAAACCCACCAAAATTTACCCTTTCTGTGACTCAGAAAACCAATCTCCAAAGTGAAGTCTCAAATGGAGACAAGACATGCAGGCACAGGTTATGTTATATAAAGGATTTAATGCTCCATCTCTTTAGCATAAATATAATTCCAGATCTACAGTAACTCGGTGGGGGACTGGGGGTTCTGAGGCACCAGACGCTCAAATATAGGCTATTTTCCTTAAGAAAGTCACTTAAGTGTCTTGAGCAATACCTCATAAGCATAGGCAACCAAAGTAAACATGGACAAATGGAATCACATCAAGTTAAAAAGCTTCTGCCCAGTCAAGGATACAATCAACAAAGTGAAGAGACAATCCATGGACTGGGAGAAAATATTTGCAAACTATCACTCTGACAAGGGATGAATAACCAGAATATATAAAGAGCTCAAACAACTCTACAGGAAAAAAACCTAATAATCCAATCAAACAATGGCCAAAAGATTTAAATAGACATTTCTCAAAAGAAGACATACAAATGGCAAACAGGAATATGAAAAGATGCTCAAAATTACTGATCATCAGAGAAATGCAAATCAAAGCTACAATGAGATATCATCTCACCCCAGTTAAAATGACATATATTCAAAAGACAAGCAATAGCAAATACTGGCGAGGATGTAGAGAAAAGGGAACCTTTGTACGCTGTGGTATGAATATAAATTAGTACAACCCCTATGGAGAAAAGTTTGGAGGTCCCTCAAAAAACTAAAAATTGAGCTACCATATGATCCAGCAATCCCACTGCTGGGTATATACCCAAAAGAAAGGAAATCAGTATATCGATGAGATACCTGAACTCCTCTGTTTGTTGCAGCATTGTTTACAATAATAGCTAAGATTTGGAAGCAACCTAAGTATCCATCAACAGATGAATGGATAAAGAAAATGTGGTATATATACACAATGGAGTACTATTCAGCCATAAAAAGGAAGGAGATATTGTCTTTTGCAACAACATGGATGGAACTGGAGATCATTATGTTAAGTAAAATAAGCCAGGCACGGAAAGACAAACATCGCATGTTCTCATTTATTTGTGGGATCTAAAAATTAAAATAACTGCACTCATGGACACAGTGAGTAAAAGGATGATTACCAGAGAGGCTAGGAAGTGTAGTAGGGGGCTAGGAGGAGGTAGGAATCATTAATGGGCACCAAAAAAATGAACAAGTGAATAAGACCTACTGTTTGATACCACATTAGGGTGACTATAGTCAATAATAACCTACCTGTACGTTTTAAAATAAAGAATGTAATTGGAGTGTTTGTAACTCAAAGGATAAAAGCTTGTGGGGATGGATACCCCATTCTCCATGATGTGCTTCTTTCACATTGCATGCCTGTATCAAAATCTCTCACGTACGCCATACACATATACACCTAGTATGTACCCACAACATTTTTAAAAAATAATTTTAAAAAAAGAAAGTCACTTAACCCTGTAAGCCTCACTGTCCCCATAAACAAAAGATGGGCCCCAAAACAGTACCTACTCCATAGGGTTATAATCCATGCAAACACCTGAGCACATACTAAGTGACTTGTGACAGTTAATTCAGTAACATCTATCTTCATCAAAACAGTAGCACCATTATATTAAGAAATATTATGAAATTAAGATTGTAAGAGAAATGCCTTCCTGTTAGAAAAGACCATGCTACTGTTTTAGATACATTGATAATAAAATCTCTATTTACCTATATTTAAGAATATTTCATCTAGGTGTGTCTCAGAATAATTAATGGTTTAGATACATCCATGATGCTTATATTGAGAAGTATCAAATCCAGAAATTGTCTAGCTAGCCATCATATTAACTGGAAGGTGTACCCACAAACTAACCTCAAAGATACCAAGACAGTCTAATGTGAGAGCTTCCAGGCAGAACCCACAGAGATGGGTGCCCAAGGCTGGATCCAGCCAATTTGCTACAAGGAACAAGCCAGAGGAATGTGAAGTCAAAGACAAGTACAGTTGACACTTGAACAACAGAGGTTTGAATTGCACTGCTCCTATGTGACGATTTTTTCAATAATTATACTGGAAAAAATTTTGGAGATTTTCAACAATTTGAAAAAACTTGCAGACGAACTGCATAGCCTACAAATACCGAAAATTTTTAAGAAAAAAATCAGGTATGCCATAAATGCATAAAATATGTAGAAACTATAAGTGTTAATAAACTTATGTTATTGATAAGGCTTTTCTGTCAACATTCAGCTATTTGTACTTAAGTTTTTAGGGAGGGAAAAGTTATATGCAGGACTGGGCTGGGGGGGTCAGTACCTCTAATCCCTGCATTGCTCAAGGGTCAACTGCATAAAACAACACTCCACAGAGTGCTGGCGGTTAAGACCAGCTTAAGGCAAATATTCAACCTTGAGAGCTGAGCTTACACAAAACAGTCAATGAATCAAAACGGGTAAAAACAGGAAAAGAATAAGGGGCCAAGGGTTTGGTCAAAGTAATACAAGGAAGTCCAAGGCTTCTGCCTTGAAGACAGCTGTGATGGACACAGTTCCCTTCTTTGTATTGTGACATAGTTCAAATGGTTCTTGAGATGTGCTAGCTAATTTGGATTAAAGGGGACAATAGTCATTAACTTTGAAGGTAACAGATATGTTATTACATTATATGATAACATTAACCAAACCACTAAGACCCAACTCTCTGTCACCTGAAAGTGAAAGTGAATTCTCAAGTGCTGGACAATAGCCATGAAATACAAGTAAGCCTAATGCTAAGTAAATACATTCTGTACCTCAGCCACAATGCACACAATGAGCCTGTGGACAAGCATATCGGCTATGAAAGGGCAAGTACAGCCTTGCCTGGGAGTCTAGAATCACTTTCCACATTTAAAATAAGAATTTAAAATCTATGACTGTCTACTGAGGTTTTCAGTAAAGCCTTGATAAATCTTAAATAAAAAAAAAAAATTCTGAGCCGGGTGCAGTGGCTCATGCCTGTTATCTCAGCACTTTGGGAGGCTGAGGCAGGTGGATCACCTGAGGTCAGGAGTTCGACACCAGCCTGGCCAAAATGGTAAACCCTGTCTCTACTAAAAATACAAAAATTAGCCGGGCGTGGTGGCATGCGCCTGTCATTCCAGCTACTCGGGAGGCTGAGGCAGAAGAATCGCTTGAACCCAGGAGACGGAGGTTGCAGTGAGTCGAGGTCGTGCCACTGCACTCAAGCCTGGGTGACAGAGCAAAACTCCATGTCGAAAAAAAAAAATTCTTATAAATACTCCCATAGAAATAAACCTTATAGTATCCACTGTCTTGAGAGAGATTAAAATACGTTACAGAAGAAAGATAAGAAAATAGGTTTCTGGTAGTATAATTTAATCTGGTGGGAAAAGAAACAAAAAATGGAGAAAAGAGAGACCAAAGAAAGAGACTTATATACCGATTCATAATTAATAACCTTCATGATCACAGTTTCAACTGGGATTTAAAGAAAGCAAGAAGAATAACAACCATAATTTCTTATGCCCATTTAGTAAAATATTGTTTAAAATGAACATTATCATTTATTTAAAGACTTTAAAAATTATACCCTAAAAGTGAATGACATATTTTAGGTATTCTATAAATTATTCCTTTCCACTTATCAAAATACGTTTTTTAAAAATCATGATATTCATATGCAGACTTGAAACAAATAAAAATCACAGAATATATAGGTTTTCTACATAAATAAGCTGTCATATTTTTTCCTTCTTTGCTAGCAAATATACCTTCTTGAAAATGTTTGATTATCAATTCACCCAAGAATTTTTTTAGACTTCCTCTATAAAAGGATATTACTATTTATATTTCCTCAATGCAATGTAATTCATTTAAAAATACTGTGAAGTCTGACTATGAGTCAGGCATTGTATTTTGTTTTAGGATGAATAAGGGAACTCAAAAAACGAAGACAAACAAAGATGAATAGTTAGTGGATAAGCATGCTGCAAGGTCGATAAGGGTACAATGAACAGAAACATGAAGTATAGCTGACGTGATTAATTCTAAGTGTTGAGATTCTTTTTATTCAGTACGTGTATACTGAGTGCCTACTATGAATCAGACATATCTTGACATGCAATATATAACAAACGATATGCCTAACCTATGGAGCGTGGCAATGCCTCAAGGATCTAGAACTAGAAATACCATTTGACCCAGCCATCCCATTACTGGTTATATACCCAAAGGATTATAAATCATGCTGCTATAAAGACACATGCACATGTATGTATACTGCGGCACTATTCACAATAGCAAAGACTTGGAACCAACCCAAATGTCCGTCAATGACAGACTGGATAAAGAAAATGTGGCACATATACACCATGGAATACTATGCAGCCATAAAAGAGGATGAGTTCATGTCCTTTGTAGGGACACGGATGAAGCTGGAAACCATCATTCTCAGCAAACTATCACAAGGACAAAAAACCAAACACCATATGTTCTCAATCATAGGTGGGAACTGAACAATGAGAATACTTGGACACAGGAAGGGGAACATCACACACCGGGGCCTGTCGTGGGGTTGGGGGACGGGGGAGGGATAGCATGATATTCATATACAGACTTGAAACAAAGAAAAATCACAGAATACATAGGTTTTCTATATAAATAAGCTGTCATATTTTTTCTTTCTTTGCTCGCAAATATACCTTCTTAAAAATGTTTGATTATCAATTCACCCAAGAATTTCTTTTAGACTTCCTCTATAAAAGGACATTACTATTTATATTTCCCCAATGCAATGTAATTCATTTAAAAATACTGTGAAGTCTGACTATGAGTCAGGCATTATATTTTGTTTTAGGATGAATAAGGGAACTCAAAAAACGAAGGCAAATAAAGATGAATAGTTAGATGGATAAGCATGCTGCAAAGTCGATAAGGGTACAATGAACACGTATATATACCTAATATAAATGACGAGTTAATGAGTGCAGCACACCAACATGGCACATGTATACATATGTAGCAAACCTGCACGTTGTGCACATGTACCCTAAAACTTAAAGTATAATAAAAAAATATAAATAAATAACGGAAGCACTATAACAACAATTCAAGTAAAAAAAAAAATTAAAATTCTCTTTAATACTGGCTAAGCCTAGCCAACAGAAACTGGTGACAAATTATAGATAATGAAGCAGTAGGATATGTCAAAGGTGACTCCAAAGTTTCTAGCTTAGGTAATTGACCAGGCAGTTATGCTAGAACATGATTAAAAATATAAAAGGTGGTGAAGGATTCATGGAAAAGAAAATTGTTTTGGTTTGGGATCTGCTTAAATGTAGTTGCCCATAGGACGGCTATATGGTTATTTCCAATACGAAGTAGGAAATAAAAATGTGCAGCCAAAAAGAAGAAAATAGGGGCTAAGAGGGATATACGTGGAAGTCATCCATTTTGATAATAGCTGAAGATTTACAAGTGGATTAGATTTCCCAGGAATACTGAATCATATCCTATGTGGCAAAGAAAATGTGAATTCTCATCTTTGTCCTATATTATTGGTTTAAATCATAAAAGAAAATTACATACTGTCTCATTAGAAATATTTTTAATTCATTCTAGAACAATTTGAAACATGAGAATACTTTTTTCAACAAGATTATACAGTAAGCCCATTAATAAATCCCTTCTTTATTCAAATCATCAAGATTCAAAACCACCAATATAGTATCTTAGAGGATAACCTTTTGTGGTAGGCAGAATTTGAAGACAGTCCCTAATATGGTTTGGCTCTGTGTCCCCACCCACATCTCATCTTGAATTGTAGCTCCCATAATTCCCACGTGTTGCGGGAGGGACCTGGTGGGAGATAACTGAATCTTGGGGCCAGTTTCCCTAGTACTGTTCTCGTGGTAGTGACTATGTCTTACAAGATGTGATGGTTTTATAAGGGATTTCTGCTTTCGCTTCTCTTTCATTCTCTCTTGCCGCCGCCATGTAAAAAGTGCCTTTCACCTTCTGCTATGATTGTGAGGCCTCCCCAGACATGTGAAACTGTGAGTCCATTAAGCCTCTTTTTCTTCCCAGTCTCAGGTATGTCTTTATCAGCAGTGTGAAAACGAATTAATACAGTCCCCAAGACTTTTCCCTGATATGCACACTCTGCATGATCTCCGGCACTGTGAGGATGTATTTTACTTCCACAATAGGACATGTTATGCTACAGGTTGGTCCTAAAATAGGAAGATTATCCAACTGGGCCTGGCCTAACCAAATGAGTCCTTTAAGAGCAGATATTTTTTTTCTGTTGGTGGCAGAGTTCATGATTCAAAGCACAAGAAAGATTTGAAGACTCATTGCTGGCTTGAAGATGGAGAGCCATATGCTAAGAAATGTAACCAACACCTAGGAGCTAAAGAGACCTCAAGCTCACAGCCAGTAAGAAAAGGGGACCTTCAGTCCTACAACTACAAGAAACTAAATTCTGCCAATGGCAAGAATCAGTTTGGGAGTGGAGCTTTCCCCAGAGCCTCCAGAAGAGAACTAAGTAACGCCAACACCTTTATTTCAGTCTTGCGATATTCTGAGCAAATCAAATAGTTACACAGGGTCTACAGAACTGTGAGCCAGTAAACGGGTGTTGGTTTAAGTCACTAAATTTGTGGTAATTTGTTATGAGACAACAGAAAACTAATAAACCTTTACTTTTCTAAAGTAAATTCTAAAAATTGAATTACTTTTATTATTAATCCAGTTAAGTAAAAAGAAACGTATTTTCCAAACTATGTCACCCTTAACCAGTTAAGCAAAAACTGTAACTGCTGACAGTTGTCAAGTTGTAATCAATACTTTGTTTAGTGTAAGCACAAGCCCAGGGGAGAACGTCTATGCTTTTGTAAATCTCATGTTGAACTGTGGCCCCAGGTGTTAGAGGTGGGGGCTGCTGAGAGGTGACTGGATTATGGGGTGGTGTCTAATCGTTTAGCACCATCCTCCTGGTGCTGTCTCGTGATAGAGTTCTCATGAGATCTGGTTGTTTAAAAGTGTGTAGCATGGGCTGGGCACAGTGGCTCATACCTGTAATCCCAGCACTTTGGGAGGTTGAGGCGGGCGGATCACGAGGTCAGGAGATCGAGACCATCCTGGCTAACACGGTGAAACCCTGTCTCTACTAAAAATACAAAAAATTAGCCAGGCGTGGTGGCGGGCACCTGTAGTCCCAGCTACTCGGGAGGCTGAGGCAGAAGAATTGCTTGAACCCAGGAGGCGGAGGTTGCAGTGAGCCGAGATCACGCCACTGCACTCCAGGCTGGGTGACAAGGCAAGACTCCAACTCAAAAAAAAAAAAAAAGTGTGCAGCAGTACCTCCTTTGCTCTTTCTCCTGCTGTCATGTGAAGACACGTTTGCTTCCCCTTTGCCTTCCACCATGATTGTAAATTTCCTGAGGCTGACCAGCCATGCTTCCTATGCAGCCTCCAGAATTGAGTCAATTAAACCTCTTCTTCATAAATTACCCAGTCTCAGGTAGTTCTTTACAGCAGTGTGGGAAGAGACTAACACAATAAGCCTACAGTTCAATGCAAAACTGAACTGTAAAATCATGTAAGCCAAAAGAATCACAAATACACCATCAGAAAAGGGAAATAATAACAAAAACGTAACATTTATTGCTGTTGCTGTAAAAGTGTTGCACTACATTTTTTTCTGGCCTAACAAATTAATGTGTTTTGAGTGTTTTAAGATGTAAGTCTTAATTGTAAACTGAAATAACCAATAACCAGTTATTGGTCCTAAAATAGGAAGATTATCTAACTGGGCCTGGCCTAACCAAATGAGTCCTTTAAGAGCAGATAGTTTTCTCCCATTGGTGCCAGAAGTTCATGATTGAAAGCACAAGAAAGATTTGAAGACTCATTGCTGGCTTGAAAATGAAGACATGAATACATCAGATTTTTTAAAAATCTAAAGAACTACAGAGCTATCAAATTTTAGCATTATTATTTTTAATAGTTGCCAAATTGTAACCATTATTTATCAAATTCTAGTAGAGAAATAAGAGAAAGTTTTTTTAAATCATTAAATTTGAATTTCAGAAAATAAATACTGGCCAGGTGTGGTAGCTCATGCCTGTAATCCCAATACTTAAGGAGGCCGAGGCAGGAGGATCACTTCAGCACAGGAGTTCAAGACCCATCTGTGCAACACAGCAAGAAATGAAAGCATCTTCCTTGGGAGCAGAACTAAATGACTAGACCAGCATGACCATCATTAGTTTACTAGATATACTATATCTATGTATTATTTTAATAATTAAGACAATTACAATGTTAAGACAGTTCAAAAGATATAAACCAAATTTATATTTAAAGGGTATAATTCATATTATGTATAAAATAGAATGTAGCCTGTTATTAAATCTATATACCTGAAGAAAAGTAATGAATTAGACTTAAGTAGACACAAAAGGTCTCAATTTTCCAACTATTTTACATGAAAACAAAGACACTAGTATTAGCTCTTCTCAAGATAATTTTCAGATAAATATGATTTAAACTACAACTTAAGACAAAGATGAAAAAATCTAGAGAATATCAAAAGAAAGTCCTAACCATTAAAAACAGCAACTAACAATTCTTCAAGACATGTTTGATTATTTTTTTTTGTTTAGCATCTACATTCCCTAGTCCTACCACTTTCTTCTCAACTATGCCACAATCTGAGTCACAATTCTGTTTTCCAAGTTTCCGTGACACTGCACTGCTCCACTACTGCCCTGTACTGACCATGTTATAGTAGGTTAGCAGGGAGATGGTTCTCTTATCAACTAGGCCTAAAGATCCTTGAGGAACAGGAGAATTGTCACAGTCAGAGCCCACCTGGCCTGGCACGTAGTAAAATTTAAATCATAAGTTCTCAGCTGGGAGAATCTTTAGTCCCCCAAGAGACATCTGGCAATGTCTGCTGACATTATGGGTTTTGGTTGTCATAAGAGGAAGGGGGTACCAGTGACATCTAGTGACATCTAGTGCGTAGAAGCCGGCGAGGTTGCCTAACATCCTATGGTGCACAGAAAGCCTCCTGACAGCTAAGAATTATCCACAGAAAGCATCAACGGTGCTCACGTTGAGAAATCCTGTTTTCAACAAGTGTTTGCTCAAATAATGTGGACTTTATGAAGACAACAAAACTGCATAAAATACTGCAATCAGAATAATTTCAGTACTTATTATAAAAGTATGGCATATAAGTTAAATATCCCACAACCGAATACAGGAAAAAAAAGAAGAGGGGAGGGGGAGGGGCAGGGGAGAGGCAAGGGAGGGGGGAAAAAGAAAAAAGAAAGAGAGGAAGGGGGAGAGGGAGAGAGGGAGGGAGGGAGGAAGGAGGGAAGGAAGGAAGGAAGGATTTAGTAATGAGATCAAGAAGTTACTATGCTATTGCATTGTAGATAAATAAACTTAAGCAATTTGCTTCTAATTCCCAATTATACGGAAACCACAGGCACAAGAAAGTATTGATGTTTAGCACTGACAAAGAAAACTAAGTATAGACATCATTTCTTGGTACTGCCCCTCACAGCTGAATGTTTCTTGAGTGATGCAGCCTTTCTCACCTATTTATCTAACATATAAAATAAAAATTATACCTCTAACTCATGGCTTTCATGAGAATTAAACATAATATATGCAAAAGACATAAACCATGGCTCAAAAATGGTAGATACAGCTGGGTGCAGTGGCTCACATCTGTAATCCCAGCACCTTGGGAGGCTGAGGCAGGCCCGATCACTTGAGGTCAGAAGTTTACGACCAGACTGGCCAACATAGTGAAAACCTGTCTCTACTAAAAATACAAAAATTAGCCAGACATGGTGGTGTGTACCTGTGATCCCAGCTACTTGGGAGGCTGGGACACAAGAATTGCTTGAACCCAGGAGGTGGAGGCTGCAGTTAGCTGAGATCGTGCCACTGCACTCCAGTCTGGGCGACAGAGGGAGACTGTCTCAAAAAAAAAAAAAAGGTAGCTATAATGATGATACAAATGAAAACATACATGTACCTACAGATATAAACACAAACCCATCCTCCTCAGTCAGTCACCCCCTCCACCCTCTCCCACTGATCATAGTATTCAAAGAGAATAAACTATTATTTGTGATTTCAACAAAAGAATTAAGTTAATAAAAAATTGCTGAGCCACAAAACCCTTGGCTGGAATTTCTCTTCCCCTAAAATCCTCAATTCAAATACATATCCTTTAAAATAAATATTTAGAGTCAAGATTATTAACTGGTGGATTTCCAAGGACAGGTTTCCTGAAGAGTCCAACACTGTTCCTCAAAGCAAAGCTGTTTAGAGAGTCAAGAAACATGAGAGCTGGTGCTTGCTCCTTATTAAGAAAAGATTGGGGGTTGAAGGTAGAGAGGCACCCAAGGCTCTCTAGTCCTGCTGCCCATCCTTAAGCCTACACAAATGCAAGAGGGAGAACAAGGACTGATAAGACCCGTTTTGACAATCTTGGTTAGACAACAACGAAATGTTGTTGAAAACATCTTCTTAATACAGAGATTACTAAGAAATGGTTGTTTTCAATCTTGCATTAAGCCAATTCAAACTTAATAAATGAAAATATCACCTATGGCCACCTGCCCCGGTATATTCTAAGACTACGGGGCATAGTAATAGCTACTGTAGACATGTTACTTCCTTGTCCAGTCAAGCACCCCAGTGAAGAATTCCCATAGCACATATTATACTTCTGTTTGTTTACATTTTATACAATGCCTCTCCCATTTTCTGCGAGTAAATTTCTATATTAGTTAATGCTAAGTAACTGACTTGGAGCTTGTCTGGCACCGAATACATCTTACTTTAAACATTTTATTTTCTGCTTATAAAATGGAAATAACAATAGGATGAATCAAGGTTTCTTCCTGAAAGTGAGAAGTTAACTAACTATTCCTCTCCAATATTCTTAACTAAAGAAGTGGAGCAAGAGAGTAAGTATAAATAGCTAGAATTGTGCTTATAATAAAAATCTGCCCAAAATGTGTCAAAAAGTTGGCAGAATGGATTTTTTAAAAATAACTCAACTATATGTTGTCTATAAAAGATGCAATTTAGATACAAAGACAAAAAATAGGTAATAGGCTGAAAGTGAGAGGATGGGAAAGATATTCCATTCATAAAGTAGCCAAAAGAGAGCTACAAGTCTTAGCTAATGCAATAAGACAAGAATAGAGAACTAAAGGTTTACAGTTTGGGAAGGAAGAAATAAAACTGTTCACAGATGACATGACTGTCTATATAGAAAAATTTTTTTAAAAATCAACAAAAGCTTCTTGGAACTAATAAGTGATTATATGAGATTTTCAGAATATGAGTTAAAACACAAAAATCAGTATCTTTCCTATATTCCAGGAATGAACAAGTAGATTTTGAAATTAAAGGCACAATATCATTTGCACTAGCACTCAAAAAATGAAATACTTGGGTATAAATCTAACAAAATAGATACAAACTCTATATGAGAAAAGCTACAAAACTCTGATGAAAAAAACTCAAACAACTAAATAAGTGGATACATATTCCATGTTAATGGATAGGAAGACTCAATATTGTCAAGATGTTAGTTCTACACTCAGTGCAATCAAAATAGAAATCCCAGGAAGTTATTTTGTGGTTACTGGAAAACTGATTAAAGTTTATATTGAGAGACAAAAGTCTCACAATAGCCAGCACAATATTGTAAGAGAACAACAAAGTTCGAGGACTGACAATACCCAACTTCAAGACATACAATAAGGCTACAATAATCAAAACAGTGTGGTTATTAGGGAAATAATGGATACGTGGATCAATGGAATAAAACAGAGAGCCTATAAACAGACCCAAATAAATATATAAAACTGATCTTTGACAAAGGAGCAAATGCAATACAGTAGAGAAAAAATACTCTTTTCAACAAATAGTGTCAGGAACAGCCGGACAGCCTCATGATAGAAAATGAATATAGACACACACCTCAAACCAGTCACAGAAATTAAATAAAAATGGATCATAGACTTAAATGTAAAACACAAAATGATAAAACCCCTAGAAAATAACATAGGAGAAAATATAGATGAACCTGGGCATGTCATTTACTTTTTAGAAGCAACACAAAGACAAGATCCATGAAAGAAAGAATTGATAAGTTGTACTTCAGTAAAATTAAGATTTTCTGCTCTGCAAAAGAAACTGCCAAGAGAATAAAAAGACAAGCCACAGATTGGGAGAAAATATGTGCAAAACACATATCAGATAAAGACTTAACCCAGAATAGACAAAGAACTCTAAAGCTCATTAATAAGAAAACAAACAACCTGATTATTAAAAGTCCAAAACATTAACACATACGTCATCAAAAAAGACATACAGATGAGCAAATGAAAAGATGCTCTACATTATATATCATGAGGGAAATGCAAATTCAAACAACAGTGAGATACCATTACATACCTATTTAAATGGCCAAAATCCAGAACACTGACAACACCAAATGCCAGCAAGAATGTGGAACAACAGGATCTCATTCACTGTTTGTGCGAATGTGAAATGGTACTCTGGAAGACAGTTCGGCAGCTCTGGCAAAGGTAACAGTGTGGGTCAATGTCTGGAAATGAACGCCAGAAAACATAGGACAGGAAATCTCCAAGTAACTCAATTACACTGCGGAACATGATACCAAGGAGAAGATTCTGGAGATAAAGGTGTAGATAGAGCAAAGCCAGGACAAATCACAAAGTGCCTGATAAGTCATGAGTTGCTCTGTTCTAAAGGCAACCAACAGCTGCTAAAGGGCTTTGCTTAGGCATGACAGTGACATGATCATAATCATATTTTTAAAAAGGAAACTCAACTCTAGTAAGTGAAATATGAAAAAATGAGCAAGTCCAAATCCCAATCCTTACTGTCATACACTATTAGTAAGAGTCTATATCGATACAATCACATTGAAAAATTGTTTGGCAGGAATCTACCGAAAAATCTGAACACAGGCATATTCTATGACCCAGAAATTACACCCTTAAAAGTGCATACTTAAGTCCATCAAAAGCCATATATATTATTACAATATTCAAGAAAGCACTATTTATGATAGCCAAAACATGGAAACTACCAAATATCCGTCAACATTAGAACAGATAAATCACTTAGTATATTCACACAATGGAATATCATACAATAATGAGAACAAACTATTCAGAACTGCATGGAATAATATGAGTGAAGTACACAAACATAATGTTGAACAAAAGAAACCAGACACAAAAGATAAATACTGCATGAGTCTATTTATTTAAAGTTGGAAAAATGTCACTATCTGTAAGAAGTCAGAAAAGTGTTACCTTAAGGGGTTAGCAACTGGAAGGGGACACAAGAGGGGCTTTCAGTATTATCTCTATTTTTCAATCAAGGAAGCTAAGATTCACAGGTAAAATTACTTACAACTAGTAAGTTGTGGAAATGGCATTCAAATCTATGCCTGATTTTTAAAAATACATAGCCATGGGCTAAAAATGACCTAGAGAAACTGTCAAAATGTTCTTCAACTAATGTTTATTGTCCTATGCCTTTATGCACACTGACTCCACTGCTAATAGTGCCTTTTCTTCACTGATAACTTCCCTGTAAACACCTGCTTATTACTTCTACTATGAAACCCATTCCCAATCTCTCCCCATATACTTAACAGGCTCAGTAACCAGGTATTTCGTCTCTCTCAATACTTTTTAAAAATATATATATAATTTATCGAGTACTTATTAGGTACCAGGCATTTTATTGGTCTTTTCCCAATAAGGATAATGGGGTTCGAAGATATAAATAATCCAAGGTCACATGTCTAAAATGTATTAAAACTAGAATCGAAATCAAAACTTTCTGAATGCAAATCTAAAGCTCTATTATATTATGTGTCCATCTTTCACCTTATCTTATTGCTGATAATCTATTTATCTGCTTTGACCTCAAGATTCTTATTTCTTTGGAAGCCAATAGTCTCTACTTACCTTTGTAACATCTGCCCTAAGCCAAGTGCCCAGCACACAATAGGTACGCAACAAGGCATTTTTTTTTTTTTTTTTTTTTTGAGACGGAGTCTCGCTCTGTCGCCCAGGCTGGAGTGCAGTGGCACAATCTTGGCTCACTGCAAGCTCCGCCTCCTGGGTTCACGCCATTCTCCTGCCTCAGCCTCCCGAGTAGCTGGGACTACAAGCGCCCGCCACCACGCCTGGCTAATTTTTTTGTATTTTTAGTAGAGACGGGGTTTCACCATGTTAGACACGATGGTCTAGATCTGCTGACCTCATGATCCGCCCGCCTCGGCCTCCCAAAGTGCTGGGATTACAGGCGTGAGCCACCGCATCCGGCCAGCATTTTTTTAAAGAACTAAGTATAGTATACCCACCCTCCTTATCCACGGTTTCACTTTCTGCAGTTTCAGTTAATCACACAGTCAACCACAGTCAAAAATATTAAATGGAAAATTCCAGAAGTAAACAACTCATAATTCTAAATTGTGCACTGCTCTGAGTAGCATGATAAAATCTCACATGGTACAGCTCAGTCCCAACCAGGACATGAATTCTCCCTTTGTCCAGCGTCTCCATGCTGTAGACACTTCCCATCCCTCAGACACTTTGTAGCCATCTTGCTTATCAGATCAACTGTCATGGTATCCCAGTGTCTGTGTTCAAGTCACCCTTATTTTACTTAATAACAACCCAAAAGTGCAAGAATAGTGATGCTGGCAATTCAGATATGCCACAGAGAAGCCATAAAGTAGTTCCTTTAAGTTAAAGGGTGCAAGTTCTTGATTTAATAAGGAAAGAAAAAACAAAGGTATGCTGAGCTTGCTAAGATCTGCTGTCAGAATAAATCTATCCAAGAATTTGTGAAGAAGGAAAGAGAAATTTATGCTAGTTTTGCTGTTGAAAATGTTATTGGTGAGAAAATTAAAAAGACACTATTCTGGAAAATCACAAAGTTTATACAGCTACACTTGTTCAACAGAATAGCCGTTAGTGACAAGTAGCTACTGGAGACTAGAAAACTTGCTACTCTGAAGTGGGATGTGCTGTGAGTGTAAAGTACATACTGGATTTCACAGACAACAGTACAAATGTAAGAATGTAAAATATTTCATCAAATAATTCTTTAATAATCAGAAGCTAAAATTCTAATATTCTGGAATAAATTAAGTCCATTTTATTATTAAGTTAATTTCACTTACTTTTTTAAAGTGGCTACTAGAATACTTTAACTTATGTGTGTCATCTTTACTTCACGTTATATTTCTGTTGAACAGCATTGTTGTAGGGGCCTTTTTTTCTCCTTACTCAAGGACATAATCTAAATTGTCCCTAATTGAGACTATTAAAAGCACAGTGGAAACAGCCCATGTAACTGCCATCATTTGTCCTGGGTTCCACATGAAGAAATGAATTTATTATTCTTTCTTCTTTTGCACGAGTGTTGTAAGACTGTGTCAATATTCAAAGAACATATTCCAACCTTTCCAATGTGCTTAAAAATTAACCTTGATATCACCATTGTTTAAGTGACTGCTGTGGGTCTGAATGTTTGTGTCTTCCCAAAATTCTTATGTTCAAATTTGTAGTATAATATAACTATCTCTGTTTACCTTCACAGCCTGTGACAGTCTTCCCTCCGTTCAAACTGCTTGTTTCATGTCTCTTTATAGGAAATGTTCCTCTTGTCTTGTTAAACTCATACCCTCCTCTTAAATCTACTTCAAAAATTTGTTTTTTAACCAAGGAAGAATGCTTCACAGGAAATGTTACTCCCTACTCTCATTCCGGTTTACTGTTCCCTGTGTAGGCACTATCAATAAATGTTGAAGGAAATGCAGAACTGCATAAAGCTGCATAAACCCACATATGTTCTTTGCTGTTAAGAGAAAAAGAAAAAAATTGAAAGTGCCAAAAGTGTTTGTTTTCTGGAGAGGAAAAAATTAAGCAGGAAAAACTTTCCAATGTAAACTACACAAAAATTACCTGTTTTAACCAATGGAGAGCCAAGAAAAGTTAGGACACAAACTACAATGTACATTCTTCTCTGTTATGGACTAAATTGTGTTCCTCCAAAATTCATGTGTTGAAGTCCTAACCCCCAGTACCTCAGAATGTGACTCTGTGTGGAGAAGGGACCTTTAAGAAGATGATTAAGTAAAATGAGGTCCATAGGGTGAGACCTTAATCCAATATGACTAGTACCCTAATGGCAGCCCTAGCAAACTAATGCTCTCCTTTCTGAAAAAAAGTATACTTCAAATTGTTTAAAAGGCAGAATGAATCTTTTAATAACTGGACAAATATTGTGTCAAAAATAATAAGCATACAAAAACAAAAACCATCAATCTGATCTGATATCTAAAACAAGCAAATGTAGCATTACCATGTTCCTAATGCTTAAATTTAGCTCAAGCCACTAGGAGAAACAATTATAATAAATGGACAGTCCTTGAGTAAGAATTAATACCAGGCCGACAGTGATATTTTCACATATACTTTCAAAACATACACACTTGAATTTTACAATTTACATGATTTTGCTTTGTTAATATCAAGAAAACAGCGTATTTCTTTTAAGCTGTACATTTTCAAAATCAAAACCAATCTTCTCAAACACTACTTAATTTTAAAAGAGGAAATAACTCGATTTTCTTTAATGATAAGCTGGCATCTCAACACAAAAGGGTCTGTCAGAAAATCAATGCTATATAAGACATACATCACTTTCTTAAGCATTGATGTAAAGTCTTTCTCTGGTCTTTGAAGTAGAAACTACGTCTTAATCATCTTATCCTCAGTGCTAGTAATTACAGTCGATTATTATTAGTAGCATTATGTTCTATAAAGTCCAAACACTGAATCAGCAAATACTTGACCAATGCTTGCTCCTATTGGAAATACAAGGTTAGGTTCCTACAAGCCTTTGGTGACATTTTCATCAACCAATCAATACATAACCCTACTCTGTACATGCACATGTCCACAAATGACAGTGAAAACACTGTGAGGATTGGGGTTACAAATCAATTTTAGTGAGTAAGCAAATGAGCAAATACAAAATTCAAAAATAATGAGAATCAACTGTACTTTCACACACTAAGCACTAAACAAATGTTTCAGAATCACATGAACAGATGGATAAAACCATTATCTTACTGAAGTGCTTTCATTACTTCTAGTAATTTCATTATTTTGATCCCATCTACGACACTTATATGACACTGAATCCGCCAGCTGTTTGCTAGCAGAACAGCAACCTGAGTCTTTGGGAACCACATCTGTCCTCTGCCTTGCTTACCTTGCAAAAAATTGATTTCATTATTTATTTTACTACATCTTTGCTGATAAATATGAAAATACTGGAGAAGCAAACACCATGAAATTCTGTTGGGAAACCTAGGAATTCAAGTCCTGCCAATAGACTGGAACAAGAAATTACACACCACTTAGGCATCATCAATGAGATACTCTAAACATTCCTATGCTTGAGAGTCAGTATCACTGCTATGGAAAATGTTATCTGAGTAGTCAGTATCACTGCTATGGATAATGTTATCTGAGTGAGACAGGCCAGAGTTCCTAAGACAGTTTTCTTCACATTTTGTTCTTGAAGAGATAGTTCTCTCATTTGTGACCTCAGCCACTTTCACACATTGTGATACCCTTTGGAAGCATTACACTTCACCTCTTAGGCAAACTGAGTTTGCTTTTAAAAAGAAATCCCCATTCTTAAGTGTTTAGTACCAGTTGACCTGCCTGTATTTATTTTCTCATAATCCACAGTCACGCTACACTGTTTGAAGCTGTGCTGCAAATACTTCAAAAGTTTCTATTCACTTGCTGACACTATAGCTGTTCCACTTCAGATCATTCATTACACAGCCCCCAACTTGCTATGCTGCTGTCAAACATCTTGTCCCTCCACTGTAACAGCTGCTAATTCTTTCTTAATATTTAGGAGCCAAATTGTCCCTAGTGACTAAGAAATGCTATGAGTAGAAACACAGGCATCTAAGCTGTGCACCCTACTAACATGAACTTACTGCACAGAGCAGTGAAGCACAGAAGAATTGTGTCCGCTTATCTTTACATCAGAGAAAGATTTAAATATGGCACTTCCGCTTTCTTGAAAGTTTCATGTATGTAACCTATTACCTCTAAAACTCTGATTTCCTTCCCTAATACTTAATCATTTCATGAGAGCAAGTTTAGTGCTTGAAGAAATGTGGAATTATTATTCTGGTCTCTACGGCAGCATTTAATTTAAAACATAAAATTCTAATTATCGAAGACGACTACCAAGGTACTCTTAGCTCTACCACTTACAGAATTACTGAAATACATCACTTAACATTTCTATGCCTCAATTTCCTCATTTGAAAAATGGAGATAATAATAATCTCTACACTTCATATATGAAAGTTGCTTTAAAAAACTCAGAAAATATCAGCTCTTATTACCACCTAAGTATAAAAAAATTAGTTTATACCCAGTCAACAAAACATTCATCAAAAGATACAATATGACATTGTTATAAAGTGGTTTCTGTAAAATACCTTAATCCAAAATGTCATTTTAACAATTCAGTGGCATTTCTAAATTGCTAAAACTCTTTTGCTTCCTTGGTGACAAAAATGTAAACATTAAATAGTCACTCGGCTGGGTGCCGTGGCTCACTCCTATAATCCCAGCACTTTGGGAAGCCAAGGCTGGAGGCCTGTTTGAGCCTTAGGAGTTTGAGACCAGCCTGAGCAACATGGTGAAACCCCGGAGGCTGAGGTGGGAGGATCACCTGAGCTCAGGGAGGTTGAAGCTGCAGTGAGCCACGATCGTGCCACTGCACTCCAGCGTGGGCGACAGAATGAGACCCTGTCTCAAACAAACAAACCAAAAAGCAGTCATCCTCAGCTTTACTTCCAGTATGTCTCACCATTCTGTAGAGTGCTAATTGTAATTCACAATTCTCACTGCCAACTTTGTTCAACTAGCGTTCACGTTAAAATTTCAAGTTTAGATGACAATGCAAAACTTGCTATATTTCACTAATCTGAGCTAATCTCATAATTAATGACTAAAAGTTTTATATATAATATGCTAGGCTATTTAGATTTTCAGGTCTTTCATCCTGATATAGGCACCTTGGTCTGCCCTTTTCAACAAGGCAGCCATAAAATTACAGGTTTGTAATTATCTTCATTCTTTAGGACTTCATAAGGAGCCATTAAAATAGTTAAACGACATTTTATAGAATAATGTACTGCGCAGACTTTTCACTATGATGACAATTTGGCCGTAGAGCATGTTCTGATGTCTGGGTTTTTTTTTTTTTTTTAATCAGTAGAGAGTGCGTTTGGCCTATGCATTAGTAGATTACTACTAGTCTTGAACAGTTCCATCTCATGAATCTAACATTTTTCATATTTCAGTATAAATGCCAATAAGTAATTGAGATAAACAGCTTGTTAGGCATTAAATGTTACTGAAATGACCCTAGTCTACATTTAGCTTTCCCCCTCCTCATAGATTTACTAAGACAGGGTTCATTGTCCAAATACTGGTGACAGAGTTTAAGAGCTTATATGAGACATATTGAACTATGCCTTTCATCAAATTTGCCACACTTACTTTTTCACCAAAAAATGACAAATTCAAAGCCTTATAAGTGGCAACGAACTGATCATAAAACATTATGTGTAATGAATTGAATGTATCTTTGCTAGCAAACATTATTTCTGCCAAACAATTCAGAAATAATACCAAACCATTTAAACAGACAGGAATCTGGCCTACAGTCAAGAAAAGCAATAAAAAAAAAATACCTCAATAGCTGCTTTTTCAAACAAAGAGTCTTTTCCCCTGCTCTGGCACAAAATTTGGGAAAAGAGCCAAGGTGCTACTTCTCGGCCCTCTGACATCAGGGGAAGACTGTGTGCGTCAGCCGGCCCAGTAGGGACCCCTGGCTTATGACAATGCACCATGTGCTTCTTATCTTATCAGCTTATAGTGCCTGGCACTTCGGCCATTACTGTGTGAACCCTGGAGGAAGGAAGGTGTTTGTAATTGTGAGAGTGTAGGTTAAAGTTAGGAGCGAAGCAGGTTTTAGCAACTTATTAACAAAACAAACTGTTCAACATATGGCATTAATAATAATAAAAGCCTCTGCCTTCAAACTCAAACTTAAGAGAAAGTGAGTCTTTTAAAGGGGTGTTCTAGCTGTATATGAGAACCACTTCCACTCCTACTTATGCAAATAAATGTCAAAGTTGTAGTCCAGAACAGTGACTCCATTACATTCTTTAAAAAAAAAAAAAGCAATTTGTTAGAAAATGTACGTGTGCCTCTTATATTAGCTCTACTAAAAATGGTGCTTGGGGATTGGGAATAGGTTAACTGCTTTCAAATGTTGACCAATATTTGCACCTCTAACCAACGCAGGGGACAGAGTTCCACCCACTCAGGTGAGTGGAGCTCAGTCACACCACTGGAGCCAGGATTGAGGGATTCAAAGAGAATTTGCTAAAGACAGAAACTGTCTCATAAAAACTATTTCACCTCAAAATTAATTTTCAAAAAACCTATCCTTGACTTAAAAATCATTTTAAAACAACTTTAAAATATTCAGAGAAACATCACACTTGCTACTTGAAAACTAATCTTGTCGATGTAATCAACACGTACATTCTGAATAACAAAAATAAGAGTTTTACTTACTAGTCTCGGCTCAGACTGTACATTAAAAAGCTCTTTGTTAAAAGTGAGAGTGCATTTATACCATGATTTACAACTATCTCAAACTAATACACCTCATAAACTGTCATACTGGTCATACAGCTAATAAAACAATAGATTTCTGATATTACATTATAACTGTTTATTATTCCCTCAAGCTTACCTGTTAAAACAGGATATGATTCATTTGCTCCCTGCTACTCCTCTATGTGGGTTAGAGGTCATGCCATTATAAACCATGAATAAGTAGAAAAATTATTTACTCCCTCCTGTGACAAAATTCCCCTCTCTGATGACACCATCCTATCCTTACACCTCATTCTTCCTTTCATAACTTTTGAGTCAGGTATTTGCCCTCAACTGTACACTGTGGTCACTGTTCATCTAGTTTCTCTCCCATTTGAATTAACTTTGCCTCACCTCATTATTGAGTTTAAAGACCACTGCCGATTACTGCAATAACACCTCAGCAAGCACCACAGAATTCTTTGCTTAGTCCCACCCCACACTAGGTAAACCCAATCATTCGAGTTTTGTGACCTGCATTTCTAACTGGTTAGAGAAAAATGCAGTCATGTCAATTCTTTTCTGCCTCTTAGATGGCTCCCTATACTGATCCCACAGCAGCCAGACCAAGACTGTTCCATTACTACTAAGCATCCGGACACAGCATGATCACCCTGACACGTGACCTAGCCTTTTGTTACTCAGAGGATCCTTTATTTTTCCCCTCCAATGTTTCTCTGAACCTCTACCCACTTTCTAGCTTCTCTCCTAACTCAGCTGGCTCTCTTTTTTGGTTCTTGATTCCTTCTTTTCCTTGCTCACTCAGTTATTTCCCCTTTATGTCTCATGTCTTCAAACTCTCCTTGCCCCTTTTAATGTAAAGATTTCTAAGACACTAACACTTCCACCAATCCTGAAACATGATCAACAACAACAAAACATCCTTCACACCTGGTAAACCCATCACACCTTCTATTTTTCTTTCACCATCAAAGTCAAAAGAGTAGTCCAGTGCTTATTTTAATGTCCTTAATTCTAATTCATGTGTTAATAATCACCCAATGATTTCATTCCCCATAACTGCACTAAAATCATTTTTTGGTTAAACCAACTTTCCAAATTGCTAAATATCATTATCTCAGTCTTCATCTCCCTTGGTCTCAGTAGTATCAGATATTGTTACTGGAGACTGGATATCATTCTTTGGTTAAAATCATTTTTTGGTTAAACCAACTTTCCAAATTGCTAAATATCATTATCTCAGTCTTCATCTCCCTTGGTCTCAGTAGTATCAGATATTGTTAACTAATCCGTTAGTTTCTTGGAAATTTCTCCTACATAACATGGTAAAGCAGGTCATTTAGCCAATAATAAATTTGCCTAAAGCAAATATGTAACCCACCCTATGAAAAATAAAGGGAAAAATCACCCAACTAGAACACCACAGAAATCCTCAAAAGCCATTAAAACTAACCCATCCAGTATGAAACACTGTAAACTTTTCGGTGCAATGAAACCCTGTCAATGATACTGTAGGGGGCTTGACTGAAGGTTGGCACCAAAAAGAGTCAAGGTGTGAACAAAACAAAGTTCTCATCAATTGATAATTTTAATGAATTGGCAGATCAAAACAGAGCTATAGAGTACTAGTTTGCTTCCTGTCTATCTGAATGTCCCTTCTAAATTTCTTTTGCTGGCTTCGTGTCCTCTACTCACCTGTTAAATGTTGGGATTTCCTCTCTTCTATCCTCATTCTACATTCTTTTCCTTCAAAGTCTTCTCTACCCCCATCTCTTCAACTGTAACATCTCTGTGGATGACTTCTATATCTATACCATTAGCTTCTAAACAAAAACAAAACAAAAAAATCAAATAACTAACAGATAATTCTCAGCATGGCTACACTTTAACCTACTTGAATCTTCTCCCTCTTCTCCTCCTTCACCTCCCTCTTTCATATCCCATCTCTTTAAGTGAAATCATCCTCCTCTTAAATCATCTAAACTAAATATCCCAGTCATCCTCCAATCCACCCTCTTCTTCAGTCCCTAAATGCAAATCACTGATTTCTGTCAACAGTACCTTCACAGTGTTTCTGCCTCCTTTAAACCTTCTTCATTCCCACTGCTATTACCTTTGTTCAGACAGTTAGCCATCATTTTCCCCTCTCAGGGAAGCTCACCATCTCCAGCTCAGAATAAATCCCAATTTGCTACATCAGTCATGGTAATGCTCTCCTTCCCTGAAAGTCATTAGTTTAGCTCTCACACAGAAAAGTCCACTCTTCTTCCAATGTGCATACCAGGCCTACAGCCAAAGAGCTGATCTTGCCACCATCAAAACAAAGTCCATTAGCAAAGTGGGAAGGGTAAAGAAGCAGATCCAAAGGGTGTGAGTAACTGAATCCATCAATCCTGGAGTTGCCCTTCCTAAAAGGCTCATGTTTTATGACGCCAGTTTTCCCTATTGTTTAAGTAATCTGAAGCAGGTTTCTCTTACTTGCAGCCAAAAGGTGCTCTAACTGAACAGCCCCATGCCAGCGTACAGCCTTCTCCCTCAACTTGCCTTTCTGGTTTCAGGTCTCCTGATCAATCTTTCTTCACCTACTCTACTCTCAGAAGTACTCTCCTGGGGGACGTGGAGTGATCCTTGGGCCCAAAAGTCCATGACCAGCCCATGCCCGGCTGGCATTCCAAGACCTTCCAGGGCAGCACGCAACACTCCATGCTCAAGAAACTCTGGGAAGTCTTCTAGGGCTTCAGCACAGCAGGAAACTGGGACCACGAAGCTACTGAATGGGCTATAAAGGCCCCACACCCCCAAGGGCACAGGCGACCCCCATCTCTGGGTGCCAAGCCAAGGAGCTGCCAATGGGCTTTACACCCATGGTTCTGGAGTCCACCTGAGGCACTCGTTCACCCCAGGTCCCCTCACTCTTGGAGCTCCCCACACGTGGGCCGCCTGCTATGAGTCCCTGCCTCCCAGCCACCATCCACTTCAAGACTGGACTAGAGCAGCCCTCATGCAATCAGCAGCCACAGCGAAGGTGGCACATGACGGGTGGGCACAGGCACTTCTGATGACATCATGCCCACCCTAGAAACGCCATCCGCCCGCTTCCGGCCTGGGCTTCCTAGGACGGACGGGAAACTTCCTACAGCTGGGGAGGGCCCGAGACCCGAGTCCAGCAGCTAGAGGACACAATAGAAAATACACAAAACAAGAGAAACCCAGGAAACTCTCTAAACATGGGCCCTGCCACTCCTTGCACCGGGTCACCTCTGTGCCATCTCCACAGGCGTCTGCTCGCCCTGACTAGAGACAGGAACCAGGAGTGCCCACTGGGTGAGCCACGACCTTGAGCTCAGTACAAGCAGGAAGTTCCTGCTTCATTCAATCCGAACTGACTTCAGGTAAATACAGGGGTCCCAATTGTGGGCCGAATCGTCCAGATGCTCAGGGCGGCCAGCCTCAGCCTAAGGGAAGCCCAGCATCTCTTTTAGTTCAACAGACAGCAGCTTTTCTTCTTCTTTGGATGGCTGCACTCTCAAGAGTTTTGTTTGAATTTTTTTTTTTTCCCCATGACAAATTAAGTCAAGATTTTGTAAGGGGAAACTTCTTACTCCTCCCCATGGTCCCTACCCTCCCTGCAAGAATCCAGAAGCACTGTTGACTGTTACAGATTCCCTTTTGTAAATGCTACAATGCAATGAAACAACATGGTAGGGGCAAAGTCCAATTTAACCAAAAGAACAACAGTCTGTTTCAGATTTTTATTTAAAAAATTTGATTAGTTCCTCACTGTTCCAGAATAAAGATGAAAAACAGAGTATGGAAGCACCTCCACCATCTGGCCCCAAACAACCTTCATCTCCCGCTACTCTCCCCATTCCTATGGTCCTCAAGACTTCCATAAAACCCACACCTATACCTTAACTCTTTCCTACTAAATGCATTTACCCTTTTTGGCCGCCAAACTCTTTTTCTGTTTTTTTCTTACATGGCATAATATAAAGTCCGTCTCTCCAATTTATTTCTACCCATTTCTGCCTTAGTGTCCCAACCGCCCAAAAGTCAATCATGCATCTATTGCGCCTCTGCTAAGTAATGGTAAAATGAAACCACTGCTGCTCCCCTTAAGGGAAGACCGACCACAAACAGCTACACATCAGTGGGATAAGAAGTGTCCTAACTGTACATGAGGTCTATAGGAAAAAGAAGAAAAGCAACAGACTAAGTGAGATACTAAGGTCAGAGAAGCTTCTCACAAACAAATGGACACCCACATTGAGCCTTGTAATCCACGAACAGACAAGACGGAAAGGGCATCTCAGACAGAAGGAACAGCACATACCCTCCCAAGAAGGCATGAAGGATCAACCTTTTAGGGAAGTCAAAAATTATATATGATGAAAGGCATGTGGAAGAAGTGAAGGATAGCTGCTCAGAGTAAGCAAAGGCAGTTTAAGGATACTGTATGCCATGCTAAGGACTTCAGAATTTTATTTGTAGGTGGATGGAAACATGCAAGATTTAACCTTGAGAATGATATAAGCAGATGTGGATTTTAGAATGCTCTTTACTCCCATAGAAAGAATTGATTGAAGCCAGGAATGCCCATTAGTCAGTCCCACTGCAGCAGTGCAGTTGAGAAACAGTAGCAAAATAAAACTCATAATTACATGGCAGACTGACAAGACTAGATGACCAGTTACATGCACAAGATTAGGGAGAATGACTGGGATGATACAAGTCCTCCCTGACTCTTCATTGTCTCTCACACCTCACATCCATACCATTAAGCAGTCCTGTTGTTGCAAACTTCAAAATTCATCCAAAACCTAATCATGTTTCACCTTCCCAACAGTCAACACCATCAATTCCAGCCACTATCATCCTTCACCTGGCTACTCCAATAGCTTTCTAACTGGTTAACCTGCATGCATCTATAGTCTGGTCTCAATATAGCACCCTGTCAAAACATAAACTAGATCATGTTGCTGCTCTACTAAAAACCCTCCAACATCCCCTCATCTCACACAGCGAAGGCCAAAGTCCTTACATGGCCTGTTCCTCATGACCTCTCTGACCTTGCACAAACTAGGCATACATCCACATCCTGGCCTTTTCCCTAGCTTGTGCCTCTGCCTGGAATACTGTTCTTTCCTCAGGTGTCTACATCACACCTCCTGCGAGCTATTGTTCAAAATGTCACCGTCTCAAATGAGAGCTACATGGTATTTAATATTGTTGTCTCCCAGCCCCTACTAGCCCAACTCCTGACCCTCCTCACTCTGTTCTACATCATTTTTCCTGTGGCACTCTAAACTTTCGAATATCCTACATAATTTACTTTTATTTGCTGTCCATTTATTTTACTAGAATATATGAATTCACAAGGACAGGGCTCTTCCGTTTTGTTCACTGATATATCACAAGCACTTAGAACAGTGCCTGCTCAATAGCAGGTGCTCAATACATATTTAAATTAATGAATGTTTGAATAAATGAACCCAATACTTGGGGTCAGGAGAGAGTCATGAGGAGGAATGGGTCGGGTATGTCTTCTAGAAATGAAACCTGAGCTGAGCCTTAATGAGAAGAAATTAAGTGAGCAACTAAGTGCTCTGGAATTTCCAGAGATGACAGCATGAGAAGGTAGTGATGCAAGAAGGGCATGGGACTACAAACAGTTTGATGTTGCCAGAGCTTAAATAAGAGAAAAAGAGGTAGAAATGAGGCTGGTTTTTGTCAATTAGTGAAAGGTCCTGATTATATTCCAGCTCAAGTAAGTTTACTGTGAGTTTCTGAAACATCGATCAGCCGTTAGTGAGGACAATTAGTTTTAAGGAAAAAGTAATGTGCATATATAAGGTAATGGTGATGTAGTTGAGAGATATTTTAAAAACATAACCAGCAGGACTTATTTAATGGACTGAATATGGAGAGAGTGGTGAATGAGAATAAAGATAAGTACCACCTTTCAAACTCACATATATATGGTGTAATGAGAAAGAAGATGGTAAGTGTCCTACCCAATGAGAAGACAAAGAAGATAGTAAGTCTCCTACCCAATGAGAAAGAAGATGGTAAGTCTCCCACCCAATGAGAAAGAAGACGGTAAGTCTCCTACCCAACGAGAAAGAAGATGGTAAGTCTCCTACCCGATGAGAAGAGAAAGAAGATGGTAAGTCTCCTACCCGATGAGAAAGAAGATGGTAAGTCTCCAACCCAATGAGAAAGAAGATGGTAAGTCTCCTACCCAGTGAGAAAGAAGATGGTAAGTTCAATTTTTGACTTGTTAAATTATATAATTTTTAGCACATTAAGTTAGAAAAATTGGTGATAAAAATAAATATTAATTTCCTTTTTAGATCCATTATGGTGACACCATGGAGAAAATAAGAGGTAAGAAAACCTGTCAACAGTTTCAATTCTAACTTTACCACTCATAAAAATATTCAGGTGTTAATTTAAATCTTTCCTTTCCAAAAGAATACTTTAGACCATTTAATACTAATTAGAACCTCACCATGCTTTGACAGAAGAACAGTGCTATGGACAGAATGTGTCCCCCCAAAATTCATATGTTGAAGCCTTGATCCTCAGTGCAGTGGCATTTGGAGGCAGGGTCCTTGGGAGGTAATTAGGTCATGAGAGTAGAGCCCTCACTGACAGGATTAGTGCCCTCACAAGAGCTGAGAGAGAGATTCATGCCCTTATAAGAAATGAGAAAGAGATGACTTATCTCTCAAAACATTTCTCTTGTAAGAAAGCAGCCATCTGTCAACCAGGGAGAGGGCCCTCCCCAGGAACTGCATCAGCCAGCACCATGGTCTCTGACTTCCCAGCCCCCAGAACTGTGAGAAATAAATGTTTAAAAGTCACCCAGTCTGTGGTACTTGTTGGAGCAGCCCAAATTCACTAAGGCAGATGCATAAGCATTTTGCTTAAAAGTATGATAAACAGAACAAAACAATTTCTCATCATGTGTTTCTGAGGCCTTTACAATTTGAGAATTTTGCTTTGATTATTCTGGTGGACAAAAGTGCTAAATCCTACTTGGACTGGGGATTAATATATTCTCTTTGGCACAAAGGATTTGAGTAGCCCTAAACTGATCTCATATTTAAAGCAGAGACTATGAATCAGTCAGTTGTTCTGAGAGGAACATTTGGACTAGAAGTCTAACAATGGGGTTTCTAGTTTTGATTATTTCATTTACTTGCCACCAAATGTGGTTTCAGTGATTTTCCTTATCTCTTTATCCAACTATATGCTTATTTGTATATTCAGTAACTATTTTTGAACACTAACAACATGCTATATACTAGAAATCTAAGGATGACAAGACCATGGTCCCCGCTTTTACTTAAGCAGGTAGACAATAAGAACAGTTGAAGATAAATAGCATTAGTTATGCCTGACCCACCTATTTCCCAGGGCTTTTATGAAGCTTAAACAAACTGAATTTTTTCAAAAATACACAGCTCTATACAGAAGTACAGTGCTAATATTTGAAGGCAGATATTCACCATAACAGCATATTTCTCTATGTAGGCTGTTTTGAGTAGTCACTATGGAGCTTAATGAGGTAAGTGGAAATACAGGGCCCAAAAATCAAAAGTCACAACCAATGGAAAAATAAAAACTGTACAGTGAGAGCTTCTTAAGTATGCAGAAGCAAATCATTACAAGCATATGATTTCTATGTCGATTTAATAACAGGACTGTATTTCAAATTAAGTACATTTTTCTAAGGTACAGTTGTTCACATCAAATGATCTAATTGTCAAGTCTAAATAAAATAAATCTACCTATGTTTAAATGCACAATGAAAAAACCACTGAAATTTAAATTTAAGTGGAAGACTGTTAAGAAAAAAAAAACTGAATATAAAAATTTGACTCAACTCAAAGGAAAAAAAATAACTATACACCAAAAGAAACACCATGGATTCAAGGGTCATGAGAACAAACAAAAAAAAAAACAGGTTTTACTCTTTGGGGATTTTTACTACCTTGTCTTGTTTTTTAATCAAGACAAGTATAGATGACTCTCTATTTACGAACTTTTATCTCTTGAAGTTCTTTACTTAGTTGTCCTTTTCAAATTGTTACACATTCAAAAATTAAAACAATATAAAATATATATATTGAGAAGTCTCATTCTCACCAGATTTCTCCCCAAGAAAACACACAAGTATGTTTTCCTGTGTGTCTTACCAGTATTTCTTCGTGCGGCAAATAACTCAAAACCTTTATAAATACAAACAAAACACATCCATATGTGTCAACCACCAAGTACCGGCCTCCACAGCTGCTTGTTCGATGCAAAGCTTTTCTGAGCCAGCTGCTTATGATAGCATTAGTCTGAATTTGTTGAATGCCTACTATGTGCGGGGGCAGTATACTAATCATTTTCCATTTACTAAATCATTTAATCTTCAAAATGATCCAGATAAATTATTCTTACTATCCTCATTTTACAGAAGAGGAAAGAGGATTAAGAAGTTAGGTCACTTGCCAAAGTTTACATAGCAAATGTGTACCTGAGCTATGTTTCAAAACAAATAACAAATTAGTGTGCCTAAAGATCCTCTTTAACGTATATTCTCTACCTCTTCAGTCTTACTGCTTCTCCAAAGTTTACAAGTAAAACAGTCAGATACTCCAGGAGGCCAAAAATCACTTCCCAAAAGATACCCACATCCAATCCCTGGAACCTGTAGAATGTTGCCTTATGGCAAAAGATGAGATTACAGTTAAAGATCTTGAGAGGAGGAGTTTACCCTGTATTATCCAAGTGAGCCCTAAATGATATAACTTCAAGGTATTCCACACAGCATTCCTTCTAATCAAGGAACTTACTTCACAGCAAATGAGGTATGACAGTGGACCCACGATCATGGAATTCACTGTTCAAACCATGTCCCCATATCCTGAAGCAGCTGGCTTGACAGAAAAGAAAAGGGGTATTTGAAGTCTCAGCAGCAGGTAGGTGGGATATCTTGCAGCGCTGGGGCAATGTTCTGTGGGAGATTGTATATGTCCTAAACTAGTGTCTAATGTATGATACCGTTTCTCCCATAGCCAGGATTCATGGGTCCAGGAATCAAGGGTGGGGAGGAATAGGAATGGCACCCCTTAATATTACTCCTGGTGATTTACTACTAAAATGTTCACTTCCTGTTCCCACAACCTTATGCTCTGCTCGTCCTTAGCTTCAAAGGGAGGAATGTTTCTACCAGAAGACACAATGGCTCCAATGAACTGGAAGTTGAGACTGCCACCCAGTCACTTTGGGCTCCTCAGGCCTCTGAATCAATAGGCAAAGTACTGGCTGGGGTGATTGATCCTGATTGCCAGGAGGAAATGGAGCTGCTACTATCGGGTATTCTGGCTCCAGGCCCAAATCGTCTGTGTGATCTTTCAGGTCCAATAGAGGCAGTTACAAAGTTGTGCCTGGCAGCCCTCATGGAGAAAAGCTGACCCCACCACACAACATGCTTGGTGCACAGTCAGTGCACTGCAGTTTTCTGGAAGGAGTTGCAGTTGAGGACTCAGGCTTCCCTGACCCCTGGGCCAGTCATGCTCATACACATATGTTCCTTCCTTGTCCAGGCACCTCCATTCAGCCGCCTTCTTACTGGGGGGCCTGGAGGAGGTACTTTTCTTCCCTTTGATTTGGTACTTTCCCATACCTAGCCCTTCCCCCAGCCAACAGGCCCATAAAGACGCAGGAGCCTTTTGTTTGAGACTTCCCAGCAGTGAAATGCACCCCTCATCTGAGCTGATCCACCTGACTCTCACCAGTGCCATTCTGCAGATGACAGCCAGCACCTCTGGGGAGCCAGCACCATTTTGTGTCTCTTGCTTATCCCAGCAAGTGAACAAAGCCTTAGTTATTCCTTTTTGTTTGGCCCCTTGTCCTAATCAACCACCTGGACACCTGGTTGCTTTTCGGCTACAAAAAGAAGGTTAGGAAGAACATGTCTGGAATGCAGAATACCCCTTAGGGCATCTGCATCTGCCACCATGCCCTGTGACTGAAGTCAATGGAAAACCAACAACCCCTTTCAGGCAGGACTGTTAATGACCCAGGCCCCTCAGGAATGAGGGTCTGGGTCACCCTACAGGCAAAGAACCCTGAGCAACAGGCTGTGGTGCTCCCAGAGGGCAAAGGGAATATGGAATGAGTAATGGAAGAAAGTAGCTATAAACACTATCTAGGACCAGGCAGTCAGTTTCAGAAACAAGGGCTTCAATGTTTATGAGTATTTCTTATTTTGTTATTGAGTATGTGGGTATACACATTTTTAAGCAAGAATCTTTGCATTCTTCCTGCTCTTATCCCTTATCATCTAACATAAGATGCATGAATAACATTGAACTTTACATCATGGTATTTAAGTTCCAGGAAGTTAAGGAAAACAGTGAAAACCAACCAGGAACTTTTGCATCCTCTTCTGGGGAAAGGGTTAACACATTTTTGGTTGTAAGTAAGATAGCTGCATCATGTCCTGTGGAAATATGACTTTATGGGTGTCTTTATTTGGAGATTAGTCATAGTTTAAGAAGAAGTATATGAGTGCCAAGTTTACAGGGGGTGATGGCCAGTTTTATGTGGGAACTTGACTAGTCTAATATTCCCAGCAACTCATTCAAATACAAACAAGGTGTTGCTGTGAAGGTATTTTGTAGACATGATTAGCAGTCACAGTCCATTGACTTTAAGGAAATTATCCTTGATAATCTTAGGGGGACCTACGTGCAATCACACGTATCCTTAAAAGAGGGAGGCAGAGGAATTTTTGAGAGAGAAGTGCACAGAGGAAAAGGGGATGTGAAAATAGAGGCAGAGAATAGAATGATGCTGCCACAAGCCAAGGAATGCCTGGAGCCACCAGAAGCTGGAATAGGCAGGAAAGGACTCTCCCTTCGAGCCTCTGGAGGGTGTGCAGCCCTGCCAATACCCTGATTCCAGACTTCTCTTCTCCAGAATGATGAGAGAATGCACTTCTGTTGTTTTAAGCCACAACGTTTGTGGCATTTGTTAGAGCAGCCACAGGAAACTAATATAGGTGCTTAACAATAAAACATAGTAAGAAAAGAAATTTTATCTGAGGAATGCGAGCCTGTTGTAAATTATCAGACCCACAGAGGCATGAGAGTGAGGCAGCAGTCGCATCCAACATCCCCCCCTTGCGCTAAGTAATCAGCTCTTGAAGCTGCTTGCTATGTGGACTCTTGACCAGCTGCCGCCACAAGCAGCTATCAACTAACCAAGCAAGGCCACTCACTGGACACCATACCCCATACCCCACAGTTCACCAATGTATAGTCAATCACTAATCAATCTTATTTGTCTAACCAACGGGAATTCCTGACAAACAGCAGTTATCAGCCCACTCCCTGCCCCCCTTTTGCTTTGGAAAACCTGCTTCTAACAAAGGCCGAACAGAGCTCATATCCAAGGTGACCTGGGTCTCAGTCTTCCAGATGGCTGTCCTCTCACCTTAGCTCAAGTAAACTTTTTAAAATTATATTTTGTGCCTCAACTTCCTCCTTCAGGTCAACAATATAATGAGAATCAAATAATATTATAGAGAAAGAATGAGATAGTACATGTTTCCATTAAGTTACTGCACAAGTAAAACTAGTTTTTAAAATTGAATTCTTATTCAGACACCAATAGTTAAGATGTCCTCCCTCCCACTATGCCACAAAATATGAAACCCATTACTCTTCAATATTTCCTTTCCCATTTTGCCATTTTCTTAGAGATCTGACCAGGTGGGGCAAATAGTCATGTCCCAGAAGAGAACTGATACTATATATCAAAAGGCCTAAAAGAAGAAAAGCAAACCTCTAATTAAAAATGTTAATAATATCCACAAGGGCCAAATGATAGTTTACACCCCTGAAGTTATATAGAAATAATATTCTAAATCATACTACCATATTGTAGTTTACTAAGAAAACCACAAGTAACGTCTAGAAGCCACCAAAATCCATGATTCTTAATACTTTAAGTGACTTTTCATAAGAATGTTAGTTGGCTTCAGAGGTTGAAATACCAACTCGCTTCCTTGATTTGAAATTTGGTTGGAAGCCAACATCTAGAACTCGGTAATGTTATCTACAGCAGTCTTTCTTATATAACTCTTTTATATTTGCCTTGAAAAAAAAATGCTGAGCTAATGACAAAAGACAATCTTGGGGTACTTTGTCTTAAAATCTGAGGGTGGAGAATCAGCATGCAAGCAAAACTTCAGGTGGCAGCACCTTTGGAACCAGCACCTAGCAAACTGTGGGGCATCCATTCATGCTCTGGGGGATGTCACCAGCCATCACAGAGGGTGACCAACTCTAAAGGATGAGCGCAGGGGAAGTGGAAAAGGAGAGAGTAGAATGGCACGTGGAATGTGAGTTTCTGACGGGCAGAGATTTTGTCCTGTTTGTTCTCATCGTATCACCTGCATGTGGAACAAAGAAGACAGTAAATATCCATGGAACAGGTCAATGCACAGAATATGTGGGTGGAGGAATGAAAGAAAGAAGTAAAGACGGGAGGAACATAAACTTTTTGAAAGTATATACAGGGAGAAAGCAATTAGAACGATACAAGGAGAAAGTTACGTACCAAAACCCAGCTCTTGAATTGAAATTTAATACGTGTCTCATGCACAGCAGCAATTTACGGAAAACAAAATGAGTAATTTCCTTAGGTTCTTGGGTCCTAGATGGGGGTAAGTTATTTTTGCTGTAAAATTTTAGCATGTATTCCCTAAACAGACAAAGGAATTACTCATTTAATTCATTGTTTCATCTTATTAACATTAGAAGTACTGATAGAAAATTAAATCACTGCATGTTTCATTAAGTTAGATGCAGAAGAGACCTAGTGATTAGCAAATTCCAGACCCACCCAATATTTGGGGGATTTCTCTAAATGTCAGATATGAATTTTTTTTTCCTATTTACCTGATTGATAGGATAGAACAACTAAGGTATAAGGACTTTGGGAAATTACTGTTAAAAAAAAATGCAACACATAATTTTCATATGTCTTCCAGGAAAGAACAACCATTATTTTTGGCCTTTTAAAATTCAAGCTGCAAACCACAGAGGTTAAATGAGGTTAAACACCTCATAAAGGTCCCTGCACACAGAAACATTCAGAAAACACTGCTGACAGATGACTGTCATTGGTATGGACGGCTTAGAGATCTAGCAACCAAAGCAAGATTCATTACGATGTTTGCTTTAAATTTTGTTTTTGTTACCACTCCAATAAAACTAGATGACTCTATTCTATTTTAACCAGTATTAGCCTTTGTATTTTCTTTATCATCAATAAGAAATGTATCTTTTGTTCTTAAGGTAATTTATAATGCTGGTAAATACCGCTCTAAAAAAATGGTATGTATAACTATATGTCTATACCTTTCAAACTAAGTTATTCTTAAAATTGACACTAGGTGAAAATACTCTCCTTTCCCATCTTAATATTAGAAAAAAATTATCTTGGGGGTGGTAGTAAACTGCTGGAGAGTGAGGGAAATAAAGTGAGATTTTTTTTTCTTTTTTTTTTTTTTTTTTTTTTTTTTGAGATGGAGTTTTGCTCTTTTTGCCCAGGCTGGAGTGCAATGGCATGATCTCGGCTCACTGCAACCTCCACCTCCTAGGTTCAAGCAATTCTCCTGCCTCAGCCTCTAGAGTAGCTGGGATTACAGTCATGTGCCACCATGCCCGGCTAATTTTTGTATTTTTAGTGGAGATGGGGTTTCACCATGTTGGTCAGGCTGGTCTCGAACTCCCGACCTCAGGTGATCTGCCTGCCTTGGCCTAACAAAGTGCTGGGATTACAGTGAGCCACCACTCCCAGCCTAAAGTTAGCTTTATGATTTTACTTTGTCCCCTACTATCAAGTCAGTACTTTCAGATATATTCCATAAAAAGAGGGAAAACCTACATTATTCTGCCATTTTAAGAAAATATGATGTCATAGTTCATGAAATCCACATCTCAAATACTAGTACAGTGAAGAAAACATGGGTTCTGGGAGAAGACAGATGTGAGCTTGAATCTCTAATCCACCACTTATTAATGTAACCTCTCTCTGGACAATTTCCCTACCTACACTATGCAGTTTTTGTGAATGTTAAATGAGGTAATTAATGTTAAGACTCTAGCATAGCCCTAACACACAGGAAGTACTCAACAAATATTTAAAATAAATATTCATAAAAGTCTCTGTAAGTATCTTTATTTTCCAAATATTCTACCACCCAATGAAAGCATTAAGAAACCAGTTCTTTTCAAATCAGCCATGGCCACAAAACTAACATATTTAACACAGATTAATATATTGCCAACATATACAAGCTCACTTGTACATGTCTGTACAAACTGCTGAAGTCCAAAAAATAAAATTTCATCAATTGCAAACATACAGAGCATGCAAAGTACTATAGGCCTTTAGATAGTTTCCAATTCTGTTTACAAGCAAGGTACAGGGGAAAAGTTAATTGGGTAAAATGACTTGAAATGACAATGAGTATCAGCTGTATAAGGTCCCACGCAGCCTGCTGTGTTCACCACAGCACTCAGCATGGATGGCCTCCACATGCTTGTGGAATACAGAATATGAAATTTCCCCAATTTTAGTTGTTCTCTTAAAGATTTATTACTTTATATTTAAAATGCATTGGTTAAAACTTTAAAAAATGTTTTATTTCTTTATTATTTCATTTAGCTTTAAGTAAAATAAAGACAATCAAAAATGAAAATGAACACTAGAACCTTTTTTTAAACTTTGAAAATCAAGTTAATATTTTCTCAGGCTGGTTTGGGAGTACATAGGTATTCATTGATTCACATGTTTTAAATTAATTACATGTGTCTTCAGACACATAACAGTCCCTGGCATAGAGATTATTTTTGAATGGATGGAAAGAAGGAAGGAAAGGAGGCCTTCCTGGAGGAAGGGAAGAAAGACAAATGGATGTATGAGAAAAATTATAAATTTGAAAAAAATGTCACCGACTGAAATTGTCTATATTCCAGGCTAAATAACTTATCTGCATATGGTATGAACTGCAGGTTAAGTAACAAGTTAGAAAGCAAGGGAACAGATTTTAAACAAGTCTAACCAATCAGCCACTAAAAAACAAAAAAAATTCAGATACATTTAAAACTCTACCTTTAAATATAAATTTCATTTAAAGAAAATGTAAATCATTAAGAAAAAGACTTCAAAAGGCAAACTGTTAAGTTTAAATATGCATACTATATTATTTCAGTTTTTATCACAAATTGAGATAAAAAGTACAAAGGACAGCAGATGCTTCTGAATGTCACTTGAAAAATTTGGATTTTCAGTTGTACACATCTGAGGTTGAGGAAAGTTATTGGCAAAAACATTTCAGGAGTGTTTATGAAGACTAGAAAAGGTTCCGGGATAGAATCTAGAGGGCAGGTTATACTGATTTACAAGAAAGTAGTCATAAATAAGAGCTAATACTCATTGGGTAGTCACATGTGTTTTTCACAAAAATTCTATATGGTAAGAATTAGTATTATTCCCTCCATTTTAGAGGATGGAACTGACGCAGAGGGAGGTTAAATAGCTGGCCACACAGCTAGTCTGTGGCAAAGCTCAATTAAAACCCAGGCGTCTGCTTCCAGAGTCATGCTTGCAGTCACAAGAGTAGAAATACATACTGAATCAAGTTGAACCATAATGCAAATCACAGCAAACATAAAGAGTATGTACTTTTCATTTTGACCCAACAAACACCTTTTGAGTGCTTATTATGTGCCATGTACAAAACTGTAGCCTCCTTTGTACTTCATGTAATTCCAAATTTACAATCTGTTTTGGGTAGACACTAAAAAACAACTTAAGATGGTCAGGCACAGTGGCTCACGCCTGTAATCTCAGCCGTTTGCGAGGCCGAGGCGGGTGGATCACGAGATCAGCAGATCGAGACCATCCTGGCTAACACGGTGAAACCCCGTCTCTACTAAAAATACAAAAAATAAGCCGGGCATGGTGGCGGGCGCCTGTAGTCCCAGCTACTCAGGAGGCTGAGGCAGGAGAATGGCATGAACCCGGGAGGCGGAGCTTGCAGTGAGCCGAGATCACGCCACTGCAGTCCAGCCTGGGCGACAGAGCGAGACTCTGTCTCAAAAATAGAAAAAAAAAATTAGACATTTAACTCAAGTACAACAACCATGATGACATCATAGATATGTATGTAATTTCCCCTCAGCTAACAAAGTATTTAAATCAAAATAAATGAGAAAATGAGACGGAGTTGCTTTGCCCACATACTTTCTCATTCTATTGTATTAGTCATTTGGATCATAAGAACAGCAAAGCAAGAGAAGAGGTATTTTTATTGGGAAAAAAAGGAGCATAGGATGGCATGAAAGACAGGAAATCAAAAGATCATGTGTAATTCATTGTAAATTTGGTAACATGGAAAAAAGTGAATTGTGTTGCAGCCGTATCTATAAGTCCTAATGGCTGGCACAAAGGGGGCTTTTTCTTTCACAGCAAAAAAAAGTAGCCAAGTGGATTTTAAGAATTTTCTCTGACAAGTATTTTCATTGTGCTTCTGTTATTCTTTGAAAACAGAAACTGGAATGAGGTATAAGTTCTGCACTTGGAATGAAATTAGCATGATTGTATAGTTGGTGTCAATAAATAAATTATTTGTTGGCTTTGCTGTTACTCTGCTCTACTATTGTAAAATCTGTCAGTCCCGGCTGCCATCTTCCCTTCAAAACCCAAGTCTCCCAATTAAAAGAACCACAGCTGTATGGAATGGGTCACCAGAGATTTGAACCTCCACAAGCATTACTCACTGGTCCTGCCCTGCTCTCCAGTCTTTGCCAAAAGGCAATGTCAAGTTCACCTCCTACTTGGGACACCCAAAATGAAGAGCTTAAACAACTCTTCAAAACATGTGTGTTGTTTTTTGCTTTTTTGTTTTTTTAAGTTAAATTAGCTATTGAATGTATTTTAGCCCAATATAAATTAAGGATATAATCTACCTGACATTGCCTTGAATGGGGTTCTATGCTGTTTACAAGAAGAAAGAAACTTAAAACTCCATAAAGCTGACCTATTCATTCATCAATGCTTTTTATTTAAAAGGCTCTATTATATGTCCATCCCAGAAAACCAAATACCCATTTTAAAACACAAATAGACAAAAATGCTATAGTAGCATATGAAAAACACTCCCTGCAGCATTGGTTTTAATTCAAATCCTTACATATATATGATAAACTTAAAAGTTTAAAATGTGCTAAGCTGGAGGCATCACGTTCCCTGACTTCAAACTATACTACAACGCTATAGTAACCAAAACAGCATGGTACTGATACCAAAACAGATATATATAGACCAATGGAACAGAACAGAGGCCTCAGAAATAACGCCACACATCTACAACCATCTGATCTTTGACAAACCTGACAAAAACAAGCATTGGGGAAAGGATTCCTTATTTAATAAATGGTGTAGGGAAAACTGGCTAGCCATATGCAGAAAACTGAGACTTTCCTTATACTTTATACAAAAATTAACTCAAGATGGATTAAAGACTTAAAAGTAAGACCTAAAACCATACAAACCCTAGAAGAAAACCTAGGCAATACCATTCAGGACATAGGCATAAGCTAAGACTTCATGATTAAAACACCAAAAGCAATGGCAATAAAAGCCAAAATTGACAAATGGGATCTAATTAAACTAAAGAGCTTCTGCTCAGCAAAAGAAACTATCATCGGAGTTAAGAGGCAACCTACAGAATGGGAGAAAAGTTTTGCAATCTGTCCATCTGACAAAGGGCTAATATCCAGAATCTACAAGGAATTTAAACAAATTTACGAGAAAAAAACACCACCATCAAAAAGTGGGCAAAGGATATAAACAGACAATTCTCAAAAGAAAACATTTATGTGGCCAACA
The DNA here is from genome assembly GCF_000001405.40 of Homo sapiens. NCBI lineage: Eukaryota > Metazoa > Chordata > Mammalia > Primates > Hominidae > Homo > Homo sapiens. Next base: position 165,592,684 of record NC_000006.12, read on the forward strand.
AACATATGAAAAAAAAGCCCAGCATCACTCGTCATTAGAGAAATGCAAATCAAAACCACAATGAGATATCATCTCACACCAGTTAAAATGGCCATCATTAAAAAGTCAGGAAACAACAGGTGCTGGAGAGGATATGGAGAAATAGGAACACTTTTACACTGTTGGTGGGACTTTAAACTAGTTCAACCATTGTGGAAGTCAGTGTGGCAATTCCTCAGGGATCTAGAACTAGAAATACCATTTGACCCAGCCATCCCATTACTGGGTATATACCCAAAGGATTATAAATCATGCTGCTATAAAGACACATGCACATGTATGTTTATTGCGGCACTGTTCACAATAGCAAAGACTTGGAACCAAACCAAATGTCCATCAATGATAGACTGGATAAAGAAAATGTGGCACATACACACCACGGAATACTATGCAGCCATAAAAAAGGGTGAGTTCATGTCCTTGGCAGGGACATGGATGAAACTGGAAACCATCATTCTCAGCAAACTAACACAGGAACAGAAAACGAAACACTGCATGTTCTCACTCATAGGTGGGAACTGAACAATGAGAATGCATGGACACAGGGAGGGGAACATCACACACCGGGGCCTGTCATGGGGTGGGGGTTAAGGGAGATAGCATTAGGAGAAATACCTAATGTAGATGACCGGTTGATGGGTGCTGCAAACCACCAAGGTACATGTATACCTATATAACAAACCTGCACGTTCTGCACATGTATCCCAGAACTTAAAAGTATAATGGGAAAAAAAAAGTTCAAAATGTCCTGGCTAACAAAGTTGATGGCATGAGTCAGTATTCTGATATGATCAAAAGCAGCACAAATACGGGGTACTACAATAAACCTAAAAAAGGAGCCATCAATGAAAATTGCATATACTGACCATTCCATCAGCAAAATCTATACCTAATACTGAGACATTACATTAGTTACATTTCAATTTATTTAAAGACTTTCTAGTAAACCTTTATGTTTTATAATAAAAACATTTTATTATAACTTGCTGAGATATTTTTAAATGATGATGTTCTAAACTATCCATCTTGTAAGGACACTTACTAATATTATGAAGTATGTAGGTCATTCTGAGTACGTTAAGGATGCCAAATCCAGTCAAAATTCCGAAGACTGAAAACTATGCTCAGATTCCTTGTTCAGGCATAGTACACAAGATAAATTATTGTAAGTGAGCTAAATAACCAATATTAAAACCTGCACCATATGACAACATTCTTAATCAGACTAACCTATAATGTATAAGCTTTCTAATAATTACTTTCTATGCCAATTACTTTGTATAATATTGTTTTACAAAAATTAGGAAGAATCCTATGGTACTGGATTTGAATTGGAGATAGCATTATAACTCATCATTTAAATATACATTTCCTAGCTGTATCCACTGTAAGGGCCTAGAAGGAATAACATCCAAGTTGCAATGAGCACATCTAGTGCTCAGGTCTTGGCTACTAAATACCATTTCCCACTGAACAGAACCAGAGTTCCTTGGAGAAGTGGCTGATTCCAGGTCTGAAATAGGAACATACAAAGTAAATAAGGGAAATGTTGTGCCAAGAGAGCAAGTGTTTCTGAGGTTAATAAAGACATATGAAATATAGTAAGAAAATGTTTGAAAGAACGCATACTGGCCAAATCTGGGTAGTTTGAATATCGGAAATAATAAATACAGCAATAGATTATAACACATTAAGTACAAAAAAGAATAGAAATGGTAATATATTATAATACTGAATAGAGAAGGAATCCACGAGTCCTTAATGATACCCAAAGTGAAGCAGAACAAAAAAGTGGGAGCAGAGTGAGGGAAGTTCTTTTCTCTCAGAAGAATTCAAGCTATAAATATAGATGGAATAGTAGAATTCATTCAAAAATCATCATTTTATAAGCCCCAAAGCAATAATTCAGGCAAAGATCATCAATGAATAGTAAAACCACTGAGTGATACGGTGTTGAGAAATATTATATTCACAAGATCTCAAAGTATCGTTCCATGGATTACTCATCACAAAGGAGAAATGATACCTTTATGGTGGAGACATCTGGCAGACTCCATCTGAACCTAGTGAGCAAATTTAGCATCACCAAAAATAGAAAGGACATGCAACGCAATGGTAATTTGTGCCAAGCCAAAGAACCATATACTCATGTGCATGTTAAAAAGTACACTTAAAAGGATGGCAGGAGGTTAAGTCTGGTGTGGTGAACAAGATCAGATCATGAATTATGATTATCCGCAATCTACAGGTGAAGAAACTGAAGTTCAGAGAAGTAACTTTGTCAAAGTCACGTATCTAGTGACTGGCAAAGCTGGAATTTGAACAAAGTGAGTCAATTCTGAAACCCAGATTCTTTGGACTGCAGGAGCCTGGCAATCCCAGCCATCACTGGGTTTAAGGCCCAGGTCCAGCCATGTGGAAATGGCTCCCTTAAGCCCTAGCCAGCTGCAGGGGCCAGCCCTGCAGCTCACCTGCCGTAGCCTCAGTCCATCCTTTGCTAGCCTACTTGTCTCTGGATTAGTCCTCTCATGGGAGTCAAACTAACCTGCCACCTGCCCACCAAAGCTGGGCAACATCACTGTTACAGAAAAGATGGCTCGAAGCCTTTGGCTATATTATAGAGTTAAGAAAACTGGCTCAATTATCACACAGATGGACATCTGCAAAGTTAATAAAGACAGGCCTGTAGAACAATCAAAATTAAATTATTATCTTTCATTGTTCTAGTCCATTCAAATGAATGAAATTGAACATGCGACATACCCATGAAATGTTTGCCCATGTTCCATTATCAGGGCCTCAAATGAAAATCAGTCCTTATTTTAATCAACTTACACCCAGACTTGTGTCATAATATAGCCAAAAACCTACTCCATATCTCCAACTAATACGTCTGTCTTGGTCCATTCAGGCTGTAACAAAACACCTTAGACTGGATAATCTAGGAACAACAGAAGCTTATTTTTCACATTTCTGAAGGCTGGAAGTCCAAGATCAAAGCACCAGTAGACTCAACGTCTAGTGAAGGCCCCTTCTTCATAGATGAGCCCTCCTATGTGTCTGCACATGGCTGAAGGGGAAAGCAGCATTTTGGGGCCTCTTATCAGAGCATTAATTAATCCCATTCTCAGGGGTACAGCCCTCATGACCTGACCACCTCCCAAAGGCCCCACATTCTAATACCATCTACCTTGGTGATTATGTTCAACATATGAATTTTGGGGCTGGGGAGGACAAATATTCAGACCACAGAAATGGCCAAAACCAAACACCTAATACAGTGTTGAGAAATATTATATTCACAAGATCTCAAAGTATCATTCCATGGATTACTCATCACAAAGGAGAAACGATACCTTTATGGTGGAAACATCTGGCAGACTCCAGATTTTCTTCCTAAACCTGATGATCCTCCATTATTCCATCAAGGCTGAAACCCTGAAGCCATCATTGGCATCTTTCTCTCCCACCTTATAGCTAATCCATCAGGAAATACTGTTGGCTGTACCCTGAAAAAGTATCCGCAATCCTTTCATCTCTCATCCAGTCTACTGTGTCCACCACGGCCCCAGCCACCACCAGCCCTTGCCTGGTTTGGCCACTGGCCTCCTCAATCGTCTCCCTGCGTCTGCCCTTTTTCTCCTACAGTCGGTTCTCAATACAGTAGCCACAGTGATCTTAGGAAGTCAGATCAGGTCACTTATCTGCTTAAAACTCTTCAATGAACCAGGTGCAGCAGTTTATACCTGTAATCCCAGCACCTCTGGTGGCTGAGGTGAGAGGATCACCTGAGTCCAGCAGTTCCAGACCATGCTGGGCAACATAGCAAGACCCCTTCTCTACAAAAAATTTAAAAAATTAGCTGGGTGTGGTGGCACACACCTGTAGTCCCAACTACTTGAGAGGCTGAGGTGGGAGGACTGCTTGAGCCCATGAGGTGGAGGCTGCAGGTAGCCATGATTGTACCACTGCACTCAGCCTAGGCAACAGAGTGAGACCATGTCACACACACACAAAAAAAATATGTAAGTGAATAAACAAACAAACTCTTCAGTTTCTTCCTGTCTTACTCAGAGAGCAGACAAAATCCTTCATGGGGTCCTGAATATCCTAGGAGAACGTTGCTCTCCTCCTCTACTGACATGGCCGCCTTGCAGTGCCTCCAAATATGCCAGCCATATTCTGAGACTAAATTTTTGCAATTGCTCTTTCTTCCTTCTGCTTGAAACTTGTTACCAGCTGTCTGCCTGCTCTAAATTTTTGCTCAAATTTTACCTACTTGGTGCAGCCTTCCCTGCCCATGTTAATTAAAATGGTAACTGCCCTTCACTCCTTTTTCTCCATAGTGCTTATCAACAATCTGACACACCACATATTTTCCTGATTTATTTCTGTCTTACCCCTCCTCTCCTTTAATGCAGGTATCCTGGAGGAAAGTGATTTTATTTTAATCTATTCATTCACTGCTGTATTCCCAATTCCTAAAAAAGTTCTTGGCACATAGTAGACACCCGATACCTGTTACATAAATAAATACATGATAAACCCACACATACAGACCATGGATTAAGAAAATTATCCTGGTGGATTAAGTTTCTTAATAGTCACTTTCTTCTAATATAGAGTACTAAAAGCCAAATCAGGTTTTAATGGAGAATTAGTCAAAAAGATATCTCAATTCTCAAATCGTATGTAGAAAAGTAAGCCAATGAGTCTTTGGCTGTATTTACACCCAAGCATTTTCCTATGTAAAACTCAGGTTTTGGCCACAAAAATGTTTTCTCCCTTAGGCTATCTGGGTTGATGGTTAAAGTGACATATGTATGATATTAATGCGACCAATAAATAGAAGGAAACACTCCCTCAAATATGTCCAAACGTAGCACATAAACAAAGACTTACGTGCATTTTATAGGACAGAAAAAAACAAACCCACTTTAGAAACGGAATGACTACTTTACATGTTCCAGTTAGTTCTTTTCCAGATAGCTTAACAGCTGTGCACAAGATCTCAGCAACATCAAACTGCAGCAGACAGGAGAAAAGCCGGATGATACCAGGTTTACTCACAGTTTTTGTTGTGTCCTTCATAGGCCCTTAAGTCCCACTTATATATAATGGATTGTAAATGGAAGGTAACAGAAAAAAGACTGTGAGGCTGGTAAAATGGAAAAGAAAAGAAATGGCAACCTGAGGTCAGCTGTGTGTGACCCACATGCAAGACTGAAGTAGAACTTGCCTCCTTGTGAACGAAACAGGGCAACAAGAGCTCCACTAGCACAGGTCACGCTTTGGTCTCTGCTCACCTGAGGCACTCAATGCCACGAGTCAAGCCAACAAACCACTCACAACTCTAATTTTAAGAGAGTCTTTTTCCACTTACTTTTTTGTTGAGGGGAAAAAAACCCCAAACCTGTCAGTTTGCCAATTAGGTTTTACAATACCAACATACATTTTAGCAGTTATTTAAGTATATCTGAGAATGGTGGAAATTATTGTTACAAAGTTTGGAAGTATACTTCACTAATAGTATTTAATTTCTTTTCTTCTTATTAACAGATCTTAGAGAGAGAGAGCACCAACAATATCAAAGAGATCTTAAAAACAGAATGTTTAAGAGTCACATGCAACACATAAGCAATTTATTGTCAAGATTTCTTTCAAAAAGAGAAGAAAGGAAAGGCATTTTTAGCAAAACTGTCTTTAAAATTTTCCAAACTTAAAACACTTGTACAGAAGTTGCTCCATATCATGAAAATGGGAGTTCATACCTTCCTTTATAATCAGGGTACAAATGGTGTGGCCCCTGCTGTGTGACCTTGGGCAATGGACTTATCCTAAGGCTCAGATCTGTAAAATGGTGATAATAATAGTATCAATCTTATAAGGATTATCATGAAGACTAATAAAGATAATGCACATCAAATTCTTAATATGCCATCTGGAACACGGCAATTAATAAATGGTTCCTTGGGTTCTTCTATTAAGCTCATACAATAGGTAGAATCACAAACTAATTTTCAAAGAAAAAAATCCATTACTCTTATAAATTTTCAAATAAATTAGGAAAATTTTAAACTAATAGCCCAGCACTGGGACCTAGAGGGCCTGCTCTTGCCAGCCGCTGGGAGGCTGGCTATGGACCTGCCTTCTGCAAGATGAGGGGACGGGGTCAGGACTTCTAGCTCCCTGTACATGTCCAGTTCTCTCTATGGAATGCTCTCTTTTCTCTTTTCTACCCTACGCAGACTGCCTCTCCAGTCCTTCAGAAGAGGTGAGAAGCTGTCCTACTATTAGTACTTCCAGATCAGCCTTAACTGTAAGCTAGACATTCTCATATATTCTAATCTATCTCCCAAAGGTAATTTCAGAATTGCCCTAAGACGGTTGTGAAGGAATTTTAAAGGAAATAATCCTAATGAATTGCATGCCAACTCCTCCACTACTGTGACTGCCAGCATTTCTGGCAAATAGTAAATGCTTTGCTGAAAACAAAAGCATACTAAAACAAGCAAACACAAAGAACACAAAGAAGCAGACACAAAACGTAAGCCTTCACCTTTATAAGGCAAACAAACCTTTATGCACAGTCCTTGCTCAATTCAACTCACTCCCTCGCAATAGGTATGACTCTTTCTCTGTTGCACAAAGGCAGAGTGCCCGTATAGTTTTCTCTTCTTCAGTACTACCCTTTCCAAGCTTCCTTCTGATACATTTCAGTGTTAGTTTTCATTTTCTCACCAGTCTCTCTTCTGACTTCTTGGAGTAATGAAAAGTCAAAGGAACCCCTAGAGTCACTGTTGCCATCACTTAACCCAGGACAATTAGGAAAATATAAGGTATGCCTCAATTACATTTTAGTATCATAAAACTTCTTAGACAGCCTCAGGGTCTTTAAACAGGCTTAACAGAATACCTCGTAACAGTAAGAATTTAATAAATATTTTTGTTATTATCATGTGAGCAAGCAAGCACCCTCCTCACCATATAATGTTGCCATACCAGTTAACCGTCAACTGCTGGGTCACAGGCAGGAGCAGGAGTGCGTCTCTGACCAACAGTACAGAGCTGGTGAGCGGGCCTCCACGGCCTCCTCCACAGCCTTCCTCCCCGGTTTGGCATCAGTTACACAGACTCGCCTAGGAACGCAGTCTTGCACACATCCTTAGATTGCTTTCTTTCTACCCGGAGGCAAAGGTGACACACTGATGGGGTCTCCCATTGCCCAACTCTCAGGCCTAGGATTGGCCAACTGCCCTCCCAACAGATTCCAACTGCTCAAGGCTGAGTGCAAGCTGTTCCCTCCGGGGCCACTGACATCACAGTCCGACCGGGGAATCCTCGCCACACCGCACCTCACACACCCCTCCCCAGCCAAAGGCTTTCATCTCTGTCAAATCAACACTTCCCACCCCAAATGAGAATCTGACACATTATAATCACCTTCACTCCTCCTCCGAGGATCCCACAAACCACAGAAAGACGCACTCGTTTTTCAGGGCTGCATGCTGGGGACACACTGCCAAAACAGCCTGCAGCCCTTCCAAGATGCTTACCACCCGGGAGAGGGAGAGTGGCCAGCCAGGGCAGGGCTCTGAAGGACGATTGTCCAGGAAAATGGAGTGAATGAGTTCTCTGTAAAGTCAGGTTTGAAGCTCAGAGTTCCAACTGAACCCAATGAGAAAGTGGGTTGTCTTTTGAGGACGCTTGCTTCTTTCTGTTCAAGAAACCAAATTGTGTGTGTGTGGCTGTGCACGCACATACACATACACATGTAAATGTTCTGACGTGTCCTTTCACGTCCAGGGTAGCATATATTTCTTCCAGGTTCACTGTTGCACAGCCAAGCCTCTTCCTCTCTCCCTTTAACCCCAGCAGCATCTAGTCACCTTTCCGGCATTGACTTCCTCACTTGATGTTTCTCTCTGTGTCTCAGTGATCTTCCCTACCGGCAGATTTACATTTGCAGCTTTCCTCATCAGCCTTTCACTCCCACAGTATGTGTTGTATAACGGCCTTGAGACTGCTTTGTCAAGGACACAAAGTAATTGCCCTCAGCAGGACCTGAAGGACCTGCTAAACTCCTTTTAACTACTCTGACATGATTGTATCAAGTCAGACAGTGGTATTTTCAAAAATTGTTCCTGCACTCTTCCCTCCATTCCTGACTCACAAATAAGCACCAAATTCTTTAAACATATCTGATGTTGGAAGCAAGATTAGCTAAGTCCAGTGGTCAAAGGTTTAAATATGTTACATGGTTTGGCTACGTCCCCACCCAAATCTCAACTTGAATTGTATCTCCCAGAATTCCCAAGTTTGTGGGTGGGACCCAGGGGGGTGGTAATTGAATCATGGGAGTTGGTCTTTCCCGTGCTACTCTCATGATAGAGAATAAGTCTCATGAAATCTGATGGGTTACCAGGGGTTTCCACTTTTGCTTCTTCCTCATTTTTCCTTTTGCTGCCACCATGTAAGAAGTGTCTTTCACCTCCTGCCATGATTCTGAGGCCTCCTCAGCCACGTGGAACTGAAAGTCCAATTAAACCTCTCTTTCTTCCCAGTCTCGGGTATGTCTTTATCAGCAGTGTGAAAATGGACTAATATGATATGACTGAAGTATTTTTTTCTCTAGCTACCCAAATATAACAATTACATTTTTTACAGTTTTATATTACACATAATTTGCTAACATTTATTCAGTGCCTGCTGTGTACTATGCCGTGTTTTATGTGACTTAGCAGCATTGTAATATGAAATACTTATACCAGCCCTATGAGGTAGAGAAATGAAAGAATTGGTAGACTCCCATACTTTTAAGATCCAATTGCCCTGTCCTTTAAATTCCTTTCACAAGAGTAATTATTTTCAAGATTTCCTAATCTTTAGATGCCACAGCCCCCTGAAGTTTTCGTGTTAAGAACTTGCTAACAGGTAACTACTTAGTGTTTCTCGAAATTCACATAGATTAGTCAGGGAGGTTCTCTTCTGCTTTCTGAAGTTTTCATTTATTTGCTCTTGGGTACATTAAAGAATCATTAGGGTCCCTCATACATATCTAATTAATTAATTATAGTTTATAATTACATAGCCTCCTCTCAAAGTCCCTAAAAATATAAAGAGTCGCATAACAGAAGAGCCTCATCTACCACCGCAACATCTCATCCCACCCTGCCCTGTTGGCCGTAATTATTGTTCTATGCCAGATGACAAAGAGCCATGGGAAAAATCCTTTTTGTAACCAATATATTTTAAAACAGAGACTAAGATCAGGATATACTAAGCAAAACAGGTTAATAAGATAAGTTTGTCCTTGGGTCAGTCTTTTCATTCAGCCCTTTTCTTCCCTGTCCCACTGTCCATTTCTGTTTTCACTAGTCCCCAGCCTCAGCATTCTCCATGGGCTTGGACAGTGGCAGCAGAAAGTGAGGCCACAAATCAATCAAGTAAGGCACGCTGCAACCTCAGGCACAGGTAACAAACGGCAGCAACAGGAAACAAGCCCCGCTGATCCCCACTGTCTCCCTCCTGTCTTCCTAGTTCTAATCCTGCCTTGGCCCACCCCAATCTTTCTCATGCCTCTTTCTCAACCAAGAGCCCTAGGAGGCAGCTACCAGCCCGTGTGAGTGGACTCTGGGGAATAATCCACATGTCTCCCTTCGGTCTCTCTCGGGGAACTTCGATTCTAGAGAAAGAAATGTAGCACCAGAGTGCCCTTCCACATGTGCAATTTCAGTCACCAAAGAAACTGAGCGGGAACAACATTTCTGGGCAGGAGAATAGGCAGATATACCATGAAGCTATATACCATGAAGCAGATATACCATGAAGTTTCAGGGCCCAGCATGTGTACAGGCCCCTTCCAAGGTCCTGGGAATGACCTCGGTGATGAGTTCACATTATCACATTTTTGTGAAATTTGAAAAAGGTACTTTTGTATTATTTTCCATAAACAGGGCACCCATATGATAAAAAGATCAAGTCCCACAAAAATCCAGTGGTCCTAAATCATACCTTGTACAGGTGTGAGGCTCAGGAGGGTCTCACACCTCATGCCTACCTACTTGATGATAGTTTATAAGAAGACGGCCACCTCTCAAAGTCCTTAAAACCAAAGAGTCCTATCACTGAAGAGCCTCATCTACCACCACAACATTTCATCCCATTCTGTCCTGTTGGCAATAATTATTGTTCTATGCTAGACAGACTACATAAAATCTAACCTAGTTTGTATTACATTTTCTTCATGTAACATCAGAGTTCTTTTCCCCACAATACGAAAGCAAAATTAGGTTAAATTTTAGAAGAGGGAAAATAAGAAGTAAAAATAAATTTTATTTTTTAAAAAATAGCAAAAGTAGTTACTAATGATGCACCTCCTTTTCAAATATATCTGAAACCAACTTTGGCAAGCCACGGGCATCTTTTAGAAAATATATTGTCCAAAGACTCTGCATGAGTAAACGTACAATAGGGGCCATGAAGCTCCTCCATACAATTCTGCCATCCAGCCATGTTGAGGAACCCCTGCAAGAGACGTCTGCAGTTGTATCCCCTAGCAACTCCTTAAAATCTCACTGGTGCTTTATCGTTATTTTAGCACTGTCCTTTAGTGATATAAGGTCAAGGCCACTGTAACACACATGTTAGTAAGCAGGAAACAGTGAAAACATAGAATCACAGAAATAATATTTAACAGCAAAAATGACACTTCTAACAACTCATTTTGTAGCTGAAAGGCACTGTAGTGAAAACATAGGAAATAGCTATATAAAAGGCTTCTGAGTAACAGAGGGAAGTCTTCCCGAAAGCATTCGGTTCTTAAGATACACTGTTATTTCCTGAGGTACCTTTAAGTCTCTCCTAAGTGGCTCAGATGAAAGCCCCTGGCAGAGAATCTGGGAGGGGAGCAGCGTCCCAGTGAGGACTCTGGGGAGGGCCCATGCTCTGTGTCCTATGCGCAGAGCGACTTCACCACAGTCATGGGCACAATGACCCCTAATGGTATTGAAAATGGAGAGAAAGGGGGCAAGTTCAATGACGTATGTGTTATTTCTGAAGTTGGTATTTTTTACAACAACAAAAAATTGGCACTAACTTAAATATTTATCCACTAGGGAACGGATGAATAAAAGGTGGTATATGCAACAACTGAATACCCACCCTCAATTTGCTGAAGCAGGAACTAAAACCATGGGACTGATCATGCAAACTGGAGCTATTTCCACTTGTTTAAGTCAATGCTTACAAACCATGCTCCTTCTAGGACACATAGAAAGTGTAACAATCAAGATATGTACATAAAGAAAATATTTAGGATTAGCCAAGAAAAATATATAACAAAGAAATAGGAAGGCCTTCCTCTGCCACCAAGTCTAAAAATTAGGTTCCATCCTAACACCCATTTCTTCTCATTTGTAACCTTTATCAGCAAATGTATTTTATCAGTAAACTCTTAACAGTAAATTTGTTTATGACTATTCATTCGTCTTCATGGGTCTGTAGTAAAGCGCTGGGAGGTTACGGACCATTGTATCCCCAAGGATAATACGGCGCCTGGCAAACAGCAGACCCCCACCAATAAATACTTTCAATAAGTGAATCATTGGCGATAGTTTCGAGTACCATTCACATTTTGATACCCCACAAATACTCAGCTCCAGTTCATCCTTCTGGTCCAGCTGACTAGCTGACATCAGCCCCTTCTGGTCCAGCTGAGTAGGTGACATGCCCACGTGAGTGTCCACAAGCTACCTGAGAAGCTACATGCACAAGACTGCACTTACTCTCTTTGTTAAAAAAAAAAAAAAAAAGTGTTACTATACTGTCAAAAGCATGCAGAGATAGCTACACAAGAGTGTCCTGGATGACATTACTTGTAAAAGTAGATATAAAGAAATAACCGGAAACATCCTACATGGAATGGGATACTACTTATCCTTTTACACTAAGGCGTAAAGCAGATCTCTTAGGTACTTCAGTGGAAAGCTGGAGGGCTGCTTGCGCTATGTTACTAAATACAAAAGGAAGCTGCTAAAGGTACCATTCTGTTTAAGATGATCATTACACATACATGTGGATTTCAGTGTAGAAGAAAAAAGCTAACAGGGTCATATGTGGGTAGTGGAATTTCTTAGCTTACTTTGAAGATTTTCCACATTGTTTGAGTTTTTAAAGTGAATAATTCCTACACAGAAAACTTGACAGTTAAAAAACAAAAACTAAAAAAATAAACTTTCTCTACTCTCAAGCTCTATTACAAACAACCCTCCAGTCACCACATTAGAAGTGTGGTAGCTCTCCTGAACCCCCTTCTTTGCCTCACTCTTTACATTTTACCACCGGAATATGTCTTTATCAAATTTCATTGCTTCATTTTGCTCATACCTGTTCTCTTTCCATCTCCTCTGCCTGAATTTAAGCCTTCATCATCTCTCTCTACAGCGGTCCACCAGTTGGCTTCCTTCCTTTCATCTGTGACTCCTGGCAATCCTTGACATTGCTTCCGTGTTTCCAGAACCCATATTAAAAAACAAAACAAAAAACAAACAAACAAAAAAAACCAACAAGTCACAGCTCAGAATGAGCCCTTCCACTCGTTCCGAATGGCCTGTGCAGTCGCATTCAGGGGGCTGGGACTGCCCGTGGCACCTGCACAGCACTTCTCCCACCATTTCTCCAACTGTGCTCTGCACTGTTCTAAAAATAAGTTTCCTGTAGTTCCCAATGTTTCACAGTTTGTTCATGCTATTTCCCTTATCCTGGAATGTATTGCCCTTGTCCTCCAATCAGAGTTAAAATTACTTCTGTTTAAGAACTCAAGTCAAACACCACCTCCTCCTCCATATAACTTTTCTGCTCCTTTTCCCTCAAGCAAGTTTCTGGCTCCTTCCTTTGTGCTCTCGGTGAATCTTCCACTGAAGCAACACGGAAACCACACACAAACTGTCATTTGTGGCAGGCTGTTGAGTGCCTGTGGCTTCAAATGCTTCGGCGCATGCAATGCTACTACTGTTTTCAGGTAGGTGGCCATCGACATCTTATAAAAGTTACAAATGTCCCCATTTTTGGAATAGAAGTCAGAAAGGTTGGAGAGTGGGGAGAGAGACACTTGTCCAAGACCACATAATGAAAGAGACAGGTTTTGATTCTAAATCTTTCTAGCACCCACTGTGCTGTACAACCTTTATTAATATGTCATCATACGCACTGGCTTGAATTTCTGTTTCTCCCTATAATATCCTTATTTTCTCATGGACAGGGATTATTTCTGATTCATCTTTTGATCCTCAGACCTAGTACAGAGCTGGGCACGCAGCAGGTGCGTGGGGATGTTTGTTGAGTAACGCAGGCAAGGGAGCTGGGGAGAGCGCAGTCATTAGGAGTCACACAGTCTGACCTTGAGCAAATTATTAACATTACGAACAAGCGAAAAAAAAAAAAAAAACAGAAATAAAGCACCAGGCACACAGTCTAGGGCACAGTAAGTTCTCAAAAATGCTACCAACAATTACAATAACACTGAGGAAAGAGAAGCTCATAAGAGGGGCATGTGTCAGTCCGTCAGGGCTAAGTGTTGCTGAGATAATAAACTATCCCAGGATCTTAGTAACTGAAAACACACAGGATTTGTTTTTCACTCACTGTCCACATGCATAAAGTTCTGAGGAGTCTCCTTCCTCTACCTTGTTCTCACTCAGGAATGCAAGACCAAACACCATGCAGAACAGCACTGGCTACCACAGCAGGGGATGGGAGCGTGGGAAAGTGAGCGTCGCCTATTAAAAACTTCCACGAGTCAGTAACACACCTCGCTTCCTTCCACCTGCTATTGATCAAAGCAACTCACATCATAAACTTGCAATCTTACCTCATACCCAGGAGGAAAACCAGAAATACCACATCACTAATGACTATAGTGGGAACAGGGAAACATTTCTTAAGAGGAGGTAAGTGTACCAGGTATAGCAAGTAGGAGAAAGGCTTAGGGTAGGCACAAAAATTGTAAAAAAGGTCAACAGATAAAACAGTAAATCAAGTATGAGGAAAAGCATCTGCGGCTTGGTGTGACTGGACCATGGAGTGCGTGCAGTGCGTGCAGGGGCTTAGGTGGAAGAACAGGCTGAGTCAGGTTGTTGAGGACTTTTCTGCTCTATTACTAATCATAAGAGGGGTGGGAGCCCAGATGATCAATATGATAAGTGAATAGGTTCACTCTGGCAACAACTTAGGGCTCTTCATATTCCAATATAATATATACATTTATCCTCATATACTTATTCTGTTGTTACCTTGTCATAATTATTGTCATGTTTTATCTATTTTCTTGCTTCCCAACTTAGAAGTGGTTTCGTTAAAAATGCTTTCAGAATACTTATTTCACTTTTTAAAAGAACGTATTGAACTTTAAGAAATCCACTGACTGCAGGACCTGATGGTGCTAATGGTGCACAGGTCTCGTCTGCACAATGAGCATGTACTACACACCCAACGCCTTGAGTTAATTTGGACAGCAATGCTTTAGCTGCAATTACAGCCATGCACAGCGTAATGATGTTTTGGTCAACAAGCGACCAAAGATATATGAGATGGTCCCATAATATTATAACGAAGCTTAAAAATATTTATTGACTGATGACGCAGTAGCCTTCCTAATGGTATAGCACAACACATTACCTTTTTATGTTCAGATATATTTGGTTACAGCTGCCTGCAGTATTCAGTACAGTGACATGCTGCATAGGGATTGTAGCCTAGGAGCAGTAGGCCACACACAGAGCCTAGGTGTGTGGCAGCCTGTACCATCTAGGTTTGTTAAGTGCACTCAGTGATACTCACACCATCAGGACGTCACCTAGTGATGCATGTCTCAGAAGGTATCCCTATCATTAAGCGACACATAACTGTATTTAAATACCAAGACTACAAGTTTCAGAGACTGACGCTGGGCAGCTGCAGCGTGAATAGAGTTTCATGTATGTGAAATGTGTCTCCAAATGAGTTGGATAACATTTTGGAGATTCATTCAGTTTATAAGGATGAAATGCAGCACGTGTTTAACAGCATCAACTTTAGACAGCTCTACATCACCTGTGTATCTGCTACAATCCAGAATCCAGATCTGAGGTTCAAGTGGGCCCTGAAATCCCCGACAATGTCAATGTCACCCTATCACACCCAAGTCTCCGGTCCTCCGCTGAGTTTGCAGAGAACAGAAGGGGAACGACCCACATGACTCTGAGCTGCATGATGAGATGATGCCACAATGTCTCTCCCAGGACTCATATTATTCTACGAACAGTTATTCTAATGCAAGTATTGCTTTTCTTGTATATATATGTATATATATATGTATATATGTATATATATGTGCATATATATACATGTATATATATATATTTTATTATACTTTAAGTTCTAGGGTACATGTGCACAACGTGCAGGTTTGTTACGTATGTATACATGTGCCATGATGGTGTGCTGTACCCATTAACTCGTCATTTACATTAGGTATATCTCCTAATGCTATCCCTCCCCCCTCCCCCACCCCACAACAGGCGCCAGTGTGTGATATACCCCTTCCTGTGTCCAAGTGTTCTCATTGTTCAATTCCCACCTATGAGTGAGAACATGCGGTGTTTGGATTTTTGTCCTTGCGATAGTTTGCTGAGAATGATGGTTTCCAGCTTCATCTATGTCCCTACAAAGGACATGAACTCATCCTTTTTTTATGGCTGCATAGTATTCCATGGTGTATATGTGTCACATTTTCTTATTCCAGTCTATCATTGTTGGACATTTGGGTTGGTTCCAAGTCTTTGCTATTGTGAATAGTGCCACAGTAAACATACATGTGATTGTGTCTTTATAGCAGCATGATTTATAATCCTTTGGGTATATACCCAGTAATGGGATGGCTGGGTCAAATGGTATTTCTAGTTCTAGATCCCTGAGGAATCGCCACACTGTCTTCCACAATGGTTGAACTAGTTTAAAGTCCCACCAACAGTGTAAAAGTGTTCCTATTTCTCCATATCCTCTCCAGCACCTGTTATTTCCTGACTTTTTAATGATTGCCATTCTAACTGGTGTGAGATGATATCTCATTGTGGTTTTGATTTGCATTTCTCTGATAGCCAGTGATGATGAGCATTTTTTCATGTGACTATTGGCTGCATAAATGTCTTCTTTTGAGAAGTGTCTGTTCATATCCTTCACCCACTTTGTGATGGGGTTGTTTTTTTCTTGTAAATTTGTTTGAGTTCTTTGTAGATTCTGGATATTAGCCCTTTGTCAGATGAGTAGATTGCAAAAATTTTCTCCCATTCTGTAGGTTGCCTGTTCACTCTGATGGTAGTTTCTTTTCCTGTGCAGAAGCTCTTTAGTTTAATTAGATCCCATTTGTCAATTTTGGCTTTTGTTGCCATTGCTTTTGGTGTTTTAGACATGAAATCCTTGCCCATGCCTATGTCCTGAATGGTACTGCCTAGGTTCTAAACGCAATCCAGCATATAAACAGAACCAAAGACAAAAACTACATGATTATCTCAGTAGATGCAGAAAAGGCCTTTGACAAAATTCAACAGCCCTTCATGCTAAAAATTCTCAATAAATTAGGTACTGATGGGACATCTCTCAAAATAATAACAGCTATTTATGACAAACCACAGCCAATATCATACTGAATGGGCAAAAACTGGAAGCATTCCCTTTGAGAACTGGCACAAGACAGGGATGCCCTCTCTCACCATTCCTATTCAACATAGTGTTGGAAGTTCTGGCCAGGGCAATCAGGCAAGAGAAAGAAATAAAGGGTATTCAAGCAGGAAAAGAGGAAGTCAAATTGTCCCTGTTTGCAGACGACATGATTGTATATCTAGAAAACCCCACTGTCTCAGCCCAAAATCTCCTTAAGCTGATAGGCAACTTCAGCAAAGTCTCAGAATACAAAATCGATGTGCAAAAATCACAAGCATTCTTATACACCAATAACAGACAAACAGAGAGCCAAATCATGAGTGAACTCCCATTCACAATTGCTTCAAAGAGAATAAAATACTTAGGAATCCAACTTACAAGGGATGTGAAGGACCTCTTCAAGGAGAACTACAAACCACTGCTCAACTAAATAAAAGAGGACACAAACAAATGGAAGAACATTCCATGCTCATGGATAGGAAGAATCAATATCATGAAAATGGCCATACTGCCCAAGGTAATTTATAGATTCAATGCCATCCCCATCAAGCTACCAATGACTTTCTTCACAGAATTGGAAAAAACTGCTTTAAAGTTCATATGGAACCAAAAAAGAGCCCGCTTTGCCAAGTCAATCCTAAGCCAAAAGTACAAAGCTGGAGGCATCATGCTACCTGACTTCAAACTATACTACAAGGCTACAGTAACCAAAACAGCATGGTACTGGTACCAAAACAGAGACATAGACCAATGGAACAGAACAGAGCCCTCAGAAATAATACCACACATCTACAACTATCTGATCTTTGACAAACCTGACAAAAACAAGAAATGGGGAAACGGCCAGGCCCGGTGGCTCACGCCTGTAATCCCAGCACTTTGGGAGGCCAAGGTGGGCGGATCACGAGGTCAGGAGATCGAGACCATGGTGAAACCCCATTTCTACTAAAAATACAAAAAACTAGCTGGGCATGGTGGCAGGCGCCTGTAGTCCCAGCTACTTGGGAGGCTGAGGCAGGAGAATAGCGTGAACCCAGGAGGCGGAGCTTGCCGTGAGCTGAGATCGCGCCACTGCACTCCAGCCTGGGTGACAGAGCGAGACTCCGTCTCAAAAAAAAAAAAAAAAAAAGAAAGAAATGGGGAAAGGATTCCCTATTTAACAAATGGCACTGGGAAAACTGGCTAGAAAATATTGCTTTTGCTCCCATAAATGATAACTTGTGGAACTTTTTAACACAATGCCCAGCTTGTAGGCAATGAGCCCACTGTGATGGCCAACCTCATGGACATCTCTCGTCTCCTTTAAATGCCTTAAGAAAAAGTGGCCTTCAAAACTTTTCTGTATAAGTTCCACCTTTATGTATGAGAAACCATAAAACAATAGAAAGATCACACTGCACAAAGAATCAGAAATCTTTTTCTGGTTTAAGTCCCTGTCCTTAAATTCCCATGTGACCTTTAGCAAGCAGCCTAAGTTCTCTGCAAATTACCTCACCTCAGCTCTCTTCTCTATAAAATAAGGAGCACTACTAGTCTACCTTAAAAGCCTTCCAATCGGGAGAGTTGCGAGTCTACGTCAGCTTTAAAGCAAATCCTAATGCTATTCCTAGCCCTTGCTTCTGCTTGTCTCTCTCAAAATAGTGTTTCTTTCCACTGAATAAAATTCCAATACATTTGTTTTTCAAAAGATCCTTTTGACTGCAAGAAACAAAAGCCCAATTCATACTAACAAGCAAAAAAACAAAAAGTAATTTATTGACCCATGAAGGAGTCACCTGGACCTGTGGCAAACTGTGTATGAAAAGGAAATACATAATTGTTGTACTAAGCCATTGAGAATTTCATAGCACTTGTTACTGAATTAGAACCTCACCTGTCCTGACTGATAAGCTGACTTCCAACCAGGACTGAAAACATGTCCTCCCCTGCTTACCAACCACAGTGAAATGTTAGAACTGCTTCTCTGGGTGTCCTCCTGCCAGTCCTGAGGAAGGGCTCTGATGAGCCTTACCATGGTGGAATCCCAGACCTCAATGAGTGGATACAAGCATGTACCAGGGCCACACCGTGTGCCTTCCAAAACGGCACAAGATCTGAGGCTGTGCCCAGAAGGGGCGGGGAAAGCTGAATGGAGTGTGAATAAGGAATAATGACTATGGTCCAGAGAATTCTCTCTCTCTCAACTTAACCTCTGAGCAATCAATTGCCTGCTAGCCTATCAGTATCACTGCTGTAGCCATTACACATTTTCATTTCCTTCAAAACACATAGGAAAATCCTTCATATACACAAATACAATTTTCTGTAAGATAGTCTGCCACAATATTTGGATTAGAAAAGTTATGTTTATTGCATACAACCATAAGTATAATGAAGATAATGTACTGTTCAGGTTTGATCTCCTTCGTTCAGAATCAACTCTCTTATTCAGCCAGTGAAGCAATTTACCAAATTCAATTTGAAAAGTATACTGTCATCAGTAATAACCTCAAACAACTTCACTGGTTGCCAGTATTGGACACTACCTTTCCCTGCTTCTTTTACACACTTCATACATCCTCATCTCCCTTGTGCTGAAACACATATGTTACCCACATGCAAAAGACAACTCAAATTTCACTTAGGGTTTAAAAAACATCACTGTATAGTGAACAATCATTATTAACGACAAGTATCTACAGAAGCCCATCCATGCTAAATTGACTTTCATAAATGTTATCTAGACCAAATGAGATATATATTGCTCAGAGAATAAGAGAAAGTCTGTTTTTGATGGAAAACATTTGTTATTCTCCTATTACTCCAAACTATGGCAACCCTAGGGGAGGATCTTTTCTTTCATTCCCTTCCCCAACCCAACAAAATATAAGCAAACATCAGGAATGCTCTGCTCCTTAATCCCATACACTTTTAAAACAGTCCTCACATTAGAAAATGATGTGAGAAATAAACACAGATTTTTTTTTTTTCTATTGAGATGGAGTCTCACTCTGTCACCTAGGCTGGAGCGCAGTGGCACAATCTCGGCTCACCACAACCTCAGGTTCAAGCGATTCTCCTGCCTCAGCCTCCCTATTAGCTGGGATTACAAGCGCCCGCCACCATGTCCGGCTAATTTTTGTATTTTCCAGTAGAGACGGGTTTTTGCCATGTTGGCCAGGCTGATCTCAGAAGCCTGACCTCAGGTGATCTACTTGCTTTGCCTCCCAAAGTGCTGGGATTACCAGCGTGAGCCACTGCGCCCAGCCATATTTTTGTCTCATGTTGAGATGAATGCAAATTAAAGTATACTTCAAGAAACAATACCAAAATAATGCAAAACATATCTCTTCCAGCAAGACTGTCTCGCCTCACCACATATCTTTTCCAGCAAGACAGTCTCGTCTCACCACATATCTTTCTTGAGTAACTATAAACCTATCAACACACCAAAAACCAAAATCTTACTGTTTTAACTAATAGGGCATAAATTCAAAAATGTGATTCATAAATAACATAAGAACTATTAGTGAGTCCTTTATTAAATTTGCAGTCAGAAACAATGTTTATAGATGAAAATACATTCAAATTTGACACATCAAATATTTAAAACCTTGAACAGAAAAGGATAAGTTCTCTTTATCTAGAGGATAGTTTATTTTTTATTTTAACCAATTTTCCTTCACATAGGCATACTTTAAACTAGAAAACAAATCCCTTATTTTGATTCTATCCCTTGAATTACATGATAAAACAAAAGGTTATATTAGTTTTCCAATAGCAACTGCCTTTAAAAGAGTAATTCTATACTTTTTTGCATGTGTTCAGGTTTTTTTAATGTATCACATTCCATAATCCAGTATTCAATTGACCAAATACTTGATGATAATCAAGAAATTGCCTGTTTGGGGACACGGAGGAAGCCATAGAATTTCAGAGGTTATAAAACACTATTATTTGGCCAGGTGTGGTGGCTCACCCTGTAATCCCAGCACTTTGGGAGGCCAAGATGGGCAGATTGCTTGAGCTCAGAAGTTCGAGACCAGCCTGGGTTACATGGCAAAACTCCATCTCTACAAAAATACAAAAATTAGCCAGGCGTGGTGGTACGCACCTATAGTCCCAGCTATTCGGGAAGCTAAGGTGTGGGGGGATTCCTTGAGCCCAGGAGGTTGAGGCTGCAGTGAGCCAAGACTGCACCACTGCACTCCACCCCGGGTGACAGAGCAAGACCCTGTCTCAAAAAACAATAATAATAAAACACTATTTTTCAAAACTAAGTGTGAAATTACCTAAGTGATTGTCAATATGTAGCACTGAATTCCTCTTCTGAATAGCAATATAAAAGTTAAAGATAGAGTAATACTTTAATTAACAACTATACTCCAGCCCTTATTTCCCTCTCCACCTTCAGACTCCAACATTAACTGCTAATACCAACCTGCTGTATCTTATCTGTCCAACAAATACTTCAAAATCTATTGACTCAAAACTGAACATCTCCCTCCCGAAACCAGCCCTTCCTTCCTTCTCCATTCCCCTTCTCGCTGACAGTCACGCATCATTCACCCACCTGCCCACACCCAAAACTGGAGGCCAGCCTGGGACGCTGCCCTGCTCCCACTTCTGCCGTGTGCAACCATTAAGCACCAAGTTGTGCTAATTATGCGGCTCAGACATCTCGCAAACATTTCCACTTACTTTGACCTCTTTTGTCAGTCACTAGCTCCTAAACACTTTGCTGGTTTAGTCCACCACTCTACTGACTATTCCCTGCCTTCTTCAGTTTTGTTCCTCAAAACCACTATTTCTAACGGCCAAAGTAATCCTTGTAAACCGCAAATTTAATGTTATTCCCCATACTCATCCTTAAAAATCTTTAGTCAATCCTCACCATTTTTGGATAAAGTCAAAACTGTTAATATGGCTCATAAAACCTCCAAAAATCTGACCCCTAAGTCACCTCTTCAGCTTCACATCCAACCACTCACCTTCCTAGGATAACTCCAAGCACACAGGTATTGATGTCCAGCTCCAGCAACACATCATGCGTGCTTCTCACGTCTGTCCTCACACGCCACTTCCCTCCTCTTCTAGAACATCTACCCTCCTGCAATGCTATCTCCATCCCAGCCTGGTTAACTCTTACTTGCCATTTAAGCCTCACTTTAATATGATTAATTTCAGCAAAGATTTTCCCCAACACAGCAAGCCTGCATTAAGTGTTCTCATTGTATCCTCTCAGGACACCAGGACTATCTTTATTTTGTTCACTGTTGTATTTCCAGCATCTAGCAGAGTTCTTGGCACATAGACACTCAGAAAAAATCAGAATGGCTGATTAAATGGCACAAAATGGAGAGAACATTTTAAAATCCTCAGACAGTCTCACTGACTCTCCTGATCAAATAGAAGTAAGGAATGCTGAGTGTAGGAGGCATTCAATTAAAAAAAAAAAAGAAAAAGTAATAAGAATCCAAGTGAAGTGTTAAACCCATTGGGCAGAATTTATAGAAATACATGTAAAATAGGCCAGGCGCAGTGGCTCACGCCTGTAATACTAGCACTCTGTGAGGCCGAGGCGGGCAGATCACGAGGTCAGGAGTTTGAGACCAGCCTGGCCAACATGGTGAAACCCCATCTCTACTAAAAATACAAAAATTAGCCGAGTACAGTGGCGGGCAGCTGTAATTCTAGCTACTCAGGAGGCTGAGGCAGGAGAATTGCTTGAACCCAGGAGGCGGAGGTTGCAGTGAGCCGAGATCACACCACTGCACTCCAGCCTGGGTGACAGAGCAAGACTCCATCTCAGAAAAAAAAAAAAGAAAGAAAGAAAGAAAGAAAAGAAAAGAAATACATGTAAAATAACTAATTCAATTCCATTCATTATTTTTAGATAAATCACATTTGATAAGTTTACTGAATCATAACAATTATGTACATCCTATCAATTTCAATGTCGGTTTTCTAGAAACACATTTTATTCAGATACTCTCAACAAACTCTGAAAAATATTTCTAATACCAAAGTGATGAAAATAAGTCTGCATTTTTCTACGTGTGACAAACAGAAGCAAAAGGCAAAGATGATCAGGTGATGATGAAAGCAATGGGATATTTTCACTTTATTGAGTTTTTTAAAAGAAGAAACTTTTTAAATGATAAATCATTAGATTTGTGAGTCTGAGGTTCTTTTAAAAATGACATATTGAAATATTTAAAGTAAGTTTTATTTCAAAAGTCCTTTCTATAAAGTAATAATTTATCCATAATAATAAGTTATTTGGTCAGTTTAGATAATTAATTTTACTCAGTTACTACCTAGTTTATTTTACTGAAATTCGCATGTCTTTTCACACTCCCGCTGCTTCTCTCAGCCGTCACACAGCATCCACTGTGAGTCTGCACCATGTCAGCCCTGCCTGTGGTCACTTTCATTTTCTGGTTCCTATGATCTAACCTCATGTTCTGATTGGGTTTGCAGCATTGCAGGGGAATGCATGAATCCACACCCTGAAGGCCAAAACGGAGGGAAATAAAGCTAAATCTATTTTTATTGATTCACGTTCAATATTTTAACACCCTGATTTTTTACCCACAAATTTGAATTTTCTTCTTTCAGTTTTATGCCCAATTTACAGTTTGCAAGTACTGACTTCCCAGTAAGTTGTTTCAACCTAATTCCTCTTTTTCCTTTTCAAGTTCACAGAAGGCATTTTCCGAGTCGGTTGTGTTTCCGTCTCCTACTTGGCCCTATTCGCATGACACAGGGTGCAAGGCCACAGAATTAAACGTGAGCAGTAGCTCCCGGTGTATCTCCTTTCGTACCCAGAATCCTACCAGGAACCAACTGACAAAACGATTCTGAAAATAAGAGGTCCCTGTGTGAGAAAGGGAGGAAACTTCCCTAACCATATTTAGCCAAGAAACAGTGTAAGTCCCCAGGGAACAGTCTTCAGCAGCCATTGCATGATTTCATGAAGTAGCTGCTCCTTGGCAGGCAGTAGGAAAACACTTTTCAAAAAAAAATCCATGTTTTCCTTCAAGTAGCTGTCACTCCTTTAGAAAAACGTTTTTTTTAGGCCTACAGCCTGAAGGAAGGGTGATCTTTTGTGGATTTTTCTAAAGTTTGTGTTAGTCAGATTAAACAATGTACAGGTTATGCATATGGAGAAGCCGATATCATGTTAACGCTCTTGGCTTGGATGCAAAATTAATATCCTACAAGGAAATTATTATATATCCGCTGAGTTTCAAAGACTAGCTTCTTCTAGCACAAATGAATTATCATATTCATAGACAACTTATTATAATCAGTTTTTCCTGAGCCCAACAACTCAAAATGCACTACAGTTTCGTACTCAAATAGATGAAAATTAGAGCTGATCTCTGTTCAACAAAGACAAAGGCACACATGACACTGTGCACCACCAGTTTTCACAAAACATTTAAAACTCGGAACCAAAATTTGAGAACAGAGAATTTCTTGGTGTATTTTACTAAAAATAAATATATATTGTTTAATTACACTGGCAAACTTCTCTTGAATCCATGCAAAATGAGTCAATGCTATTTACTGGATGTTCCAGAATCAAAGCTATGGGAAAACCTTTGAGAAAATACATCTTAATACTAGAGATATTCTCAATAATGAAAGAAAAGACTGGCATATCCTCAAATGCACAGTGCTTTCTCCTGTGTAGTTACCTTTAACATCCTTAAATGGAAATGCCAGGAGAAGCTCTGGGACAAGAGTAAGTACAAAAAAGCCCAAATGTCCATTCATTCTTAGCGAAGGAAGAGTTACTTCCTGTCACCTGACCCATCAGACAAGTGACCCTTGCAAAGGCCACATACCCAAGTAAGCAATGCCTAAAAATCAGAAAGAGGGACCGCTTTACGCATTGCATCTACCGAAGTGCCACACTCTTAAGTTCAATATGAATTTAAAAAAATAAAAAATTGAGTTGGAGTCTCACTCTGTCACCCAGGCTGGAGTGCAGTGGCGGGATCTCGGCTCAAGGCAACCTCACCTCCCAGGTTCAAGCGATTCTCCCGCTTCAGCCTCTCAAGTAGCTGGGCAATATGAACAATTAAAATAAGCCTTTACATCTGATCGGCCATTAATATTAAATTATCAGTGAGTGTTAAAGTGGGGGAGGTGGGAGTAATGGAGACCTCGTTGGGGAGGTGCTTGTTGGAAAGACTGCGATTAGGGTGAACACTGATCCCAGTCTGCCCACTCGGGACTAAGGAGTTTGCCAGGACGTGGGACTTGTGGTGCCAAGACTAGGAAAGTCCCAGTTGGTCAGTCCCAGCACGCAGATGTGACTAAATCACTGGGACTGAGCAAAGATAAAGGTTATCACACACAACATCAATCATAAGAGCAGGGTAAACCCAACTGACCTTCAGCTTCGAGGACACACATTTATTCTAACGGCTCTCAGTGGTAAAGTCAAGTGTCAACAGTGAAATGATCACACAAAAAATTAAGGCTTCTTTTCCCCCAAGCAGATTATACATATTAATTAAATGGTAGAGAAGTCAGGCACAGTGGTTCACTCCTGTAATCCCAGCTTAAGGCCAGGAGTTCAAAACCAGCCTGGGCAACATAGCAAGACTCCATCTCTAAAAGTTAGAAAAATTGTCCAGTCAAAGAGGCAGAGAAGAATCTAGTGACACTGCTTCTCTGACAGCAAAAATAGGTCATTAAACGAAATCTATATGTATTCAATATATGTATACATTTTATGTGTGTTGTTTAAATGTATATTTGCTACATTGCTAAAAGCTGATGCATAAGAAACCCTCAATCCAACATAATTGTGTAGTAATGGGATTTTTTTTCTTTTTTTACTCTGTTAATGTAACAAGAATTTAACTTGCAGGCTACAAGGGTAATAAAGAAATGGGGAAAATTCACTCTCTGATAACAATTCCTAGGTCTAAAGACTAACAGCCTGATGCTGTATCATACCCCAAACCGGCACATTCAATAATCATGAAAGAGGCATTTGGGAATTTCCAGAGGTGGCCACGTGTCCACCATCTCCATCAGCCTTCCTCTTCTCCAGGCTGCAGTTCACACAGACATGGCCCGCCCACCTTCAGGAGAAACCAAGACATTAAGGAAACAATGGTCACCATCCAGGAGCGGGACTTAACACAGCCCTTTACCATATGCAGGGCCTCAAAGAAGGGGTTCAGGGCCCCCCAGAAAAAAAATGTTTTAGGCCTCCAACAAGGGGGTAGTTGGTACTGACATGCAATGAAGTCAGCTCTGTCTCTCGTCCTCTCTCCTGTCCCCTCCCTGTGTCCAGAAAGGGGTGATTTGTACAGCTTCCCCTCCTCTTGTAAGAAACCTTGTTCACAAGAGAGTCGCAACTAAAACTGTGAACTTACCAATGAAATGTGAGCGATGAAATGTGTTGAGAGAGCGCATTAAATGAATGTTACATAGGTACTAAAAGAGCCCTAGGAGCATGGGCTGGCTGCGGGCTAGTCTCTCCTTCATATGAGAGAAGCGTGTAGTCTAGTGTAGTCTAGTGTAGTGCAGTGTAGACTAGTGTAGTGTAGTCTAGTGTAGTGTAGTCTAGTGTAGTGTAGTCTAGTGTAGTCTAGCATAGTCTAGTGTAGTGTAGTGTAGTCTAGTGTGGTGTAGTGTAGTGTAGTGTAGTCTAGTGTAGTCTAGTGTAGTGTAGTCTAGTGTAGTGTAGTCTAGCATAGTCTAGTGTAGTGTAGTCTAGTGTCGTGTAGTGTAGTGTAGTGTAGTCTAGTGTAGTGTAGTCTAGTGTAGTGTAATGTAGTGCAGTGTAGACTAGTGTAGTGTAGACTAGTGTGGTGTAGTGTAGTCTAGTGTAGTGTAGTCTAGCGTAGTGTAGTCTAGCATAGTCTAGTGTAGTGTAGTGTAGTCTAGTGTGGTGTAGTGTAGTGTAGTGTAGTCTAGTGTAGTGTAGTCTAGTGTAGTGTGGTGTAGTGTAGTCTAGTATAGTGTAGTGTAGTGTAGTCTAGTGTAGTGTAGTGTAGTATAGTGTAGTGTAGTATAGTCTAGTGTAGTGTAGTCTAGTGTAGTGTAGTCTAGTGTAGTCTAGTGTAGTCTAGTGTAGTGTAGTCTAGTGTAGTGTAGTGTAGTCTAATGTAGTGTAGTGTAGTCTAGTGTAGTATACTGTAGTCTAGCGTAGTGTACTGTAGTCTAGCGTAGTGCACTGTAGTCTAGTGTACTGTAGTATAGTGTAGTGTAGTATAGTCTAGTGTAGTATAGTCTAGTGTAGTGTAGTCTAGTGTAGTGTAGTGTAGTCCAGTGTAGTGTAGTGTAGTCCAGTGTAGTGTAGTGTAGTCTAGTGCAGTGTAGTCTAGTGTAGTGTAGACTAGTGTAGCATAGTCTAGTGTAGTGATTGGTGTGTCATCTCAGGAATCAGACAACCCCGGGCCCTCACTCACATAGAGCACCGGGGACAAGCTGCTTCCACTTGCTGCCATTTATAATGGCTACATGATCGGGCAGCTATAAACATCAGATGAGATGAGATATTTAATGGCACCCAGTCAATGTTAACTTCTAATAACTGACTCTTAGAGACCCTGTAGTAAACTTAAAAGTCTCAACCTACAGTAATCTAGATTTCTACAGAGAAGACTGTGTTTCAAGAAGCTGAGACCACATTTCTGTCTTTCCCTACTTACATGCTTCACTCTTCTCCATTAATTGTATTATTTCCCTGTCAATTCCTGTCCTTTAGCTAATAAAGAAAAACTTGACAAGCCACTCCACTTCCGGGCCACGATACATTTTGCAATACCCAGAACCAGTCTATATGCTCACAGGAGGATAACATCAAATAAAGCAATTTTTTGTTTTCTTTTGTGTCTCTCTCCCACCCCCACCCTGGCCAGGCAGTATCTGCACTGTGCATGAGAAGGTGATGATGGGGGGGTAGAAATGGCCAAAGAGATGCTTCTCGTAAGTATCTGAGTAAAATATCTTGAGACATGTCGAACCTGAGCAATTTCCCACCAGCCTTGCACTTAGAGAGGCTACAAAGCATACCAGGGAATCTGCAGTCAGGTCACTGTGGAAAACCTAGCTGTTCCCTTCTTTAGAAACAGCCGAGGAAATGGTGAAACATTGTGCAGAGCCACTGAAGGCTAAGGGAAGAGAGAAAACGATCAATAAGTAAATGGATGGGTGCACTGTGGGGTGGCCAAAGGCAGAGGAAGAGGAAGGCAGGCCACTGCTTCACCTGGTGGCAAGGATCATGGAAGAGCCCAGAACTCTTCTGGACTCTACCTTTGGTTCTAGAGCAGATTAAAACAGCAGAGAAATTGTGTCTGTCTCTCCAGACAAAAAGGATAGAGAAGGCTGGGTAATCCCAACCCTTTGGGAGGTCGAGGCGGGTGGATCATGAGGTCAGGAGATCAAGACCATCCTGGCCAACATGGTGAAACCCCGTCTCTACTAAAAATACTAAAGTTAGCTGGGTATGATAGTGTGCACCTGTAGTCCCAGCTACTAGGGAGGCTGAGACAGGGGAATCGATTGAACCTGGGAGGCAGAGGTTGCGGTGAGCCGAGATCCTGCCACTGCACTCCAGCCTGGCAATGGAGCAAGACTCTGTCTCAAAAAAAAAAAAAAAGGAAGAAAGAAAAAGGGTAGAGAAAGGGATAGCTGCTCACACTATTAGTCTTTACTCCAGTTCTAATTCTACATGTATTGTCCTGAGTATTTGAAGAAAAAAAATTTAAATGACCCTAATCAAGTTTTATGTTACTAATGAAAATTACACTGTAAAATGATACATTAAGTTCAGTATATTTTAAAGATACATTGAAAACATTTATAGAACTAAAAAAAAAGGAATTATGTTCAATGAATCCTCACCTAGCAAATTTAAGCTTTCAAAAAAAAAAAAACTAAGCTTCGTAAACTATTTAAAGCATTGCCTATAATGCTTATGATACAAAATTTAGAAAGTCAAACCTATTCTTTCTGGAATTGAAAAACCCCTTTCCCCTTCAAAATAGGATCTCCGGCAGGCTGCATACGATTGAAACTGTCAGTAAAGAAACACAGGATTGGCCAGGCACAGTGGCTCACGCCTGTAATCCCAGCACTTTGGAAGGCTGAGGCAGGTGGATCACAAGGTCAGGAGTTCAAGATGAGCCTGGCCAATATGGTGAAACCCCATCTCTGCTAAGAATACAAAAATTAGCCAGGCATGGTGGCGGGCGCCTGCAGTCCCAGCTACTTGGGAGGCTGAGGCACCAGAATCGCTTGAACCTGGGAGGCAGAGGTTGCAGTGAGCCGAGATTGCGCCACTGAACTCCAGCCCTGGGTGACAGAGTGAGACTCTTATCTAAAAAAGAAAAAAAAAAGAAGAAGAAGAAGAAACACAGGATTGACATAAAGGACCAAATCCTTGGAACAAAAGTTTCTCCCTCACATGGTATCACAGCCACTGCCTTCTCACTGTGATGGTTAACTCTATAAGACAGCTAGGCTGGACCATGAGGCCCAGTTGTTTGGCCGAACACCAGTCTAGATGGTGCTGTAAAGGTATTTTTAAAATGTGATTAACATTTAAATCAGTGGACTCTGAGTAAAGCAGATTACCCTCTATAATGTGTCATCCAATCAGCTGCAGGCCTTTGGAGCAAACACAGAGATTTTCCCAAGAGGAAGAAATTCTCCTCAAGACTGAAACACGGAAACACTGGCTGAGGTTCCAGCCTGCTGCTCTGTAGAAATTCACACTCACGGCTGCAGCACAGCTCTTAGCCTGTTTCCAGACTTGCTGGCCTCCTCAACCACGTGAGCCAGTGCCTTAAAGTCAATCGGGCAACCTCTCTCTGTCTCTGTATATGTGTGTTTGTGAGTGTGTGTGTGTGTGTGTGTGTATGTGCATGCGTGTGTGTCACTTAATGGAAACACGTGAGAAACGTGTTGCTAGTTGGTTTCATTGTTGTGTGAACATCACAGAGTGGACTTACACAAACCCATATGGTCCAGCCTACTACATACCAAGGCTTTATGCTATAGACTACTGCTTCCAGGCCACAGACTGTACAGCATGGTACTGTACGGAATACTGTAGACAACTGTAACACAATGCTAAGGATTTGTGTATCTAAACATATCTAAACATAGGAAAGCTACAGTAAAAATATGGTATTATAATCTTATGTGACCACCATCATATATGTGGGTCTGTTGTTTACCAAAACATCCTTATATAGTGGGTGATTGTGTATGTAGACATGCACACACACACACAAAGTGGGGCCATCAGAAAACATGTTCTATGTAAAAGTTCATGCTAGAAAGAAACCCTGTAAAGAAAGAAACTTCCTTTATAATCAATTTAGATGCCAAGGGATACTGTCTTGTGCTCTGCCTTTGACAGAGTTTGGAAATCTCATGCTGAATTGTAATCCCCAATGCTGGAGGTGGGGCCCCGTGGGAGGTGTTTGGACCATGGGAGAGGATCCCTCATGACTTTGTGCTGTCTTCATGATAGTGAGTTCTAGTGAGATCTGGTCATTTAAAAGTGTGTGGCTCCTCCCCCCACCCTTACTCCTGCTCTTGCAGGTGACGCACCTGCTCCCGCTTCACCTTCTGCCATGAGTGTAAACTTCCTGAGGCCCACCCAGAAGCTGAGCAGATGCCAGCATCATGTGTCCTGTACAGTCTGCAGACCCATGAGCCAATTAAACCTCTTTTATTTATAAATCACCCAGTCTCAGGTGTTTATTTATTTTTTGAGACAGGGTCACCCAGGCTGGAGTGGCACGATCTCAGCTCACTGCAACCTCCACCTCCTGGGTTCACGTGATTCTCCTGCCTCAGCCTCCCGAGTAGCTGGGATTACAGGCACCGGCCACCATGCCCGGCTGATTTTTAGTAGAGACAGGGTTTCGCCATGTCGTCCAGCCTGGTCTTGAGCCCCTGGCCTCAAGTGATCTGCCTGCCATGTCCTCCCAAAGTGCTGGGATTACAGGCGTGAGCCACCACACCCAGCCTCAGGTGTTTCTTTATAGCAATGCAAGAACAGCCTAATACAGCCTTTTAACCTATGACATAGGAATTGATGACAGAGGGAGAGAGAGAGAGAAAAAAAACAGATAAACCTAAACATTCTGAAAATGCTATCAAGGGAAGCACATCTAAAACATAAACTTAAAATATAATACAAAATTATTCCTATATTTTAAACTTACTTCAGGAAAGCAGGCTTGTAGCTTAGACTCTGCAGACTTCAATGCTCACACTGTGGGGTCACCAGTGGCCTCTCAGTTGCGGAACCCAATGGTGGGCTTTCCCTCCCCTCCTCCCTCATGAGTGGGCATTCACCCCTGACCAATATGGTCCTTTTAGAAACACTCTCTTCCTGACCCCAATCATGAATATGTCCCCAGGTTTTTCTCTCTAATTTATATTCTTTAACACCTCTGAAATACCTGTCTGTTCCAATAACTCTGAAAGTCCTCCTTTCTAGCCTGGCTTCCTCCTCCTCAGTGGCTGCATGCTTCTCTGGTTGCCTGCCAGACATCTCCATGAGGATTTCCTGCTCCCTCCACAAATCCAAACTTGACAATGGGAAAGTGAATGAAGTACTCTCTCCACAAGGCCAAGGCCTCCTCATCAAACTCTGCTTCTGTCATTCATTCAGTCTGGTTCAAAGTCTTGGATCTTCCTTAACGTCCCCTTCTTCCTTGCCACCATATCACATCAAGCTTTGAGTCATATCCATCCACCTCTCACAAGAGTTCCCACAAGAACTGTCCCTCCTCTGGCCCAGGCCTCGTGGCCTCAGGCTGGCTCTCCTGGGCTGGCCCTGGCACACTCTCCAGCATCTGGTCTCTCTCGCTCCCCACCCAACCCATGTACATCCATCTTCCTAAAACACTTCTTGCTTCATGTCATTCCCCGATTCAAAACACTTTTATCTCGGTACACTCTTTATTTTCCAGGTTGACTTGAACATTCAAGTGTCAATCATGCTAGCACTGTTAGACGTTTAAGACTTTAAATTTCAAGAGACAAAACTTTGAATGTAATTCGTCAGCTCTGATTGTCTCTTGCAGCATTTCTCTGTTTTTTATTTTCCTTTCTCCTAAGCCCTCCTAAAACTTAACATTCTAACATTAACTAATTCCAGTTCAAAATTCCAGCCCCTAAGTCACTGAGGCTGATTCCCACGTTAGGAGTTTTAAGTCCTAATCTTGTACAAATGAATTGCAGCAAACTCTTCATTCACCCATCGGAAAAACTTCACTGAGCAGCAGCTCTGTACCAGACACTGCTGCAGACCCTGGAAGCACAACAGTGAACAAAGCAAACCAGGTTCTTGCCTTCAACATGCTTATAGACAGGGAGTCAAGAAAGTAATATCATAAATGTGACATGATCATAAGTGTTTTGAAGAAAAATAAAGGTCAGTAAAATAAAGGTACAGAGCAGGTGTCACAGGCAGTGGATGCCACTTCACATGAGTTAGTCTGGGGAGACCCGTTGGTAGGGATACACTCCAGCAGTCCTGAATGCAGGAGGGCCTGAGCCTCAGGTATCTGGAGGAAGAGTTTGCTATGCAGTGTGTTCAGTTAGTACAAAGGCACCAAGGGGAAGTGTGTTTGGTGAGCTCAAAGTGCATGGAGAACAATGCACTTGACCCAGTGAGAGAGAGAGTGCTGGAGAGACGGCCGAGTGGCAGAGGAAGCCAGCCTTCTTCATTCAGGGCAATGGGGAGGACTCTGGATTTGACCCAGTCTGTGACAAGACCACAGGGCCACAGAAGTGAGACAGCTGACTGGCCCTGCGCAAGGCTCACTCCTGCTGCTGTGTGGAAGGAGACCAGCAAGGAGCCAGGCCAAGGCCGGGAGGCTAAGGAGAGGCTGTCTCACTGGTCCAGGAATGGGCTGCAGGCAGAGCAGTGCAGGTGGCAAAAAGTGGGTGAAGCTGGAGTCCACAAGACTTGCTGTCTGGTGAGGTGTGATACTAAGAGTGGAGCCAAGAATGACCTCAAAGACTTGGACCTGAGCAAATGGAAGAATAGTGATGTCATTTTCAGAGGTAAGGGTAGAAACTTAAGGTTTGGTTTTGAACAAGTCTAAGATACCTGACCGATATGGTTTGGCTGTGTCCCCACCCAAATCTCATCTTGAATTGTAGCTTCCAGAATTCCCACCTGTCATGGGAGGGACCTGGTGAGAGGTAATTGCATCATGAGGGTGGGTCTTTCCTATGCTGTTCTCATGATAGTGAATAAGTCTCACGAGATCTTATGGTTTTATAAGGGGAAGTTTCCCTGCACAAATTCTCTCTTGCTGCCATGTAAGAAGTGCCTTTCACCTTCTGCCATGATTGTGAGGCCTCCGCAGCCACATGGAACTGTGAGTCCAGTAAACCTCTTTTTCTTTATAAATTACCCAGTCTCAGGTATGTCTTTATCAACAGCATGGAAACGGACTCACACACTAACTTTCCATGAAAACACTGAATACACAGTTTAATATATGATTCGTTGCGTTCGGGGGAAAGTAAAGTTTGCAGATCAACTTGTGAGTTATCAGTTTATAGACAAAGCTGTGGGACTAAGTGGGCGAAGAGAGAGGTTGGAGGCCTGAGCTTTGCAGCCTCCCAACATTTAGAGATTGAGAGGATGAAGTGGGGCAGCGAAGGACAAAACCCAACTCAAGAAGGGTCCTGGGGATCAAAGACACAGTTACCCAGGAAGGAGGGTGCAGCCAGCTTCATCACATGCTGCCAAGAGGAAATTCTTAGTTCTCTCCCTCGCATAAGAAAGTCTCTTAGATCAGGGAATCACGCTCAGGAAACCACACAAAAGTCGAAAATGAAAGTTTTCATGAAGGTGTTTATTCCAGATGTTTTCTTTTTTGGATTAGATGTTAAGATTTCCATTCGCTGAGTATGTTCATTCTCTTATGTTTCAACATTAACACCTCCACTGTAGAAAACATGCAGATTATTGATGTTAACTCTAAAAGAAAACTTTTAAATAAATCTTCCCAAATACAACCATATAGAAAATTTTCTGAGTTAATAAGTAACAGGAAATAACTATTTAAATAGCAGACTTTCAATAACCTAACAAAGAGAGAAGATGTTTGGAATATACAATTTTTTGAAAGGGATAATTATTTCTTCTCGACAGAAAACACTTTCCAATCTTTCACAGCTTACCTAAAATACCACGGCTGAAACTATTAATGTGTTAGGAAAGAAGACTTTCTTACCATTCAGGATTAAGAGAGAAGGTAAAAGGCACTTTGCGATTTCCCTCCCTGGTGCGGCTCACTTTCACTCCTACCCACAGTGGTGAGAAGGGGAAAGCGAGGTGGGGCGGCGGGGGGAAGTTGAAGGAGCTGGGGATGGGGTGGACAGGGACAGTTAACAAACACAAAGGGTCATTCCAGAGGGTCCTATCTGGAGCATCAGGGACGGGCTCAGTAGCCCTTCTGGGTCCTTCTGGACCTAAGGATTTATGACACGGGCTTAGTTTAGATGTCTGTAATTTTAGAAGAGAAGCAACACTTCAGATGGTGACCCAGACTTGCCCCTGGAAAAGCCAGAGTTCAGAGGCAGGAGAAAATGATATTCACTGACCTCTTTCACATCTCTAAATCTGTCCTTTCTGACAGGCAGGATTGCAAGTCCAGGTCACTTCCCATTGGTTCGAAAACTACCCAATTGCCTTAGGTGCACAAAGAAGTTTTAATTGCGGCTTTATTTAAAATTCAAGTTATAGGGATGCTTTATTGCTTTTATACAAAACATTAACTATTTGTTGAAGGTCTCACAATGTAACATAATCTGTATGTAACATACAGGCATAAGCCACCACACGTGGCCCTGTTATTTCCATCAGAAAACTAAGGCCTGATGTATTTTAAATGCATATTCTATTAATGATATATTTTGTTTCTATTTTGTTTCTATTAGTACATAATTTCCCGCAAGTATACTGTTCAACAATCACCATGCCATATGATTAATTCTTAGAAAGCAAATGGGAACTAAATAAAGATGATGCCAGATGGGCCTAAATATCCAAAAGCTGCCTAGGGCTATCACAGAAATCACAGAAGATGTAATTCCACACTATCAGATGGAGCACGACACAGACACCAAGCTCTGTGGATGCCCTGCTGCACCCAAGCTGCCGTGACTTGGGGGAAGAGGGACAAACAGCCTGGGAAGTGGGAGTGTCACCTCCAGCTGCTGGCAGAGCAGAGTAATCAAACACCACACAAAACACCCAGTTTACAAACGGCAGGGATTTTCATTTTCATTTTCTAGCCAGAGACCTGTCCATACTTTAAGGTGTTAAATGGCATATCACTAAATATCTTTATTTTCCAGCACAACCACTGTTTCTAAAACTCTGCAACAGGCAACTGTACCTATCAGAGCAAGACTCTGAACCTAGAATTCATCTGAATGAAATCTGAGAAGCCGCATTACCTATCACCAAGTCCAACCCATAAAGCTGAAGCCACTTACTGGCAAAGTTGCCTCTGTCTTGCATTTGAAAGCAATTTATTCTTACTTTACACATAATTGTGACACCTTGGGGCTTACCTGGAATATAAACCAATGCCAGGGTACATCAGGATGACAAACAAAAATGCCTGTGAATTATAGTAACCTTAAATGATGAGAATTTAAAAGATATCATAAACTTAAACCATGAGAAATTAACAGAATAATGCACAGTACAACTCCAGGATCGGCTTGCCTGGGTTTTGAAATTCGGTGTGCACTCAGGCCAATCTACTTAATTTCTCTGACATGTATTTTCTTAAATATTCAATGGAGATAATAGTTATTACCACCTCACAAGGATGTACTGAGGCTTAAATAAAATAATCCAGGCAAAAGGCTTAGCACAGTGCCTAAAATAGAGCGAGCATGCACTAATGTGATAGTTCTTTTCTTTTCTCTTTTTTTTTCAGAGGTAGAGTCTTGCTCTGCTGCCTAGGCTAGAGGGCAGTGACACGATCACATAGCTCAATGTAGACTCAAACTCCTGGTCTCAAGATATCCTCTAGCCTGAGCCTCCTAAGTAGCTGGGACTACAGGCACATGCCACCACACCCGGCAATTATTTTTATTTTTTAATATTTTTGTAGAGATAGGGTCTCGATATCCAGGCTCGCCTCAAGTGATTCTCTTGCCTCAACCTCCCAAAGCGCTGGCATTACAGGCTTGAGCCACTGCACATGGCCCTGTTATTTCCATCAGAAAAAGAATACCTGATATTAACTTGTTCTGATTTGGAAGTCAGAGAGGCACACATAATTCTTAAACAAAATTTTAATTTCAACCCAAAATGGTTAATTTTTAAAGTGTAGTGCTTTGAGTGAAATTCACTATACACTAATCTAAACCTCCAGATTTATAGATAATTGAGATTTTGTGATAGCATTTTTTCATATAAAAAATGAATTATAATGCCTGAATATTTGAAATGCTGAGGTTTTTTAAAATTTAGATATTGAAAAGACCCTTTAATTATCAGAGGGCAACAGATCCATGCATTTAAAAGCTAAGACTTTTGTTACAGTTGTCAGAATCCTTAATATCATGATTTTTATGGGTTTTTTTTTTAATACAGAGATAAATGACTTCACACTATTTCAGGATTTTTGATGTGCGAGTGGGTAGATGGTGTGGGAGGATATAATGACTAAGAGTTGAAGAAAAACTTTTGAAGAGTTCCTAAGTGTTGGAAAAGTTTAGCTGTGCCGTGTGTGAGGAGAAAATCCCTATATGAAGTTCAGCAGCAGCGAGCTCAGAGGGATAGGACCAAATCAAGTAACACTCATTACGCTTTCTTTGTTCTTCTTAGATATCCCAGTGGGACAGAATTAGAATTCCAGAAAATAGTGTACCAATCCAAGGTATGACTTCAACAGCATACAGCTAAGGTTCTACAGAAAACACTTTTTCACCTAACTGCAGCTTCTTAATATCATCATACTGCATTTATACAGCCAGAAAAGAAGCCGTTTGAATGACATTTTCAAATGTAAACTCTTTTGTTTTGTTAATTAGATATAGTTTATAAACTGTCCAAGTAGAGAATGAAGGAATATTAACAACCTTTTTTTTTTTTTTTTTTTTTTAAAACAGGGTCTCACTTTGTCACCCAGGCTGGAGTGCAGGAGTGCGATGGTGCCGTCTCGGCTCACTGAAACCTCCACCTGCCAGGCTCAAGCCATCTTCCCACCCCAGCCTCCCGAGTAGTTAGGATGACAAGTGCACGCCACCACACCCGGCTAATTTTTGTATTTTTTGTGGAGACAAGTTTTCACCATATTGCCCAGGCTGGTCTTCAACTCGTGGGCTCAGGTGATCTGCCTGCCTCAGCCTCCCACAGTGCTGGGATTACAGGCATCAGCCACCACACGCAGCCTTAAAAACTACTTTCAATTAGCCTAGTTTGAGTTATGAATTTTTGTTTTTTTTTAATTAAAGAACAGTAGAGAATTTTAGTCAGCTGAGGAGTAGCAATCGCTCTCAATTAAAAACAAGAATAAATTGATACCATATTAAATTATTTTTACTGTACTAGTTTTGTTGTGGTTTCAATTAAACACCATTGTCAACAGAAAAATCTCATCCACAATTAGAAAAAATCATATAGGGGCCAGGCACAGTGGCTCTCGCCTGTAATCCCAGCACTTTGGGAGGCTGAGACGGGTGAACTGCACTGAGCTCAGGAGTTTAAGACCAGCCTGCGCAACATGATGAAACCCTGTCTCTATAAAAATACAAAAATTAGCCAGGCGTGGTAGCATGCACCTCTAATCCCAGCTACCCAGGAGGTTCAGGCTGGACAATCACTTGAGCCAGGGAAGCGGAGATTGAAGTAAGCCAAGATTGCACCACTGCACTCCAGCCTGGGTGACAGAGTGAGACCCTGTCTCAATTTAAACAAACAAAAAACTGTATATAGAAACACTTATCATCCACACTTCAAATTCCCTGAAAGCTTCATAACTTCAATATAAAAGCAGAGAATTCAAGCATGGTTATTTCAACACTGATCTGAATGCATTTAAAAACTGCAATTATGTCAAAAAAAGATTTTAGAAATCCCATACCATTTAAAAGTAGAGAGACTTGATGGACTCATGCAAACTTGTCTCCGGGGTAGAGACAAGGCTCGTCTCAGACTTACTCAGCATTGTTTACTTAGTACCTTTATTCTGACCACCATGGCTTATGCTGGTAGGACACGGCATATTTGGAAAAGAAAAATATTTGCACTGTAAATTCTTGGAGATACATATATTTGGCATTCTGCTGTTTAGATATAAATGGGGGAAAAGTGAAGTAACCTCACAAAAAAAACATGATGATGGCAGCCTGGAAAAAGATCAAAGGTCTAAGCCCTTTTGACTTACTCAGAGCCTCTGAGTAGGAAACATAGAGAATAAAGGAAATATTAGAGAGACTGAACAAAACGGGCAGCTCCTCTAGAATCGGCTGGATGGAATGCTCGCTTGCTCTAAGGCCAAAGCTCTGCCTGGCTTTCCTGCAAATCAGCCCAGTGTAGTGAATTTTATTTTAACAATAAACTAAATGTCAGGTGCCAAAAACAACTAGAATTATTGTTTTCCTGTGCAGTTGTGTATATAGCCAGCTATTTTCTTTTCATAAAATGAAGAAATGTCTAATTTCAACTTAACCATGTGGCATTTTGCATTGCTCTCTGTTCAGAACAATATTGAAGAAATAGGTTAATCTTATTCAATTTCATATGTTATTAAGATTATCACTTTGGTCTAGGATTCAATCCACAATCTTTAAAGAACAGGACTGATAACAATTGCAAATGACATGATATTAATTTTAACCTGTCTCAGTGAGAATTGTTATACACACACGTATGTATACAACAATTGTTATACATAATTGTTACATGCGTATAAAATAAACCATTTTTAAAGAAAAGTAACTGAAGTTGCTAGGTCCAAATAAACATTCACATCATCCTCAGCATCTATCCTGAGAGTAGAGGTGGGGGCATCAAGATATCCATCCCCTTAGCATTTTCTAAGTGAGACAATTTGGACAAAAGTAAACTGTAATCAGTGATTTCCTCCAAAAATGAAATGCTAAGTTATCTACATTACTACAGATTCAGTAAAATTAGTATGTCATTATTTGTATGTCTGAATTAAAGAGTTTCAACATTTTTATTACATGGTTAAATTTGTCATTGCAGAATAAATGGATAAATAACATCATTATACGAATAAATCAGAACTCTCAGTAATTACCAAGAGTAAAGGGTAGAGAAACAAGGTTGCCAAACCTGTGCAGTATGCTACAGATGCCCATCAGATATTCTATCTCATATAAAACGTAAGTTTAACAGAAATACTCTTAAACACACAAAAATGGAAAATAAACGACCACCCAAAGATAGTGCCTATTCCTCAAGGTGACAGTGACATAACTGAAAAATATTGTTTTAAAGATACTGAGTCTAGGCCAGGCATGGTGGCTCATGCCTGTAATCCCAGCACTTTGGGAGGCCAAGGTGGGTGGATCACCTGAGGTCAGGAGTTTGAGACCAGCCTGACCAACATGGTGAAACTCTGCCTTTACTAAATACAAAAAATTAGCCAGGCATGGTGGCACATGCCTGTAATTTCAGCTACTTGGGAGGCTGAGGCAGGAGAATCACTTGAACCCAGGAGGCGGAGGTTGCAGTGAGCCAAGATTGCGCCACTGCACTCCAGCCTGAGTGATAAGAGGGAGAGTCCATCTCAAAAAAAAAAAAAAAAAAAAAAGATACTGAGTCTGAGATTACAGGAAACGGAATGAACACCACCCTTCACCAGGAGGAAGCCACAGAAGCCGTCTTGGTCTTGAATCATAGGAAATTAAATTCTAGTTTGAGCTTCAAGCTGTTAAGAAAGCTCAGGTATGAGACTGTGACAGCAAACATCAAATAACAGCCACACAGAAAACCCCTGAGGACAAACAGTGAGACCTTCTCTCTCCACTGAGAAGTTTCTTTAGGCTGTAATCTCTACCAACATCTTAGACTTCAGGGAATCATTGTGAAATGCACTGTTTTGAGCATGAGATGCCTGAAAAAGCAGAGCTATGCTCTGAATCCTACCAGGCAACAAGCAGCTGGGAGAACAGGACTTACTGCAATCCCTGCAGTTCAAAATAATCTAACAAAAAAAGAGACTATGACTTTGATCCACAAATTGGTAAATCTTGGTCAGCGAATTTCTGCCCCAATGATACAACCATGAGGGGTGAAGCGGCCGTGGAGAAACCAGATCACAACAGACCAGTCGAATCCAATACCTTTCATCACAAGTATGGGAATGAGTGTTCCTTTGGGCACATGAACTTCTCAGGGAACACCAGCTACAGGACATTTCCTACTGACATCTGTGGGAGATCATTTTGCCTATTAGAGCTGTATACCCAAGAATTACGCAGATTTGCCAAGATGGGATCCCAGTTCTAGCTGAAATTCACAAGGCGTCCCTCCCAATGGAGGGGGCATGATTAAAGCATCACCATCACCTGTGTATTTTTCAGCAACTCAATATGCTGGAAGAGATTCCTTCACAACTTCTGGAAATAGCATACCATACTTCTGAGAAGAAAGAAAAGTCACCGTGTCAAAAAAAAAAAAGAAAAGAAAAAAGAAAAAAAAGAAACAGCTTTTGATCTTGGTCTGATTGTAACTCTGCAGAATAGAGCAAATGCCTTTGGTTTAGACATCTATAAGATGTAGACTGACTTCTCTACATCAAAACCAAGACACTATGCAGCTTTACATTTTTAAATCTTCAAGGAGAGGCTTAAGGCATCAAGGAGAGATTCAAGAATCAATAATAAAGGGGCACAGGTTGGCACACCCATTCAGTTCATGTCCCTGAAATGTGGCTCAGAAGCGGCCACTTTAAGTGATCTCTAGTAAAGATATCCTATACATTAACTTTTCTTTACCTATACATTAACTTTTCTTTATAGCTACAGAAATTACAGAGTAGAAAAAAACTGTAAAACCCCCTCGGAAGGGAGAAAGAAGATGGAATAATTGAGGGGAAAAATGAAATCAAATAGCAAACATTTCAAAACCCAACATTTATGTCTTCAAAGGAAACAGGGAAAGGTCGTCTGGAGGAGTATTAGAGAACAGGAATAGTCTATAATACATTTTTATTTCATTTTATTATGTTTTTGAGACAGAGTCTCACTCAGGTCACCCAGGCTGGAGTGCGGTGGCACGATCTCAGCTCACTGCAACCTCTACCTCCCAGGTTCAAGCAATTCTCATGCCTCAGCCTCCCGAGCAGCTGGGACTACAGGTGTGCACCACCACGCCGGGCTAATTTTTTTTTTTTTCGTATTTTTATAGAGATGAGGTTTCACCATGTTGGCCAGGCTGGTCTTGAGAATAATTTTATTTTTAAAAAATTCCTATTTTTCCATAATAGATATTTTTGAAGTGATATATATAACCTGAATCCTTATAAATTCAAATGTAAACAGACTCATAGGGTCTGCTATTTAAGAAAGTCCTATCAGAAAAACAATTCTTTTTTTTCCAAAGTGTGTAATCTCCTGAGTGGTTCTGAAAGTCAAGAGTGCAACAGAATCACCTCGCGATGACTGACAAGCTGCGGGCCCCTCCCTCACGGCTTCTGTTTCAGTGCGTCTGGGGTAGGGCCCAGGAATTTGCGTTTTTAGTATAATTTCAGGCC
The DNA here is from genome assembly GCF_000001405.40 of Homo sapiens. Taxonomy (NCBI): domain Eukaryota; kingdom Metazoa; phylum Chordata; class Mammalia; order Primates; family Hominidae; genus Homo; species Homo sapiens. The sequence continues at coordinate 165,634,167 of NC_000006.12, forward strand.
ATGTGCTTTGAGAATCAATGCCTCCGATCAGCGGATCTGCAGGGTTTGTGGAATGCATGTGTCTGCAGCGGTGCCCACTGAAGATCGTGTGTGTGTGTGTGGAGCGTCATGGGTTGTTGAGGAGTGTGCGGAGTGTATCTGTTGGTTTCTTGAGAGAACAGGGCACAGCTGGGAGAGTGAGCCTGGGCTTTCTAGGAGAAACCTCAAGCTGAACCTGAGTCCTGCAACTTTATTAGCTGTGTGGCTGGTTCCCCTTATGTAAAACAAAGGTAACACACTCAGGATTGTATTCGATACCAAATAAATGAAGATTACTTACCTCACCTTGTTCCAGAGAACATTTAAGAAAGTTTTCAAATATACACAAACTACAGCGAGACAAAGATAGCATGCATTAAACTGAAATGAAAAAGAAGAAAGCAAACAAGAGGTAGGGAAGTAAAACAGAAGCAGGAAAGGAGATAACACAAAACACACGCCACAAAAGTGACACACAGGCTACGGAGAAGCCATAAATTTGACTGTAAACTGACAAGGTGAAAATTTGAACTCGTAGTTTACAAAACTCAGTGCCCACAGAAAGAAAGTAACCACTTGTTCTGGAAAAACAGAACGGTACTCCTGGTACTAAGACAATGTGCACGTGCCCCAAGTGTCAGTCTTTCCTAACAAACTTTCTGTAGACACAATCTCATTCTGATGTCCCCAGAACCCATGCTTCACACTGGCTAGTTCCACATGGCATGGTCCAGGTGGCTCCATGGGTCCCTGGCCTGTGTTCATTTAAGCATTTATATAGCGACCATCGCTCTATGTTGCCTGGGAAGTGGTTGGACTACTACTCCTCCAGGTTGCCAATGAAATAAAGATCCATTTGCCTTAATCAATAATTAAGAGGGGAGGTAGAGGGGACATTCCTTTAGTAAATTGAGTGGGCAACTCACACTCCTAGTAGCAGTCACTTCACTAAGACTGAGAGGCAGCCTAAGGGCTTCCTTTAGGTAGGCGCAGTATTCTCCGTGGAAAAATGTTTGGAATCACTCTAATTGAGAGATGATCAGGCAAGTATGATCCCAAAATAAAATAGCATTAAAAGGTACGTGCCTAACATAGAGATTGGATTGATAAAAGGCATCAGAAAAGGTTAATATCTCCCAAAGGAATATTATTTGTTATTTCATTGGTGGGGGTAGTGGTTATTATTTTTCATTTTGTAAGACTGAATACCAGCACCAGTTTAGTCTTGGCACAGGCAAAATGTCAGAGATGGGGTTTGTCTTCATGGTGCAAGTCAAGTGGGGTGTGAGTGTGTGTGTGTGTGGGTGTGTGTGCATGCACGCGTGCACGACCATCACAGCGGATTTGGAATTACGCTATCCAAGCAAACAAGTGGGTACTTTAGAGTATATCTACTTTTAACTTATTCCAAAGAGATTTGTGGCAAATCTAAACATTTTCTTAGCTATGAATTCTATAAAATTTATTCAGAGGTTTCAAATAAGTACTTAAGACAGTTTCACGTACATACAAATCAATGAACAGACCTACACAAATCAATAGACTATCGTAAACACAGCGTGAACTTTGGTTTTAGTAACATACACCATTTGGGGCATACAAGAATAAAGGTACCTTTAATAACGATTAGAGAAAAATTATTAATAAAAAATAGAGGTAGACATATCTTGTTTGATAGAAACAGAAGATTCCATTCTCTTAATAGAAAAATATTATATACTGCACCATTACAGTAAGCTGCCTGTATGCAGTGTTTCAAAGAATAACATTTAAAATAACTGCAAATATCACAAGCTAAGTGTTATCATTATGTAAGCATTTTACTGTAATAGGAGCCATTCCCATGACCTCTGGGAAATCCCTTAGCTCTTGTTTTATTTTTATACCAATTTCAAATGCATAATTCTATCTGTAAACAGACATTTACATTTACATGGTTCCCCTCTTGTTTGCCTAGGACATATGATGCATATTATCAAAGGAATCCCCTACTTCCTATTCCTGGGTTAGGGTAAACCCTGGGAAGTAGACCTCAAGTGCTCACCTCAACACACTTTATCCCATTAGCAAACACACAGCTAGTTCACTGGCTATGTGAAAAGGAAATCCCTCCCATACACACACACACACACAAACACTCTTCAAAATAAAGTTACAATAATTTTCCTAGGAGCAAAATTGAAGTAGAAATATTGAAATATGACTTGCCAAGTTACATTTATGAAATGCATATTCTACTCATGTAGAATTTTGAGAATCAATCATTTAAAAGAAGAACTCCAATTTTATTACAATTTACAGCTTTTCAAAAAACCTTCACAAGGAAAAATGCAGGCAAAACCAGCCCTTACAGGAAACCTCACATTCCAGACGTTCCACAGGCTGAGGCCCCAACTGTATCCCCAAGAACAGCTGCTGTCTGTTCCCCTCCAGCTTCCCACCCTAAATGCAATACTTACGGTTCACAAAAGGACATTTGCCACGCAAGCTATTATTTTGCAAAAACTGGATAGACTGTTTATGCATCTGCCCGAACACATTTGTGAAGTACTAATTGGAGGTGCAGAAATGAGGCTCCTTTTGATGCCCTGTGTTTGCTTGTGTCAGGCATCTTTCCATCTGCTGTAGAAATGCTCTGCCTAGGTCCAGCCACCCCTCACCTCGGAAGGGCAAGTCACTTAACACCTCAAAGCCACTTTTAGTATCTGTAAAATAAAGGGATCTCAATAGCCTGCCTCTCTAACAAGACTGCCATGACCCACCTGAGACGATTCATGTGAAAATTGTCAGACTGTAAATGAAATCATCATGGAAATGAAAGAGCAGCTCATATGTATTCAGCCCACTGTCCTACACACCTATTATTTAATTAATTTAACCCTTTGGACTGCTTGATGAACAAGGGTACTATTATTTTCATCCCATGTTATAAATGAACTGAGGCAAAAAGGATAGTTATGCAATAAACTTCTCACAGACTATAAGAGATGGGACCAGGATTTGCAGCTAGCTAGGGTGACCCCAGGACCGATGCACTTAACCAGCTTGCTCAGTGGAACGGCAAAGAATCACAGATCAAGGCTGAAGCAATAAAAAACAATCAAAACAACCACCACCACCTATACCATACTAGGATGTGGCTTCCAGAATGTGGCCCTGATTCTGTCACCGCACACATGTCCTGCCAGAAAAGCCACTGCACCACCCAGGCCCTGCCTAGGTGTCCTTAACGTGCAAGGTTTGTACCTGACTGAATGACGGTGTCCAGCTTTATGGCGGACGGGTAACACACACAAGACTGCGGAAAATTTTTCACATTTGGCATGGAAAAAGAGAAAGACTACACATGCAGTCAAAATTCATTCCATACATTCTGGAGAACGTCCTGTGTGTCGGGCAGCATAACAGGGTCACAAAAACAAAACCCCACTTTGTTTCCAGGCATCATGTTAAGTGGCAAAAGGTTCTGCGTCAATAGTGCAAGCTTCTTCTCATCCAAGGATCGGAAAAAGAAAGGCAAGGACAGGGGTCATCGACCCAGGACCCAAGTTTCCCCGGCACAGGCGGGGCGCGTCCTCCCAGATTTGTACTCAAGACTTTACGGAGCTATCACGGAATTCTCTGTGGAATGATATTTACAATAAGGGCAGAACGCCAAAGCAGAAGGCAAAATCTGGCTTGATTTTCCCCAGAGCCAAAAGATAATTTCTCAAAATATGCCTTGTCTTTATCTCTTGAAATGAGAAAACGCTTTGTAGCCTTCATTCACCACAATCCCATCTCCCATAGGTTTTTATTCCATTTCCCATCTCCTCCTTTCCTCCAGCCAGCCCTCGCCTGCCGTTAGCAGATGTTGTCAGTAACATCTCTTTTTAAATGGGTCAGAAATTCTCTGTGCTGGGTGAAAGAGGCCAACTCAACATGGTATCTAATCAGATTCAAAGATTATGCCTTTGTGAAATGCCTCATTGGAAAGCCTCTTACTTCCCACCACCCTCCCCCCACCAAAAAAGAAAAGAAAAAGTATTTTAACCCTTTCTGTTTGGCGATGATTCTACTATGCAACACATTCACCTTCCTTTTTATTTTCACTTTATACTTCAGATAACTTTTAAAGCACAGTAAGAGTCAAAACTAAACGCAAATAAAAGCCAACTACAAATGGAGTTAACAAAGAGGAAGGACGAGAAGGAAGGCAAGAGACAGAGAGAGAGGGTGGAAGGAGTCGTTTTATATCAAAGCAAATATAGCTTTAAAATAAAAATGATTTAATTTTCTTATACCAATTCTTGCCATTGTGTTGTGTTCTGAAAGGACGCATGTAATACACATTCCTGTCTTCAGACCATCTAATTTGCACTGGTTTTTGAGCTAGAACATTCAAACTTTATATTTTATATTGCCACATCACTACACAGATAAATGCAAAGAAAATAAAATTTTAAAAAAGGATATACTATGAAATCTTAAACTTCATCATTAAAATATATACTAACCAAAACTGGTAAAAGTTAAGTTCGTCATCCCAAGGTTAAGTCGCCCACACAACACCCACATTGCATAATAAGCTATGTATTTAGTTGCCTACCTAGCAATCTAAAATAGATTATTCAAACAACAATAGAAAGTTAACTACTATACTAAGGGAAAACTAGAGTCTTTAAGAACCTAGAACACACAATTACCACTCAAACATTATATAACAATAAGGCTTATTAACATTTACATTCTGTGTCCTCCAGATTTTGTAATGACGCCCTAACAATGCTGATTTTTATAGTCTACAAAGTACCTTCACATTCATTATTTCATCTTTATCCTGACCAAATGGGAGGGAAGAAGGAAGGGAGGGAAGGAAGGAGGGAGGGAGGGAGGGAGACAGAGAGAGAGAGAGAGGAAGGCAGGAAGGAAGGAAAGCAGGCAGGCGGCAGGAAGGAAGGAAGCTAGCTGGCTGTGTGATAGTAAAATTACCACCATTTTACAGATTAGGGAGACATTCAAAAGTTAAACAATTTGCCTAGGAGTCCACAACCAATGTATGGAGGAACCAAATTCAAACTAGTCAATATTCAAACTCCAGTCAATTGACTGCAAGCGTCACATTCATTACATCACACCCAGAAACCTTGTTTTTCAGCTTTCTGTTGAGACTTTTCATCCTTCCCTTCATTTGCACAATTTAAAACTCAGAGATTAGTTTTATTTTTAAAGAAAGCCATACCTATTATAATTCTCAACTGCAAAAAAAATCAAGATAAAAAATGAAGAGAGGGCAGGATGCAGTGGCTCACACCTGTAATCCCAGCACTTTGGGAGGCTGAGGCATGTGGATCACCTGAGGTCAGGAGTTCAAGACCAGCCTGGCCAACATGGCAAAATCCCATCTCTACTAAAAATACAAAAAATCAGCCAGGCATGGTGATGGATGCCTGTAATCCCAGCTACTTGGGAGGCTGAAGCAAGAGAATTCCTTGAACATGAGTGGTAGAGGTTACAAGGAGCCGAGGTTGCACCATTGCACTCCAGCCTAGGCAACAGAGCAAGACTCTGTCCCAAAAAAAAAAAAAAAAAAAAGAGAGAGAGACATAAAAATCAATCTATGGCCAGGTGGAGTGGCTCACGCCTGTAATCCCAACACTTTGGGAGGCCAAGGAGGGAGGACTGCTTGAGCCCAGGAGTTCTTGACCAGTCTGGGCAACATAGGGAGACCTTGTCTTCTATAGAGAATTTTAAAAATGAGCCAGGTGTGGTGGTGCACACCTGTGGTCCCGACGACTCAGGAGGCTCAGGCAGGATGATCACCTGAGCCCAGGAGGTTGAGGCTGCAGTGAGCTGTGATCGCACCACTGCACTCAAGCCTGGGCCATGGAGCAAGATTCTGTCACCAGAAAAAAAAAAAAAAATCTATACAACCTTGAATCGACTAAAGGTCTTTAAGTTGCATGCATGTAACTCTTTCCCATTAGGGTATAGGAAATGCAGACTTAATTAATGTGAAATTTTTAACTGCTGAAAGGCTTTCAAAACATAAAGATTCTAATGGTTTCTATTTACCAGTGTTTTAAAAATTTTTTAAAAATTGCCTGCCTTTCTGTTTCTGTTTACTTATTAGATACATATTAAAATTTTTTTTACCATTTTCAAATCACCTATCACAATACATTATTTATTCAGCAAACAGGTATATTAAACAAGTATATTCTTGGTCTGCAAAGTTTAAAAGTAAAAATTTCATGTTACTTTATCAGCAAGATTACAAAATTTAAATAAGCTTACTCAGGTAACTCCAAAATGGGAAAGAAAACAGTTAACATTTTGGCTCAAAGAAAATGAACATAAAAATTAAGAAGAGCTCTTATGTAATAACCTGTTATTCACACACTGTTACAGACCATTAGCCATTAATAAGTGCTGCAGTGTTCCTCTACCTCTTCCCTTCTAAACCTTCCTGTTCAGAAACGCGGAAACCACAACATATTCCTATCTGGATGTCAAGTGATTTCAAATGAAGTCTGATAAACTAAGCGATGTTGTTGCTAGAAGATACAAATTTAAATAAAACACAGATTATGTAAACAGTAGTTTATAAATTTGTTTATAAAATTACTTATGAAAATGGTTTACATAATTGGCCAAGAATAATATAACTCATCTATTAATAAGAAGTATGATAATTTTGCATTGGCTGTTACTTTGTCCTCAGCCAGCACCTACCAGGAAATATTCAGAATAGTTGCACACAGAACAAATATCACTTGTCTGATGTCACTATATAGTGTCCATGCAGTCAGAAGAGGTGTCTTAAATCGGTGACCTCAGCACTTGGCCGTGGCCAGCCCTTCAGCTCCTTCCCATCTTCAAGGCAAGCTGATCACAGCAACATGGCTGTCTGCTTCACCTGACCACAGAAGAGGGATGGACCCAAGAGACTGAATAGAGGAGGATGGCCAGGCTTTCTGAGCAGACACGTGGGGGCCAGTAAGGGGTGACTGACGCCCAGAGGTCAACAAAGAAAAAAAAATGTTAAAAGTCATAAGAAAGGTTTTTTTAAATCTTTTATTTATCTTTAGAAAGACAAATAAAAATACCTAGAAATATGAGGTAGTTAACTAATTATAGCAGCAAACAGAACTGTAAACCTCAAGAGTCCTTTAAAATACATTTCTCTACTATAAAACAATAATAACTGATGCTCATAAAAAGGTAAAATATCAGATGCACAACACTATATCTAAGAAGAGAAGGCATCACACATGTTTTAAAGGTTGATGTCTGAACTAACTGAAATCACTAAAAACAGGTGCTTTAAAAGTTACACTTCAGTAATCTGGCAAATGCTTCCCCAGCAATGCTGGCTCTCAGAGGCAGAGGTGGTGCCTCACCCATGATAACCCACAGTCAGAGCGGGCACTGGCCACTCAGCTAATATTGGCAAATATTATTTAGAGTGCCTTGGGGGCAGGCCCTCCACTGAGACCCTGAGCACAGCTAAGGCAAAGCAGCCTGGCTCCTCCCTCACTGCACCCACCGTGTGGTGATTCAAGTCTGTTCCTAGATGCCCTAGATGTTCCTGAGCCTCACTTTGCTTAGGATTCCTCTTCGGACTGTTATGAGAACCAAGGAAGATGAGGAATAGAAAGCAATCTTTGAAACAGAACACGGTCCCGTCTCTGGCAAGCGGTGTTTCGGTTCATCTCAACTCTCCAGCCACCCTGTACCTCCCACGGCAGCCCCGCAGCCTCTGTCCTGCAGGCCACCAGCTGGAGTGGCAGAGGCGTGGCTGGTAGGAATCTGGTTTCCTTTGACGCCCATTCGGGGCGTGGAATCATGAACGTGTGTGTGTGTGTGATGTGCTCATTTCATCGGGGGTGTAACTTACTGCTTTGACTCTGGGAAGGTGGAATACCATGATTCTGGAAAGCCACGCCTGCAGTTAAAGATGTCTCCTACCCTTCAGGTCTCTGCACAAGCTGCCCCTCCGCCAGAAACACCTGCTCTCCCACAGCCCCACATCCATAGGGGCTAACACAGTCTTTTCCTTCTCCTCTGTCTCTTCCTTGGGGAGATGTCCCTAGATGCCCCGGATGAATGTGGCTTCCCGTGCATATGTGTCTAGCATGATACGTTTGTTCAGGTCGGCCTTGGCCACGAGGCACAGGCTCCCTGAGGTCATGGACGTCCATCTGTGCACCACCCTATCGACACATAGGAGGCACTCAACAAAGGACTCAGGCTGTATTTAGGAGGGACACAGCCACATTAACGTGGAATTAAAATAAAGAAAATATAATCAATTGCAGAGATTTTAGAGGGGTAGTGCTCTGCAAAGCACTGAGGTGTATATAGCCCCACATAATCATTCTGGTTACAACAGTGGTACGGACTGGTTGGAAGTTGAAAGACTAGCCCCTGGAATCCTCTCTGATCTTGCTGAGGAGACTTGTAAGACAGATCTCAAGTAAAACCATTTGTAGTCCTTATGCCTGTTGGCTGTACCAGTCCGGCCTTTATGCTTTCAGACACTCTCAGGTGGGTGAACGCTACACAGCCTAGGTAATTCGCTCACATCCAGCCTGTTAATTCAGCTCTAAAGAGCCCTTTGCATTCACTCGCTCTCTTGCGGCATACCTGCCAAAGAACGTGCGTCCCATCACACATTTTTAAGTTGCCATATAAAAATTGTATCACAAGTTTAAATAGTTGTGAATGATGTATGTTCTCACATTTTTTTTTTTACGGCAAATATGCCTCATACATATTTTTGTCAAAACCTGGAGCTGAGGAATAGTTCACTCAGTCCATGGACCCTGTCCACCAAACAACCTTCCTGGAAAGCCATTCTCCAGTGGCAAGTCAAATAGCTCAATCAGACCTAATTTCTGTCTGAAAAGGTTATTTTATAATTTAAATACATCATCTAACTTGCATCCCTGTAACAATTTCTCATTTCTGAATTATAGTTCTAAGATAGATGGGAGGACGGATGGTGGGTAGATGTATGGGTGGATGCATAGGTAGGTGGGTGGATGGATAGATAGGTGAGTGAGTGGGTGGGTGGGTGGATGGATGGATGGATGGATGGAGAGACGAGCAGACAGACAGATGAACGGATGGGTGTACAGATGTATGGACAGATGAGTATGTGGATGGAGCCTTGCCATGGGTTTGCTGACTTAGTGAAATAAAGAGTCTCCCACATTCACAGATGCTCTCCTTAGTTTGTTCTCCCCAAACTCTGCCCTAGGAACAGAGCCTTTTCAGATTGTCCCATCGTTTAGTACCCCAGAGATTTTTACATGCTGGGGCAATGAGCCATAGTAAGGCTCTGAAGAAGAAAGGGCTATCCCTTTCTTCTTTTGGAAATCGGAGAAAGTCAGTCGTGAAAACAGATAAGTGAAATAAGCCAGGCACAGAAAGACAAATACTGAATGACCTCGCTTATATTTGGAACTTTTAAAAGAATTCATTGAAGTAGAGAACAGAACGGTGGTCACCAGAGGCTGGGACAGGCAGGGATGGGGAAAAGAAAGATCTTGGTCAAAGCATACAGTTTCCATCAGACAGGAGGAATAAGCTTTAGCTATCCATTGCACAGCATGGTTACCATGGTTAATAATGACATCTTATACATTTAGAAATTGTTAGAAGAATAGATTTTTACATGTTCAAAAAACAATGATAAGTGGGTTAAGTGATAGATATGTTAATTCACCTGATTTAATCATTCCACAATGTATGCATACATCAAAGAATCACACTGTACTTCATAAACATATGCCATTACTAGTCAATTAAAAAATATATTTTTAAAAGAAAGCTGAAAAGTACGACTGGCAGACCTGTTGTCAGGTAGACATCCTCAGAAAAATTCATTTTTTTTCTGTTTTTTGAGACAGAGTCTCCCTCTGTCGCCCAGGCTGGAGTGCAGTGGCGTGATCTTGGCTCACTGCAAGCTCCGCCTCCCGGGTTCATGCCATTGTCCTGCCTCAGCCTCCTGGGCAGCTGGGACTACAGGCGCCCGCCACCACGCCCCGCTAATTTTTTTTTGTATTTTTAGTAGAGAACGGGGTTTCACCGTGTGTTAGCCAGGATGGTCTCGATCTCCTGACCTCGTGATCTGCCGGCCTCGGCCTCCCAAAGTGCTGGGATTACAGGCATGAGCCACCATGCCCGGCCAGAAAAGTTCATTTTTAAGAGTCTCCGTGAAGATTTCTTTAAGTGATCTTTGCCCATGCATCCTCTTGGAAGTGGGTGTGCCCATAGGAAGCAGCCTGGGAGAAACCACCAGCACCTTTCTTCACATGTACAATGCCCAGAGGTAAGGGCAACAGGCAGGAATTGTGGAAGTACCTGTCACCCAGGGAAGGTGAAGGGAGACGCCAAATGTGTAGGATCTCTTGAAATTCCAATTCTTGATCACCCGTCTTCTAACTGGCACTCACAACATATACGTATATTGAAACATCACACTGCATGTACTTCATCAACACAGGCACCTAAACACAGCGTATTCTATGAAAACCCCCGTATGAAATGACTGTCTTAGAACAGGGGTAGCCTTCCCCTGTGGAAGGCCAGATGGCACGTGTTTCAGACTTTGTCAGCCCTGCTGTCTCCCTGGCACTTGCCCACTTCTGCCACTGCAGCTCAGAAGCATGGACGGTCATGAGCAAGGCCAGGGCAAGCGTGATTGTCTGGATTTACGTTGATCTCCAGGAAATCTGGGAACTTTAAAAATTAATGAGTGCTTTTTAAAAAATCATACACCTCAGACTTGGAAAGTAGAATAAAGAACATAAACGTCACCCTAATTGTGTTAGTAGCAGAAGCCTCTGGCGCTTGGTACCACATCCTCTCAGCCTGCTTCTGGTTTCTGCCACAGCAGTGGTGGCCTGTGCCTAGTGAGGTCAGTCTCTCCTGAAGTGGTGGATCCTACTTCAGGCGCACATCTGAGCCTTGCTGCTTTCATCCAGCACCCCTGCCAGGGCCAGGAGAGCCCACTCGATTTCCAAAAGAAGCATCTGGGAGTGCACAGCGAGGGTGCGGCTGCCTTCTGTCCTCCTGAGCGGGGGCCTGCTGGAACCAGTAACTCGCCTTTTACTGGCTCTCCCTTCTTGCCCCTGACCCCTTGCTTCACTCCCTACTCCTGCCTGCTGCAGTCACCTCTCAAATGAACCACCTGTCCTTATCTCAGGCTCTGTGGGCAAGGAAACCCAAATAGAAAACTGGAGTTCACAGACGTCTTTCTTCAAGGGAAACTGAGTACTTCAGAGAACCAGTGGAATCAGAAGTAAGTCCTTAGGGTGAGTTTACAGACACGCAAGCACATTAAATCTGGCAAAACCTACACAGTTGTTGACTGAGATCTCCTGAAAAGTTTACTTCCTGGCTGGGCGCGGTGTCTCACGCCTGTAATCCCAGCACTTTGGGAGGCTGAGGTGGGCAGATTACCTGAGGTGAGGAGTTCGAGACCAGCCTGACCAATATGGTGAAACCCTATCTCTACTAAAAATACAAAAATTAGCTGGGTTTGGTGGTGTGCACCTGTAATCCCAGCTACTAGGGAGGCTGAGACAGGAGAATTGCTTGAACCTGGGAGGCAGAGGTTGCAGTGAGCTAAGATCATGCCACTGTACTCTAGCCTGGGCAGCAGAGCAAGACTCCATCTCAAAAAAAAAAAAAAAAGTTTACTTCCTTTAGCCAACTACTAATATCCACCAAAACAACTGCTAAATTTGACTACAAATAGTTTCACATATTCCTCCACTTGAGGACAATGCCCTTATATAAGGTAGGAAACAAGTATAAAGGGAGGCAAAATAACCCAGCAAGACAAACAGCAGGTCAAATCCTAAAATAGGAGCATGCTTGAGCCTTCTCAGGAAAATGGGCCAGCCTGGCACAGACCAGGGAACAGTTCCACGGCAGCATCAGGAACGCGAGGGCAAAGGCCTCACTGCAGCTCTGTCCCCACCCCGGAGTGCAAGGACGTTCATTTATAGACCTTGTCATGAAGTCACAGCCTCTTTTAAAAATCAAAAGCAACATTTGAAGGATTTCTGGAAACGGCTCTCCATTTTCTTGTCTCTTTTTATGTTGAAAACCTAGGTGGAGCCTATCATACTTGAAATCAAAACTGATTATAAATATGTAAGGTGGGCAATTCAAGAAAATTCCAAAGTATTATGACCTAAAACAAGCCTGCAATTTCTTCTGTGCAGGAAAAAGTATTTAATGAACTATTCAATAAACTGACATTTGTTGAACATCCATTTTACAGATGAGAAAATTAGAGTGCTGAGAAATTACACAGAGCTGAGATTTGAGACCAAGTCTTGCTCCAAAATACACGTCTCCAAGTGTCCCACACTGCTTCTCATGACCCCTTCATTCAGCACGCGCTCAGTGATTCCTGCAGGGCACTGCTAGTCATCTGAGATGGACAGCAGAACTCAAGCTTATGATGTCGAGGAAAGACAGGCGAGCAGGAGTCAACAGCGGCATCGCCACCCACCTGCTCCCCTGCTGCTCCAAACACAGTTCCGGGATGAGAAGGAGCACCTGGCCACAGCTGCACAATGGACGCCTGCCTGGAAGGTCTTTGAATGTTTATGAAATATGACCTACTGAGAGACAGAAGCCAACCATTTTTGAGAAGTACACATGCCCATCCGACAGTATTAAACAATTCCAGATATATCGTAACATATAAAAGTGTAATTCCTCAAATTATTTGCAGAATTTTTAATTAAAATTAGATAAAGCCTTGATAGCTTTGTTTCAGATAAAGGCAAACCAGACGTAGAGGCTGTGTAAAGGCATTTGACACACAGCACTCTCAAAATGTACCCATAAGGAGATCATTGCTCATGATGGGCACATTCTCACCTTTCTTCAAGTTAGAGTAAATTAAATTACAAAAGAAAACTGTGATGCATGTACAGGACTAAGTCCACACACAGAGTTAAGAATACAGACCAACAATCTACAAAAGTCTAGAGTAAACAACCAGTCACAGAGGGAAACCATACAAAGCAAATATAAGCTACAGTGTCCATGGCAGAGAGGGATGGTGTCCTGGACAGGCTCCAGGCTCACCTAAGGCCACTCTGCCCCCGGAGCTGCCAGCGGCAGGGCCTTCCCACTCAACCCCAGCAGCAGGAGACCCAACAGCATCGTTCTGCTTTTAGACAGGACCGAGTGAAGGCGAAACGCTCAGAGACAGGAGAGGGCAGAGGTGAATTCTTTTGGAGGTGCAGAAGTCCCATAAATGGGGAATGGGACTACAATAGCCTTTCAAAAAATAGCTTCCCCTAAATGGAAGAAGCATTCTAATGACAATCCCCTTTTTTTTTTTAGTTCTTTTTCCAAAAATTCTTCCCTTTTATTTGCAACACATTTTCCTTTAATTTCTTGCCAAGAAAGTGGAATTGCTTGCGGACTCCAGCCATTTCCTGATATCAGCGTTTCCAGAAGCTGAACTTCCTGCAACTACAAAGAAACACCTTTCCCAGCCAAATGGATGCTCTCAGCAGCCTTTCTCTTCCTTTCCCGACTGAAGCCCCTTTGGACGTCACTTGCAGAGACTGCCTTTTCGGAAAAGACTGTCTCAGAACCCAAGGAAACAATGGCTACGTGTCTCAGCACTTGCTCTCCTGAAGGCACTATTGCAAACACTTGCTATATATTATCTCATTTAATCTTCACCACAATCTTAACGACTGTAGCAAAAGAAACAACTACAACGCAGGGGCTCGTAATTAAGCACTCTAGGTTACAGTGCCTCCTTGGTGTTTGTTTAACAAATACAGGCACACACACATTTGTTTTTCTTTTTTCTTTTTTTTGAGACGGAGTCTCGCTCTGTCGCCCAGGCTGGAGTGCAGTGTGCAATCTTGGCTCACTGCAAGCTCCACCTCTCGGGTTCACGCCATTCTCCTGCCTCAGCCTCCCGAGTAGCTGGGACTATAGGCGCCCACCACCACGCCCAGCTAATTTTTTGTATTTTTAGTAGAGACGGGGTTTCACCATATTAGCCAGGATGGTCTCGATCTCCTGACCTCGTGATCCACCCACCTCGGCCTCCCAAAGTGCTGGGATTACAGGGGTGACCCACCACGCCCGGCCTTACATATGCATTTCTTAACACATCAGACCATCCACTGTTTCTTACTGAGAAGTCATAAAGCACAAGAAAATTACTGACACAGGCCAGCAGGATATCGATTAAAAAAAGAAAAAAAAAAGAGCAAGAGTGAATTACATCTCTTTCTATACACGTGCCCTCTCTGAAGCTGATCTCCACCTAATAATAATGGCATTTGGAAAACGTTTAGGTCACCCCCAAACCTACTACTGAATGCCTTATTCTATCAGCCATACGCAGTACTTTCCACCAGACTGCAACCCAGATACAAGAAGTCACAACAATTTTGAATCACAAACATTTTGCTGAAATACATTCAAAAATGGACCAACACAAAACAAAGAAAATTCAAAAATCATACAGGAAAAAAATGGACAGATTTCCTAACGATGGCCCTCACAAAAGGAACAGAACAGTTACACAATACAGAGTGCCAAAACTCTGCACGCACAGTCAGATCGCCTGAGAAATGAAATTAAACTAGGGCAGTAATATTATTCACAAAGAATAACCTTTCACACAAAGGCATTCCGGGTGGCTTGCAAAGCCCCTGAAGGATTTAAGTGCTCCACAGAGTGAAAGGACCGTGCAGCCACCTTCTCCTCACCCATCCCCATCCTTGTCCCCATCCCAGGAGCCACTCCCAGAAAAAGAGAGCAATCGCCACCAGGGTTTTCCCCAGAACAGTCTCCTGTGAGAAAGGGGTGCCCTGCAGAAAGAGAACTAGGTGAGTGCACACTGACAGGCCCGTACCTTTCAGAGACTTGGGTGTGCTCCACGGGTTACCTGAAGAGATCTCACGAGGAGCTTGCAGCTCCAAGGAGAAGCTTGCAAGGGGAGTGAAGATGGAGGTTTAAAGGTCAGGAAAGGGTTCTCATAAAATCCAGTAACTTGGAAGGAAGTAGCAGCTAAAATAAAACCAAGCAGCGGACTAGAAGGAAATAATATTAAGTGATAAGACAAAGAAAGCTGTCACCACTAGAAGCAGAGCACAGGAAAATAAGCAGGATGATATCCAAACCAAGGGGGAAGAGTCAGTGAGGGGACAGCAAAGAGGCCCACTGAGACACTCCCAGAGACAGCATGAGCTCTAAACCCCAAGGAAAACCAGGGCGGAGGGCAAACACGGGAATCTAAATAATTCAAGTGTCCCCATGAAGGCCCAGCCAGAGGGAAGGCTTTGTCCCTCTGGCCCTGGGCAGAAAGCTCTCCCAGGGCAGAGTTCTGGTCAGCCTAGACCCCTAGCCCCGGTATACAGCAGCTCCCACTCTGCCCTGCAAAGCTGCTGAGGAAGAGGTGCAGGGGTGCCCACTGCCCCTGCTGTCCAGTCAACTAATCAAATCCCTGTCACAACAGAATAACTTGTAATAAATTGCTGGGGCCCCCTTTAGTGGTGTCATTAAATGTCAATGTCACTTGAGGCTACATTTGCACTCACTGGAGAAGCGCTAGTATCTAAAGCTCATGTTTCTACAACAAGGCATCTGGTTTCTTTCTAAAAAGTAGTGATTTCTACCAGATGAAACTGGCTGGGCAGCTCTCCAGTGGTTTAAACGATAGTTCACATCTTAAGCATGAAACCATCAATTGCATCAGTCAGAAACTGTATTAAAATAGAAGTGATGCTTTCCACGTTCAAATCTGTGCATGACGTCAGAAAAGAGCTGATAAGATAACCACAAGGGGTAGTGATGCGTGCAATTTTTTTAATATTCATCGTTTGACATTTTGGGATCTTGTGTAGGAGAAGTGGGAGGCCAGAGGAAGACAGAAATCGATCAAATTTTAGGGGCTGACAAATGAAACCATGATCCCAGGAGGAAGACCATAAAAACATGACCCCCTAATGAACACGTGAACAGCAAAGTAAGGCAATTCACCGTTAATTCAATGCCACTTCGGTACCTTCTTGCTAATTCTGAAATTTAATTTTTGAATGGGAGATAAGTTATATTATTCAAAA
Organism: Homo sapiens; assembly: GCF_000001405.40. NCBI lineage: Eukaryota > Metazoa > Chordata > Mammalia > Primates > Hominidae > Homo > Homo sapiens. Next base: position 165,650,294 of record NC_000006.12, read on the forward strand.
ATCAAAATGTATAAAACGGGGTAACACTGAAAAGTCTCCCCACAACTCTGGTTTTCCATCCCCCAGGACCCCTTCTCCCCTCCACCTCCCTTTACCGCCCAGCAAGTGTTACATAAACAGTTTCTTGTGTTTCTTCCCAGTTTCTTTACGCAATCACAAATACAAGTATATGCTTTTATTGTCCTTTCTAACATAAAAATGTATCTGAGTGTGTGTGTATGTTGTTTACACCTTGCTTTTTTCACATAACGGTGTATCTCGAAGATCTTCTGGACATTCGTTTACACTGCTGCAAATGTTATTTAACCAAGCGCCCACTCGTAGACAGGCCATTAGATGGTTTCCAATGTCCTATTTCAAACAATACTACGCCATATTCATATCTTGTTAAGTCACTTTGCCTATGTGTGAGTATGTCTGAGTAATAAATATCTAGAAGCAGAATTACTGACTCAATGGTTACATGCATTTTTTTTTTTTTGTCGCCAGGTTGGAGTGCAGTGGTGTGATCTCAGCTCACTGCAACCTCCACCCCCTGGGTTCAAGCGATTCTCCTGCCTCAGCCTCCCCAGTAGCTGGGACTACAGGTGTGTGCCACCGCACCCAGCTACTTTTTGTATTTTTAGTAGAAATGGGTTTTCACCATGTTGGCCAGGATGGTCTTGAGCTCTTGACCTCGTGATCCACCCACCTCGGCCTCCCAAAGTGCTGGGATTATAGGCGTGAGCCACCACGCCCAGCCAACATGCATTTTTAATATTGATGGATACTGCCAAATTGCCTTCCTCGGTAGCTACACCACTTGATACTCCCACCAGGAAAGTACAGAAGCACCTGCCTCCTCGTGGACTTGCCAACAGTGTGTTATGAAGTTTATGAATATTTGCAAATGTCACAGGTGCCATTTTCACAGGTGTTATTTTCAATTGCATGTCTCTTACCATGAATAAGGCTGAGCATCTTTTCATGTTTTCAAAGAGCCATTTACTTCCCTTCCGTTGTGATTTGTCTTGTTCATCTCCTTTGACTATTTTTTATCAGGCTGTTCTTTTTTTTAGTCATGTCCAAGAGCTCTTTGCTTAATCATTTCTAGGAACTCTTTATATATTAAGAAGGTTAGCACTATGCTGTGATAGGAGCTTTAAGTGTTTTCTCTAGGGCCACAATTCAAGAACTACAGGGAGTTGTTAACATGGTGTTGGAGCTTCTGGCATGCTATGGGACATGGAGAAAGATAGGTGGAGAGGTAGGAGAGGCACCAGGGCCTCAACAGGAACATGCTAAGACCTGGCTTACAGGATTTGGGGCAATACCAAGGTGTTTCATTGTGTTTTTTGAATGTGGATTAACTTATCAATCTTTTCTTTACTTCTGGTTTTTGAGTCCCATTTAAAGGGTCTCCTCACTCCAAGGCTAGAAAGGAATTTCCTCATTTTTTTTCTTTTTATGATTTCCTTTTTGCATTTAAATATACACATAAATATACCTATATATGTACATATGTAATCCATTTGGAATCTATCCTGGAGGTGCTCTGCATGGAATAATCTATTTTTATTTTTTTCTAGATGACTACCTAGTATCCTCAAATCATGTATTCAGTAGTCTATCTTTGCTTCTCCTAAATGAAATGACACTTATATCATCCTTTAGATTCTGCCACGTGTCTGGGTTTGTTAACACTTTTCTGTTCTGTTGCATTAATTTGTCTACCTATCCACATGCCAGTACCACTTGTCTTCATTACTGAGGTTTTATAAGTAGATCTTTAATCTGCCTTTAAAAATTAGATATATTTAACCCTGAGAAGCAGAGTATAGTCCTAAAAAGTTATGATGACTGATTAGACAACTTCTGGTCCTGGGACACCAAGAAAATTTGAAATGTATATAACCCTGAGACACCAATACAATATGTAATTAGCACATCCAAGAAGCCATAGTAACTAAGCTCTTTTTTGTTGTTGTTCATTTTGTCTTTTGAGGCAGGGTCTCCCTCTGTTGCCCAGGCTACAGTGCAATGGTGTGATCATGGCTCACTGCAGCCTCAACCTCCCGGGCTATTTTTTTTTTTTTTAGAAACAAGGTCTCACTATGTTGCCCAGGCTGATCTAGAACTCCCGGGCTCAAGCAGTGCTCCCACCTAAGCCTCCCAAAGTGCTAGGATTACCGGCAAGAGCCACCTCGCCCAGCCTTCAAGCCCTTTTGGATAACACTTTAGATGTTTATTTCAGAAGCTACTAAAACTATAATACAGAAACACAAATTACATCCTATACAATAACTACAACTTGAATTCTATATTACCATGCTGTTTTTTCCCATTCTGCACCAGCCTCCACCCATCCCTGGACTGCAACTCTGCAGTTACCTGTTAGTCTCTTTTTTTCCAACAGAGTAAACTGCTCTTTATGCAAAGCCGCTTCTTACACAGTACTTACCAACTTTTAAAGGGCCAAATACGCTTGTATTTTTGTAAATAATTCATCATATTCAAACACGTCAGCCCTTCATAAGCAACACTTTCACTTTGCTGTGTAGAAATGTTTTCATCAAAGTAAAAAGCTTTTTATCACTGCCCCAGGAAATGAAGCTGAGGCATCCAGAACGCTCTAAACACTTATCTCCCTCCTTCCCATCAACTCAGGGTGGCTGCTCCACGCCAAGCCATGCCCCACCAGCTCGGGCATATGGACACGCTGTGTTCACAGTAGCTCAGAAGCCCTGGGTCACTGGTGCCAACTAGTGTATTTGGATTACATGAAAATATTATAAATGAAACAAAAATGAAGTTTCAAGTCATGCCAGTGAAATTTTACAATCACATTATGTATTTCATTATTTCTTTCCCTTTAGGAAAATTAATATTTTAAAGGACGATTTCAGTCATATTCCCTCACTTAAGCACCTTCACTATTTATTCATTCATTCAACTTATTTTGCTTGGCAACATGCTCGGCACTGAGGTTAGGAAAATGAATGAAACATGCTTCCTACCCGCAAGGAACACTTTGGCTAATGGGAGACAAACACGAAAGCAGACAACTGTAAGCACCAGCAAGGATGGAAGCACGGATGAGCGGACCATGACGAAGCCTAGGAAGATGCAGGGAAAAAGGGTTCCAGGGCACTGGTGGCAACCAAGAGGAAAGACTCCCAGTCAGGAGGATACCATGACACAGGGCAGAAGCACCAGCCATGCGCTGAATCACACTGAGGAAGTGGAGAGAGACAGAGCAGAAAGGCCAGAGAGCTGCAGGGCCTGAGAGCTCCACAGGAGCGCAGAGGGACCTCCGTCTCCATCCCGGGGCACAGCTTTCCCCACCACACGTGTCTCTACCAGCGGCTCTCCAGAACGCCCCTCATCAGGTCTGGATCCCTCATGAGCCAGCAACTCCAGGAAAGCAAGGCACAGCTCTGATGCAGATAGAAACCAATGAGCAGGAAACATGCACTAAATATCTGCATGTCATGGTATCTCCCCACACCGTGCCCTCTGGCACCTCCCCACGCCTTCCCCCAATGCAAAGCTGGACTCAGTGCGTAAGGAAGACCTGATCCACCGTGCCAGCTTTCTCCGTCCCTTCTCCTCTGCACAAAGCCCCCCAGCCATGAGATCCTCCTACTCTACGAGCCCTGACTTCTGGCTGCGCATCTTGAGCCTGGCGCCTCTGTCCAGGCTCTCTCCTCTCTGGAACCTTGCCCTCACTCAGCTCCACATATCAAATACTCTTCCACCCTCAAGATACCACCCCAATTGGACTCTACTGGTCAACTTGCATCAAGATGAGTATCTGAATTGTGCATACCTTTGTGTTTAGTATATTTTTTAAATGCAGAGTGTATGAACATTTACTCTGCCAGCCCTTTCTCCGATCCCCCCTGTACACCGGTACTGCATGTCTTCCTAAACTATTAATTTAATTGCATCACTTTCCTTCTAAAACGTTCCCAGTCACTCCCGTCATCCTCCTCATTGTCCTGTTCCTAGCCTCCCAGTTCCAGTCTCAGCAAGGCTGGGCCATCACCTGGCAGCCGGCCTCCCGCTCTCCCCAACCCCACCCCTGCTTCCCCAGGCCCCGCTCTCCTCCTCGGCTCACTCTCAGGTGGCCACAGTGCTGTCCAATTGAGAGAAATGGCGGTCAGAAGCTGGGGAAAGCACTGTGAATTCCATCTCCACAGCAGCCCCCATACTGGTTCCTTCCAAGGTTCCCTCTCTGAGGAAAAGGTTTCCTTCCAGTGTCCAAAGCCATCTCACGTCCCCACATTCTACTCGCCCTGTCCTCTTTAAGGTTTGTTTCCACCCGACTTCCTATTTCATCAAGCTCCTTTTCTTCAGCAAATCAACATTCCCAAGTCAATTCTCCATGCAGAAAAAGGCAGCATCTACCTGCCCACAGCTGAGATTCAAAAGGCCCCGTCTGCCATCCTCACCACACTGGCATCAGGTATTATCCATGCCACTCCACCGCAATCTCCCGACCGAGGCCACGGACGACCTCCTGGCTGCTGGAACTCACCTGCTCTCTGGAGCATCTGGCTTCTTCCCTCTTGAGGCTCCGCTTCTGAACTCCAGGCCGTGCTACCTTCCATCTCAGGATCTTGCCGGGTCACACCTCTCCAGGGTGCTCCATGGCTCTGCCTTCTTCTGTCCTATCCTCCGACTTCTGCTCACTCCCACTATTCACTCCTGGTCTCCATTCACGACTGTGGCTTCAACGACTACCTTGGTGTTGCAGAGTCCAAATCTCTCTTTCTACTCCGGCTCATAGCACAGAATTCCAGCGGGCCGTCCGTTCGCGTGTCAAACTTCAGCCAGGCACTTACATTGCACCCAGCTATGGTTGATTAACCAACTCCGTCTGTATTTCCCTCAGAGTCAAAATGTCACTGAGGCATCTATATACTGTCCTTGGGGCATCCAATCCCATGATTTTAGATGCTGTGACTGCAGTTTCTATGCTGCAGTCTTGAACGATCCTTTGGATCAAATCCTCCCAGGCTTTGTTTATCCAACTGCCTTCCTAGCATATGCATCTCAGGCTGAACACCACCAAACGCCACGCCTGATTCCTTGCGCACCCCACGTGCTCCTCCTCCAGGCTTCCCATCCCAATCCCAGTGAACAGCCCCACCATTTACCCAATCTTTCCAGCCAAAAACCCAGGCATGGATTCTTGATTCCTCTCTCTCCCTTGACGTCCCCATATCCAACCCACCTGCAGGTCTTATACACGCCACCTCCAAACACCTCCTGAACCACCGCGGCATTTTGCTTCTACCATCATCGCCGTGATCCAAGTTACCATTGCTCTTGTCTTGACTATGACAGTAGCATCCATGGACTCCCTGTATCCACGACATCTCCCTTCATTCATTCACCAAACTGCAGCCAGAATGAGCTTCTGAGATCATAAACCATGGATCACCCACTGCTCAAAACCTCCCCAAAGCCTCTGCTTTCATGCGGAGTAAACTGCAGTTTTTTCCTCTGACTGACAAAGCCTTCATCCGGCCCATTTGCCACTTCACTTGCCACTGCCTGGTGGGCTCAGCTCCAGCACGGCCGTCACCCCGCTCCTCTGCCTTGTGAGCCCCCTCTGCCTAGGGTGCTTTTCCCCAGATAACTGCATGGCCGATGACACCTTGTCACTCAGAGGCCATTTCTACTGCCCCTGTGAAGAGAGACCTGCACAGAACAAGGCAAGGAGCCACACAGCTGCACAGGCCACTCTCCGTGTGCATTCGCTGTGCAGCTCTCTTGGTATTTTTTGTTTCCCTGGCTGGTTCTTGTCTGCACCACCAGAGTGTGGGCACCATACAAGCAGAGACGATCCCTACTACCAAGGAGGCTGCTTAACACATAGTAGGGGCTCAATTCTCATACTTCCCATTCTGATATCTCTTTTCTCTGGGCATGGAACTACTCCCATTCCAACCCCAACTCTCTCTCTCTCTCTCTCTCTCACACACACACACACACACACACACACACACACACACACCTTTCCAATCCAGAAACTAAGGAGTCAGATGTCTCCTGCCTTATCCAACCAGCCACCTGGATGTGTGACTATTAACTGCTACCTCCTGCTTGTATCTCTCCCGACCATTCATGTGCATGGCCCCATCTCTGGTCCAGCTCCTACCTCTTCTCGTGTGCCGAGGACTCTGCCACCAAGATCAGCCCTCTCCCTGCAGTCACACAGAATCCCAGCTCCAGCACAGAGGGGATTCTTTCTACCTGTCTTCCATAGCTGTTTCTATACACTCGTCTGAGGGGTCATTGTAAAGTATCCTTAGCTTAGCCTAAGTAATCCTCTCTCCTGTCTTATCACCCGGGTCCCCAACCTACCACCTGTCCAGGCTGTTTTCCACCCTGCAACCTCAGAAGATCCCTTTCCCTTGGCCTCAGAAGGTCCTTCCCAGGCTTCTCGCAAAGCGAAGGCACTGCCTCTTCACACCTTGTGAAACCTTTCCAGGACCTCCCAGTCAGAGGCCGTCTGGTTCTCACTGTCTGCAGAGCGCCCTACAGCCTGTCTGTGGGTGAGCGTGTCTGTGAACTCTTGTCCATCTCTTCTGTGATCTGTGTGCTCCTCGAAATAACTGATTTTGTCTCATACACCTTGGAATCCTGAGTCCACAGAACAGAGGCTCATACAAAGGAAGCTTTCAAAGAGTGCTCATCGATTTCTAGGTTTCTTGAAGACAGGCACCATGTTTTGTTCTGTTTAGATTTATTTTGGCTTTCATCTTTGAATTTCCAACACAAGTATTTGAGTACCTTCTCTATGTGTGTCAGCCACTGTTAACAGTCTCAGGGAAACAACCAAAAAAGACACTGCCCTCAGGCTCTCATGGAGCTTCCTTTCCAGAGAGGGAAAGCAGGCAATAAACTGATAAGCCAGTAAGTGAGCAAGATAATTTCAGCAAGTGGTGAGTGCTACAAAGAACACAAGAGTACTGGATACCTTCTGATTTCCTTGCAAGATTATGAGTTCCTCTGTCACTGTGGAGTTTTCCTTTAGACAGACTTAGAGAAATGATCAGCTGGAGGAGCCTAATTTACATTTTAAAAGGAAATTAAAATGTTTTGAATTACAACTAAGAGTTTTCCTTTTAAGGGAAAATATTCGTTTTACATGAAAATTATTTTTTCTCTCAGATTGCATCAGCTATTTCGAAACAAACAAAAATTAACAATGTATTCGTTGGTGAAATGTGCACCGCACTATGTTTAACCTGCCGTATAGTAAACAAAATCCTAATATTTGCTTGACTGACTGTTGCACTGAGTTTTTTCCCTATTGGAGTGGAAAAAGTTTTACATGCAGAAATGATCTAAGACTAATATACTGATTGGGATAGCAGATGACACCATCTTCTAATGTTTCTTCTGCTTCTCATTTGAATTTTCTCATGCAGGTTTCTCAAAATTAAAAGTGCAATTTCTTGAAAGTTAAGTATTAATAACTTAAAGAATCCCACCAGTTTAAACAGCTCTGCCCTTTGGCCTTAAGTCCTTTCTGATTTCCTTACCAAAAAATAGGTCACCCTTCCACGGAGGACTGTGACACTCACGTCCACACCCTGGCTCTGCCGGAAGAAGTCATGCCTTGCTTTGCTGGTCATTTTTGTAGGTGTCCATAGCTATATTTCAAGTCCTTTGGGGTACCTGTTATCATTATTTTAATCTCCCTCAAACAATTTACACTCAGTAGATACTCAACAAGTATCTGTGAGTTAGCTGTTGGCTGATTTAGACCCATTTCCACTGCTGAGTGTTGTTCTCGCATTCTTCTACAACCTCAGTCTCCCTGAGCCCACAAACAGAAGTTAATGGCGAGTCTAGTGTAGTTTGTACGTGTTAAACACATTTGCTCTTAAAAGAGATCATATTTATCTCAGTTTGTTCAAGTGTCGGCCACACAGTATCTTATGTCTCAAGAAACAGTAAGAGTGGTTACTGATGAGTGTGGAGCACATTTAAACTCCACAATTCCTGGGAGCATACACATCTCCTGTTTTGAATATTTGGCAATCAACTGTAGTCTGAAGCTATCCGCAGTCTGCATTCACCATTTTTTTTCCCATCTTATTTTGCTAACTTTCTCAGTATCCTCCTTGACCAGCCGGGGTTTTCCTTTGTCTGTATCTCTTTATGTCATCAGAGTAGCTAACCAGGGAAACACAAACAGAGAGAGGTGCGGGCGTATTTGTGGCTTCTGACTGTTCTCCTTATCCACAGGCGTGCCTCAGAGTTCCTGATCTCTGCACGCCCTGCAGCCGTGTTACATCAGGGCAGCCACACTGATCACCTGCGCAGACAACCTATGTTATCTTTTCTAGAAGACCAAATGCCACTCACACTGGTCTGTCCCACGTGACTTCTCCGCTCTCCATTGCACAAGCAAACACTGGGCTCTCTAGGCACAAGAGTTTTTCCTACTCCGATGGCAACTTTGCTCACAAGAAAGCATGAAGCTGGGTGCCTGAGGAGGAGGCCAGAGATCAGCAACTAGAGGCAGATGGCAGGAGATGAGGTGAAGTCAGGAATGGCCTGATAAGGGCAGAGTAAGGGCACTGGGCATGGTGGCCACTGACCCCTGGGCATTAACTTCAAACGTGCTTCTAGGGGACTCTGTCTCTATTACTGGATGGCAGAGTGGGAAGCTCCCACAGCAGCTTCGTAGCTTCTACTAGGCTTCTTTCTTTCTTTCTGTCTCTGGGGCCTGGGTCCTGGGTCCTGGCGGTAGCTCTTACTAAGTGTTGTTTGGTGCATGAGTGAGCGAACCAGCCGGTCAGTGTGAAGAGCCAAAACGCAGAGCTAAAATGGACAGAAGCGGAGCTGGCATATCATACCCTCTACACATGATTTGCTTTCGATGGTAATAAAAATAAAACCAGCATTCATACAAACAGTAACTGGACAAAACAGCCTTTACGTGACAACTTGCATATCAGACCAACAGAAGATCAAACTGAAAGAAAAAAAAAAGGAATGACACTCAACAATTAGACACATTTGTATGCATTTGGCCATTCTAAAATTTTTAAAGAATCTAGAAATTCTTTTTCAAAAGACTGATTTTTTAAACGATACATATCAGAAAAATCTGTCAAACTTCAGTACTTTAGCAATTCAGACCAGTGGCTTGTCAGGCAGCAACAGACAGAAACAAAGACCCAAAAAGTAAAGAGTGTCAGAGCAGAAATTGGCTACTCTCTTTTAATAATCTATCCCCTTCCCAAGCTTGAGTGAAGTGGGTCTGATAATTTTGTTTAAAAGTATCTTCTTGTTTACTACCTCAGTCATGTCCCAAATAAGACTGTTCTAACCTTTTGCTCCTGTTCAAGGCCAAAGCTACTGCTCAGGGCAAGGTGTGGGGCGAGGGGGCCTTTCTTGAAAGTTCCCTGATGAGTCTGGTTTCTCTGATGCACCAGCTTCTCCTAGCTGGGCCTTTCTGCAGAGTAGACCCTTCTCCTCTCCAGGTATTGTGTTCCTAAAGGGAGAGCCTGCTACGAATCCCGAGAGGACTCCACCCTCTATCCAGAGCTGCGATCTTTCTTCCCCTCCACAACATCCAGCAGGGCCCTGAACACACGAGCCAACAGCAGTTTCAGCAGCACCAACAGAAGCCCCATCATTTCAGGACCGCGGGCTTTTTCCAGAAGCCTACGATCCCGTGCCTCAGTAGCACCACCTTTCCCCCAGAGCAGCTTGTCACTGCAAGATAGAGCGTTCTTCAACCCCTTCCCCAAATCAAAGGTCAACTGAGAAAAGCAGATGTTTATTTTCTTAAGAAAGAATTCACAAGCCCACCAGATAGGGGACCAGGAGGAACCCCAGTCCTAGACCAGGCCTATAGGCTGATGCCAACACCCCGGGAGAGCTGGTGGGGCCCCATCCTCTACCACCTTCAATGCATGGCCAAAGGGCACTTCAGTAGGGAAAAGTGCTTCTACTGACCACATCTCTGGCCAACAGAGAAGGCCACATGCTCTGTCCATGCACACCCATCTCCACACCCCTTCCCCACCTAGACTGCAGCGGGGGTGGGAGGCAGACACCGGGGGGGAGGACTTAGGGGTCAGAGGACTTCGGGAGCATTGGGCCCGCGCCCCGCTAGCCAATCAAGCGCAAGCAGCGACTCGCTAGCCGGAGCCCGCACGGGTGTACGAGAGGCCGCTGACCACGCGGCCGCCGTGGACTCGCCCGTGCCCGGGAAGCGGGGTTGCAAGGAGCGGCCGATCCCGGCGCGAATACGCTCGCCAGCCCGGGGGCTGCACCCCAAAGGTGCCTGAGCGGGCGGTGAGCCCGGAGCAGCTTCGGCCGCAGGGAGGGGCTCAACCTCGGGTGCCCTGGAGACCCGGGTCGGCCAAAGCCTGGGAATGAGCCGCAGTTGGGAGCGGGAAACCGAAACAGCAATCCTGGAAGAGCGTCGGCCCAGAGAAGGCGCCGCGGAAACGCGGCTCCTGAGCGAGGCGCAGACAAAGGCTCGGGTGCACACGCGGTGGACGGTGGCTCCGGAGCCGCGCTCTGGGCCGCGGGAAGCCGCACCCGCCCCGACTGGCGCCGGAGTCGGGCGGGGGCCCATGGGCGCGACCTCCTGCACCCGGAGGTGCTCCTACCCGGCCCCGCCGCGGTCTTCCCGTCCTCACCCTGCTCCCCCTCCATCCGCGACCGCGACGCCCCCCTCCTCTGCGCACCGGGCGCCTCCTCTTTCCTCACTGTCTCCCGCCTGCCTGCTTCCTTCTAGCGAACCCCTGCCTTGACTTTTCTGCTCAATCTTGTCCCCCACCCCCGTGACATGCCTTTCTGCCACCTCTGCCTCAGCGCGCTCTCGGCCCCGCGCCCGCGGGTGGCGAGGAGGAGTGGCCACGCCACAGTGGGCCCGGGGGCGCATCCTGCGAGTCGGAGGCGGCGGCGCCTTTCTCTTCCACCCTAGCGACCTATTGTCCTTCCCTTTTCTCTACCACCCCGGACCCCAGAGAAGCCCGGGACCAACAGGACGCGGCCCGGGGTGGGGGTGCGTCCCCTGGGTGGAGGTGCAACCGTTTCCACCCCGCCAGTCCATGCTCTGGATGCCGGTCACTGCGCGGGGTGGGAGGCCGGGCGCCCACTCCGAGTCCTGGAGAACGGCGGTGCCATCACAGTTGGAAGCGCGGGGTTCTGAGGCCCTGGCCTCCCTCACCCCGGCTACAGGGACCCGGTGGGCTGGACCCCCAAGTGGAAGGAAGCGCATCTGCTCCAGCCAAGTGGCCACAGGCTCAAGAGGGAGGAACCTAAGTGGTCACAAAGTTGAGTATAAATACGCGCCGGACAAGTGTGGCCAGAAACGGCACGAGGGGCGGAGAAGGAGGCGGCAGGTCCCGCTCGCAACGTCCAAGCTCCCGCCGCCCTCCCGAGCCGCCCTTCCCCCGAGCGCTCGCGGAGCCTGGGAAACCCCGGCGTCCCTGCGCGGCCGAACGCTCCCGCGCTCCGCCAGGGGCACCGGCTCCTGCCCCTCCAGAGAAGCCCCCTGGGCGCTCCACGCCCGGGCACGGGCACCTCGCTCGACACCCGCTTCCCACCCAGCAGTCCAAGCCCCCCACCTGCCCCCAGGGGATGAGGAGCCGCCCCACCTCCGGGGAACGGGGAGCAGGCCACTTACTGGGGCTCAGGAAGCACTCGGTCAGCCTTCGGAAGCAGCTCGCATTATTAGAAGGTCCATCTTCCATGTCGGAGCCGAAGAGCAGCGCGGCCGCGGCGGCGAGGGCGAAGCTGGCGCCCTGGGGACGCCGCGGAGTTTGGCCGCCGCCGCCTGGGCCGGCGCCGGGGAAGCCGGGGGAGCCCGCGCGGCGGGCGGCCTGGCCAAGGGGGAGCCGGGGCGGCGGCGGCGGCCGGGGACCGGCACGGGCTGGAAGCAGCAAGCCCTGGAGCGCAGGCGAGAGGAAGAGCCGCCGCCGCCCGCCGCCGCTGCCACCGCCGCCGCGGTGACTACTGCTGGTGGGGACGCTCAAGGGAGCTGCCTCTTGTCCTCCTCCTCCTCCTCCGCCAGCATCGCCGCCTCCTCCCGCCGCCGCCGCCGCCGCTGCGCCCTCCCTTCCTGGGAGACGCACGGGGAGGTGAAAGGCAGATGAGGAGGGGAGAAAAGAGGGAGGGGGCGGGGGGGGCGGCGGCCAGAAGTAAAAGAAAGATGGAGAGGAGGAGGGGACCCGGGACGAGAAGGCGAGCGCCAAGGGAGCGCGGGCCGCGACCCAGCCGCAGCCGCCGCCGCGCGCAGAGAGGGCGCCGGGGCCCCCAGCGGGGCTGGGGCGGCCTGCGGAGGAGAGGGGCGGGCGCGGGGGCGCGGCGCGCTCCGCCCGGCCACGGCCAGGCCACTCGGGGGCCGGGCCCGGGCCCGCCGCGCTCCCCCCGCCGGCCGCGCTGAGCCGGGGTTCCGGGCGGAGTTTGCCGGGGCCGCAGCCCGGCTCGTCCCCGGCCGCTGGCAGGGGACCCTGGGGGCGGGGAGCAAGAGGCTCCTCGAGGCTGGCCATGGTTCCTCCCCGGGCCGCGGAGGGGCAGGCCGCGGGCGGGAGGGGCGCGGCGGGCCGGGGCTCGGTGGGCTCCGCCCCCGCAGGACCTGCCCACCCCTGCCGGCCGCCCGAACCGCTGCCTGGTCCTCCTCTCCGGTCTTCGGCTTCCCTCCCAGTCTAGTCTTCACATTGTGCTCGGCTTGGGTTGCGGGAGGACCCGGGCCTGGGGGCCAGGCCCCGGCGACGGCGCCTGGCTACCCTCAGGCGCGCACAATCGGCGTCCTCCCGGGCCGGGGCTAGGGACGGCGGAGACCCTCCCTGCAGGCGTGGCGTGGTGTGTGCGCGCTCCGGCGGCTGAGCCTCGGCGGCTTCTCGAAAGCAGCGGAGAAAAGCGCCGCAGTGCCGCTGCCCGTGGAGGCGGTGGTGGCGGCGGCGGCAGAAGACGCCCACTGGCGGAGCAGGCGCTCCCCACGCCGCCGCCGCCGCCGCCGCCTTCCGCGCCCACGTAGCGCGCCCCGCGGGACTCGGCCCCTGCGCCAGGCTCCCGCACCCGAGTGATCCTCTGTGCGCCGCCTGCACCCGGGGCCGGGGCGGGCGGACAGAGCAACCGCTGCGTCTCTGCCCTGCCTTGTCACATCTGGGTCCGGTGTTTCGGATTCTAAATCCTGAGTCCTGCAGCTGCTCCAGCTGTGCGCTGCTGGGCGAGCCACGTCGGCCTGCCCGTTGCCCGAGCCAGGGAATCCTCCTGGTAGCGGGCCAGCAGCTCCGACCCAGCTGTGCTCAGTCAGAGTTCCCGGGAGAGAGTTCCAACTCGGACCTTTGGTTGGAGTTTAAATCAACTCGCAGTGTTTCCCATAAACTAGGGTTTGAAATACGGTTCCTCCCCAGGACTCCCTTTCGCATACTCACTTTAAAACGAACTTCGTGTGCACAAGCCCAGTTTGCCTTGGTTGGGGTTAGAGAACGGAAAGGGCAAACTGTGGCCAAAAATGAGCAAGACTGTGCGATCATTGCCCCAAACCCTGAGACCGCCTTGCCATATGCGGCTCTCTTGGACACCCCCACCCCCTTCCGTAGCCATGAATCCAGGCAGTTGCCACTGAAGGGAAATGAGCCGCCCAATGGGCGCTCAGAACTAGGAGCCGCCAGAAGTTTGGGGAAGTTGGAGCGCAAGAGCGCACACAGATGCACAGGTGTCCGCGTTCGGGCAGGCACGCGCGGCGGGGCCACCATGGCGCGCTGGGTCCGAGGAGGGGCGGTGGCTGTGCTGTTCCACGGTGGCACGGGCTGTCCGGACTGCCTGGACGAGGTCACCTTCCCCGGAGTGGAGCACACGCGCCAAAGCTCAGCTTTCACGAAGGGCAAAACGGTCACCCAAGCGCCAGGCGTGCGCTACAGTGCAGCAACTGGGTTGACCCAGGGCCCTGGGCTCCCGGTGTGCCCCGGGTCCCGGGGCCATTTCTCGCCCTCCACGTTTTCTTCTTTCTATCCAGTTTCACATGTTTATTTTGAAGCGTGCTCCAGATTCCTCACTAGTCGATGCTTTCCCCGACTCCCATCCAAACTCCCCCCAATGGAAAATAACACTTTTGTATTTGCACCAAGCTGAGCAGTTGGGATGCAAAGGACATGCTGGGGCTCCCCTCCCCCAGTAAAGTCCACAGACGTCTCCGCGATTGCCGGGCAGATTCTGAGTGTCGCGTGTAACGGGCATCAGACTTGGCACTCACTAGGTCAGAATCCCTACATTTGTGGAAGAAGAAAATGATTCCTGTGACTCTTACCTTAGGGGCGCTGCCCTTGTTTCTGAATTTTTTCGGCAAAGAAAAAAACTGCAATGGTTGAGCCAGGCTGCCGGCAGCCTCCCGGCTTGACGCTTCTCCAGCCGTGCAGAGTCCACTCCGGTTACTTTGCTGCGAGTCCGGAGTTTGTGCTTTCGCGACTGGACCAGGCAGCAAGGGTCTGAGGGCTGCCCACACATTTAGGGAAGTCGAGTTTCTCCTCAAGTGTTTATTGTTTATTCCTTTACACGCAAAATTGTTTCTCCTTGTCATTTAAGTTTCTTTATTTGCATTTTGGAGTTACTAAATCTATTTTTCAGTTCCAAGAAAATATACATTTAACTTGCCCATAAGCCCCCTTGCGGGCGCAGGAGACAGGGTGGGAAACCCCAAATATTTGTCCTGGGAGCCCTTATTAAATCAGGAGGCAAACTTTAAAATTTTCATTAACCCTTTCCCAGAATCAACCTCCTGTTTACCTTTCGTCCTTTTCTCCAAGTGCTTGCTGGAAGGGACGTTTTCCTGGACAAATTAAAAATCACAAGGCATAACAACGGAAAAGAAAACAACTTGAGGATGGAGTTTACTGATTAGCTCTGAAATTTTCATACATGATCTCCCTCCTTCATACTGGTGTCCACGTTTGTTACTGTAAGTCTCAGAGGCATTCAGCCACTTTCTTTTCTTCATGAACTTTGCTTAGGTGAAGACTTTAATGACAAAGGCGCAGACATACAGGGTCTGTCACTCACCCGTGCTCAGGTGGCTGCTGCGCCTGGAGAACGCGCTGCTTGCGGATTCCTTTCCTTCCCTTTGAGTTTCTTTACTGATATATCAGAAGGAGGAGAGGGCTGTGACACTACACTTTTGTTACTCCAAACCTTTTGTGAATAAACGCACCGGCCCATAACGGAGGGAACACTGCATTCTGATAGTTCCCATAAAGACTGCAATATAGTTACATGACAAAAGGTTATTATACTATAGCTCAACTTAAGCATACTGTCATTATTAGGAGAAGAGGAAGAGCGATGGCAGAAATTCACAATGTTGCAGTGCTCTTGGTAAAATAAACAATTTTCCTTACTTTCAGCTGAGGAAATTCCAAGCCCACGTTGCAAAGAAAAAAAAAAAACTAAAAGAATATTAAGAGGGTAGTTAACACCAGGTGCCAAAATAATGATGACCATCATTTTAAAAGAATATAAAACACTTGTCTGTGCCTTTTACCAAGGAAAATAATCAAGAGTTTTGTATTGCTAATGAAACTTTAAATTAGTGGACCTATACAACCATAAGTATATTTAAATTCTCCAAACATTCTTCTATATGTTGTTATTTTTAAATCAAGTTAATTCTGTATTGCTTTTAGTATTTATGCCTCACATTTATTTATAGAGGAAACAATACCTGCCTGATTGTTAATTTGGATTTTATGTTCTTAAAAACATGCGTCTAGGTACAGCCTAAGAAATTTTGAAATGAGGATTTTCCTTTAAAAAGTATGAAATTTCTTCATGATAATTTAGCCATGCACCCATTTTAATAACCTAAGAGCTAGGTTTGTAACTAACATGGTTAATATTTTATGAACTTTTTGGTAAATATGCAAATCTGTGTCTTAACTGATTTTAGTTTACAACTGTGGATATTAGTGCTTACAGTTGTAAATTTCACATCATTGATTCTTGAAAACCCTGTTTCCTTTTTTAAATAATAACCTTTCTTTATGAATATATAAAAGCAAAGAAAACTAAATGTTAAACTCATCTACTTATACAGATGTCTACCAAAATGCACGTTCCCTTTACCGTGATTTTAATTTTTGTAACTTATTTAAAATGCATAGCAAAATAAATCATAAGCAAGTGTTTATTGTTCCCAAGCTCAATAAAATTATGTGCGTTTTACATATCAGACTTTTTCCATTTAATAGCTAGCAAATTAATGTAAATGTCATTCAGGTGTGATGTGTCATATCACACAAACTCTCTCCATTCTAATAGGATACTTTATTTACTACCTGGTGTCATTAAAATGGAGTTCAGCTTCCAGGCATTTATTCACATGCTCCCGGCCCCCCACCCCCGCAGTCCCTCACTACAAGTCTTTAGTTTGTATTTCCAGGAAACCTCCTTCAATTTTTCTCATCCCCAATTCATCATAGCTTTGTTGTCTAGACTCCTGGAACTTATGTATTTTATCTGCACATATCAACATGTTGGGGTAAGTCTCTTGTTAAGAAAGTTAATGCGCATGTAATTTGCATTGACAGCTCCATTTTAAACAGCTTGACATCAGGGAGACTGCCTCTCCAACTATTCATAGCCTTTAATGAAGGCCAGCACACAATAGGCACTCAATAATTGCTGGCCTTCCTGTCACCTGAATGCCAGCTGATTACAAATTTCCATTACTATTGATGTTAAGACATCTTGACCAAAGTAAGGGATAGCTTCTTACAGTGTTGTTATAGTCAAACCTAAAATAAAAGGCCATTATAATTCTGGTTTTAAAAATATTATGAAAGTCAATACTTCATAGGGGACAGCCTTGAAAACAGACCAAGATGATAAAAACAACTTTAGCTGCCACTAATATTCCTAGATCTTCAGTTTCAATTAAATTGTTTTTATTTATTTTTTATTTCCATTGGTTTTTGGGAAACAGGTAGGGGTTGCATGAGTAAGTTCTATGGTGGTGATTTGTGAGATTTTGGTGCACGCATTACCCAAGCAGTATACCCTGAACCCAATTTGTAGTCTCTTATCCTTCACTCCCTTAAATTATTTTTATTAATTCCAACCAATTAATTGTAAAACAAATTGCAGTTGTATTATCACGTTATGTTTTAAAGCAAGTAAAAACCAGTATAGGTTATATCATTATTTATTTAATAAACATCAGAATAGTTTTTAATTTTTAAATTAGAATTCGTTATAATTTTTAAATTGTAAATAAAATTAGTTTTTAATTAGAATATTTTTGATGAGATGCAAATGGTTAAAACAATATTTCAAATAGGTGTGAAGAATCCATTCTATCTGAGAAAGGGGTTATGTGTGTTTCTTTTTTTTTTTTTTAAGGCTTCTCTTCAATGACAGAAACGTGTGTTTCTTCATTAAAGTAAAACCCAAGCGGAGATTTTCACTAATAAAAAGAAAAACATTAATTATCTCCTGAAAATAAGCTCTGCATAATGGCCGTATGTAGCCATGAAGATACTGGTGTTAAAAAGTATTGCTGAGATTATATAATCAATACTAAGTTCTTAGGATAACCATGTGAATATTAACTCTATTATATAACACTGCTGTGTTATGACACAGAAGTATATTTCAAAGATGTTGCCATTAAAAAATACCAAGTCACTGTAGAAATCCATTGGCATTTGTAGAGTGCTGAAACAGTTTTCAGTTCTTAAAAACAGATGCAAGTTAGAACACAACAATGAGTTCTGTTTAAATAATCAACACTTTCACCAAACTTTTACAAGTCAAATATATCAATTGTGTTTGAGACTGTGTTTTAAGAATTAAATAAAAGCAGTGTGAGATAATTATATTTCAATAAGAATAATAAGCCTAAAAGACAGAAAATACTTCTTTAAGAGAACTAAAGTCTGGTTTAAAGCTTTTAAATAGAAAGAGGTCATAGAGGGACATTCTGGATAAAAAGGGTTGGCTGGGGGCTGAAATTATAAAAGATGGTATACCCTGATTTCTATGGACACCTTTTGTACAAATGGGTATACAAGTCTCGCAAGGGCTGCCAAAATTGCCACTGAGTTTATCTCACCATGATACTACCTCAGTGCCTACACGAATTACTATGTGATGTTTAAAATGTGTATTGTTCATGTTGCTTGAAATAAGTAGCTCTTCATCTGTTACTCTGGAATCTTTTTCTTGCAAACATTTTAAATTTTGATAACCCAATTTTTATAATAGGCCTTGGCATGTATACAAGGGGTTCGATGCAGTTACAGGAGAAAGAAATGTTGGCTCTTCCAGATTTATCTCAGAAGTAAGGATTAAAATGGCTCATTTAATCCAGGGACTTGGAGAACTGATTCCTTTCTCTTTACAGAGAAAGAAAGAAAATAAAAGAAAAAGAAAGGAAAGGAAGGAAGAAAGAAAAGAAAGAAAGAGAGAGAGAAAGAAAGAAAAGACAGAAAGAGAAAGGAAGGAAGGAAGGTAGGAAGGGAGGGAGGGAGGGAGGAAGGGGAAGGAAAGGAGGGAGGGAGGGAGGGAGGGTTCTTTCACATGGGTGAAGTGTTCTGACATCAGATCTTGACTTTTGCACAGGTTTTAATGAGGAGACAATGCTTTTTGTCCCTGAGCTTCTCTTGTTCAAGTGCAGAACAGAAAAAGGAGAGAGAAAGTTTGATGCAGGGATCAGGCCTCCTCAGCCGCTGATGCCTCATGATAGAAGCACCGTGGCTTCTCAAGGACTGTAGGTTACAGAAGGCTCCCGTCTAGACTGAGTCAGGCCTGGTGGCTGGCACACACACAGTCTACCCAGTGTCTGCAAGAGCAGCCAATTGGGAGACGTAAGTAGAACTTGGTATATTAAATCTTTTGAAATGAACCCTTATGAGGAAAATAACTCACAGAAGCCAAAAGATGAGCGACCTTGTTTTTTCAGCTGTGTTTGTTCTCTATAGGACTGATTAGTGAGCCAGAGACACCCGGTGCTAACTCTCAGACTGGGAGTTAAAGGAAGGGGCAGTTCAGACGAGCAGCATATCTTCCATAATCCCGTGGCCATATTCATTTTATTTGGCTCAGAAATTGGGGTTTAATTACTTTATGCTTACATGCTGCACTAATATTGCCATCATCAACAAAGGAAAGGTCAACAAAGGAGGATCTCCTCCCCCACTCCAGAGCTCCTTGGCACTGGCATGATTTTCCTGATGGTGAAAGATACATGTAAATAGTAATTGATAAGGGTTTTATTGTTTCCAAGTACAGTCAATGAGTACAGCCTGGGAGCTAACCCTTGCAAGTCTCCTGAATTCAAATCACTGTCTCCTCACTTGACTCCAGGTATCCAGTTAGATTATTATGACTTACTGGTGGCATGAAAGCTTACTTTTCTCCTCCCTCCAACACTCCTATCTGTATAGAGATTTCCACTGGAAATTTCCAGAGATCTCTACCCGGGAATATTGTGCTTGTCCTGCCCTAAACTTTCCTGATTTGAAACATCCATAATAAATCTCAATTTTACTTTCTACTTATTATAAGAAATTCATCTGCTGAGCCCAGAGAACCTCAGGCTGAAAGACACCACTAATGTAACAAGGCAAAATTCAAATTTAAAAAAGAATACACCAAGGCTAAGTGGCATTAAAGTATTTGTGGGTTTTGCTTTCCATGTCATACTGGTCATTTTGTAAAGGACCCAATTGGCCCCAGCCCAAGTATGTGCACTAGTGGTGAACTGGCCAGAAGGGACACCTGGAAGGTTGCATTTGCAAGAAGCTGCACCACCTGGCAGGGAGCAGAAGCAATAATCCAGCCACACACCAATGGTGGACGGCTCCTGGGGAATCAAAGAGAGAAAGCTTCCAGTGGGTAAATAATGTGCACATTCCATGTCGATTTTGTGTATCCCTTCCTTCCCAAAACGACTGACAGCAGATCTCTGGTCCTTGTGTGAGCATCTTGATGCAAGGATGCAGCTTGTTTTATTGCATGTAACTGACATAGCCCTAATCCACCTCTTAACACGAGTCACAAAGAAACGCATTTCAGCAAAATACAGGAAACAAAGGGTGGCTTTAAGACAATTATATCATAGTTACCATTGAGCTGCTGCTGCTTTTTTCCATCTGAAACATAAAGGCCTTCCCACAGGTACACTGAGAAATATAAAGGAACATCATTAACTTGGATTCAACCCATTTGATCCCAGAAGTTTAGGCAAGATTAACGTGTGCATTCTGAGCAATTCTCTTGCTTGATTAAAAACTTGGAATTGAACAACTAAAACCAAGCTAAAAATTACTGTAATTTTTATCTGATAATCTTATGTAATTGACAAACAAATCATGATATAATCACCTTAATTTAAATGTGAATACTTCCTATAAATGCCTTTTTCTTGTTTCTGGAGTTAACTAGAAGAAGTGGCATTGTGTCTGGGGAAACTGGTCTAGTTAGAAGGGGTAAACAGGGTTTAAGATTCCTGGGGTCTTAAAATATCCCAACCTGTTAGCATTATCCATACTTTCAGTGAAGAATGAAATGGATATAAATGTATTCAAGCAAATTTAGAACTTAAGTGGCAAAAGGACCCCTTAGATGGGTTACTACGGTAGAGTCTCACAGTGTGCAGGAAGTGCTGATCTTATTATCTTAAAGCTGCAAGTTGTCCCTATTGATCACATTTCATTGCCTTCTAATTTTTGGAGTCTAACAAATGGCACTTTATACGTCTACAGACTAGGGTTATCTGACCCATCTTTCCGATCAGATTGTACTGGTAAAGAGTCTGATTTCCTAGGTTTTCAACATATCAATGTTAGAATCACCCTTTTTGGGTAAAACGTTCACTAATTTTTTTTTTTTTAAGAATCAACAACAAATGATGCTTGCTACAAATTCCCAAAGTCTACTTGTTTTTGTAAATGTCATCTGGTGATAGGCTAGAGTGAAACCCTCTTCTGTTTTTTTAACTACCTTGATTAAGCTTTTCTAACCCTCTCCCTGAAACAGGTAAACTTGGTAATTTTATTATTTTGGGAATATAGTAAGCACAACGACCCATGAGTGATCACAGAGTGAGCATAACCCCTGAAGAGCCCGAATTCAGCCCAGGTGCCTCTGCCCATTTACTGCCCAGAACTGAACATGAGCCCATTCACAGGGCCACTTAGGATTGAGGTCCACCCAGGAAGAGGAAGCCAGCTGCTCATGCTGCCACCTTCCCGTTGGCTGCTGTGTATATCTCTCCATGACTGTGTTCAGCATGACTGCACTCAAAGGACCCAATTAATTCACTTCCATCACTACTCGTAGAAGCCCTTAGAGGCAGCTTTAATAGCTAGGATTTAGGCTCGTTTTATAGATTTCACACACATGGATTATAAAACGGATGAAAAGCAGCTAGATATCACACACACACACACACATATATATAGTGTGCTTTATATCATATATATGTGTGTGTTTACATATATACAGTGTGTGTGTGCTTTATTCTCTAAGGCAGGATGTTTATATTCAGTATTCACAGATTTCTGTATTTCTTAAAGGGAGATCATTTTATAGGGGCATCAGTTAAAATGGTCTCCCCATATAAAAGCAAGTTTACACATTAAATATCTCTATTTTATAGCGAAGTTATTAATATATGCCATGAAACTCTATCCCATCTGTTTTCAGTCAAACTATATTACTTCCGTAACCGTAAAATACTGGTGAAGTCTTATCTTACGTTTTTGAAATCTGATTTAAGCAAATCTCATATAAACAAGTTTTCAGAAGACAGATCAATATAGATACTCCCATGAACACTGAAAATTGTTCCTGTATTTACAACTTGATTTCATTGACAGTAAAGATTTCCACAGTTTATCAGAAACTCATTAATTACGTAAAGGTATGTGTTTCTCATGTATACCTTACTGGTCAATGGTATAAGGCAAGCTCTTTAAGCCTGCCAAAAACCTTTAAGAATACAGACGCTCCTCAATTTAGGACAAACACATCATAAGCTGAAAATATCCTAAGTCAAAATGCACTTAATACACCTAACTTAACAAACATCAGGGCTTAGCCTAGCCTGCCTTAAATGTGCTGAGAACATTACAGTTGGGCAAAACTACAAAGCCTATTTTATAATAAAGTGTTCAATATCTCATGTAACTTATTGAATACTGTCCTGAAAGTGAAAAACAGTGGTTGGATGGTGGTACGGTTTGGCTGTGTCCCCACCCAAATCTCATCTGGAATTATAGCTCCCATAATTCCCTCATGTTGTGGGAGCCACCCAGTGGGAGATAATTGAATCATGAAGGCAGTTTCCCCCATACTGTTCTCATGGTAGTGCTAAGGGGAAACCCCTTTGCTTGGCTCTCACACTTCACTTGTCTGCCGCTATGTGAGACGTTCCTTTCACCTTCTGCCATGATTGTGAGGCCTCCCCAGCCACATGGAACCATGAGTCCATTAAACCTCTTCTTTTGTAAATTGCCCAGTCTCAGGTATATCTTTATCAACATCGTGAAAACGGACTAACACAGATGGGTACTCGAAGAACGGTTTCTCCTGAATACCTATCATTTTCACACCATCATAAAGTCAAAAAATCTTTAAATTGAACCATCATAAGTTGGGAACCATTTGTAATTCCAGCAATTCACTGTGACTGAGTGCAGTTGCCAGTCCTTTTTGGTTGTAAATGAATACTCCCCTCCACACCTTTGCCATGAATTAAATAAGGTAACAGCAGAGCCCACACCACTCCTAGCAGTTCAACCTAACTAACCACTTAAGTCTCAGACCTGTCATATCTAGGTGAACTGACCCAGAAAGTAGTCACTAAATATGGTATAACTCTGAAGAAAATAAAATCAGTGAAAATTTCAACTTTTCAACAGATAAACTAGATGGAAGAAGGAGAAAGGGATGTGCACTTTAGAACTAGATATGGCACAGATTCCCATGAATGGTTAACCCCTAGTGCATGTATATAGAATTCTATTTACAAAAGCCAACATGGTATTTAGTATACAGGTTCTTCCAGGAGTCCATAGCCCCACTCTGACGTACACTATTCCAAAGTGAGAAAAGCATAGCCATGCAAGATTTTAATTGTTTTATTTTGTGTCACAGCAGATTTGGATTTATTGTAGCTTCTCTATTGGATTTGGAAAGGCGAGGGTTAAAACCTCGCCGGAGCTGCTGACCCCTGTACCTAGGCAAGATGATCTCCGCAGACCTTCTTGCAGCCCTATAATTCAGGCCTCTTCAGCCACTTCTGGTTTCAGAATATCAGTTTGTGTATTTATTTGTACTTTCCCTTATTTTACATGTTAGTTTTAGCGATACATTCTGTCTTCACACTTTCATGTTTTGTTTTGAAATTTTTATCATGTGTATTCAGCTCCTTTGTTTTTAGTCTTTCTTCTTTAATGGTGAAGGCATTTCTGCCAATACAGAGTTTTTCCCTGAGTTGAGCTTTTGGGGATTCCATAGGTTTTAAAATAAAATATTCCTTTCTTATATGTTTCTAAATGGTTTTAAATTTCAGTTTTAATATTCTCTTTGATCCACGGGTTATATAGAAGCGTGTTTATGAATTTCCAAATAATAAAGAATATTATCAGCCACATTATTAGTTTAGTTGAGTTTTGGATTACGATAAAATAATGTGACTTGAAAGATCTCTAATTTAAAATTTTTTAAAGTGTTTCCGTGTCCATAGATATGATCGATCATATTTTATAAATGTTTCCCAGGAAAGAAAAACCTGAGCTGGTCAGAAGCACACAGAAACAAAGACTGTAGCCTTTGTTCTAGAGACTCATTGCCCAGGTTCAAATCTTGCCTTTACCCCTTTCCCATTCCACAGTTCCCTTGGACAAAATATAGACTTTTGCCGAACTTCATTTTCCATCTTTAAAATGGAAGCATGGAAACAATAGCCGTGTCTCCCTCTTAGTGTTGCCGTGAGGATGACCAAGATTATGTGTATGGAAATGCCTCCAGTGGTCCCTGGCGTGCAGCAGGCACTCAGCAGGAAAAGAAAAAAAAAAAAAGGTGTGGTTCTGTCAGTCAGAATAGACCTGGCCTTAAATTCTAGATCCGCCACATCCCAGCTGCCCATGGAAGTTCCTTTCTATTCTGAGCTCCCTGCTGATGCGCAGTGGGGAGAAAGCGGAAGTGGCTGTGGGGATTCAGATTGACGTGCGTGCGTGGGAACCGTGAGACCACTGCCTGGCTTAGAGCAAATGCCCGCCAACGACTGGCTCCTGGTGTTTTTATGAGGACTATAAAATGAGAAAACGTAAAATGGCTCGCTAATGATCTTTTCGCCTAACTCACTATTCCTAAGGGACTGGCCAGGACAAAGGAAAGCCAATGGGCTTATCACAGAAGGAGAGAAGCTGCTAGCAGCTCAAAATGCCTGAATTTGGATTACTTTCCCAAACAAGGGCACGGAGGCAGAATGTGTACATAGTCAGTTGCCTCTGAAAGTTGTAACACTCACTTCCGGCATAAACTTCCAGTTAGGAAGTTTTCCTGCTTTATGGTTCATCCCTTCCCCAGTTCTTAAAGCTGGAAGTTTTTGTTGTTGTTGTTGTTTTCTGAGTGCCTCTTTCTCGTTCACTCTTAGACTCCACACTTCTCTCTGAGTCATTGCCTTGTCCATCCAGGTGCCCACAGCACACACCAACCCACTGCAAACAAGACCTTTTCTCCTGGGAGAAAGCCTCAACGTTTTCAAGCTTGAGTTTTCAGAGTAAGTCATCTTAGTGATGAGAAGGAGGTGAAGACATCGCAATAATTTAATACTAGAAAATCAATAGTTTTGTCTATGCCTATGCCTGTCCCAAAAGTCTGGCTACATTTACAATGTAACATTGTTATTCTGAAAATAGGTAAATCTTATCTACTTTTTCCCAGCCTGAGATTTAAGTATCTGCTTTGTTTGTTTGTTTTTGTTGAACATGTGCTAAGCAGAAAGACCAAACCATAAAATTTTACATTTCATCCTTGGAAAATGTAAATAACGTTGGACTGCATGCTGGAAGACTCAACAGTGTTTATACATGCATGAGTCTATATACAAGAGTTTATTTTTATTTGATAAAAATGAAGTATATTTTTCTCTAAGTATATTCTTGGTATTGAGAAAGAGAAAAAAGCTTTTAAAATATTAAATTCAAATTTTTCATAGAAGACTTGTGTTCTATATTTAAAGTAAGATCATTTAAAATAGACGTACAAATACTGTCATGGTATTTGTGTGTGGAGGCCTCCAGAGAAAATCTGAAAATGGAAAAGGACTCCTAGTCTTCCCAAATCACATCAGGCTAGAGAAACAAAACAGAATTGTTGTTGCTGAGGGATTTTGGGGTGACCTCAATGCCAAGCCTCATGCCATACTGGAAAATTATTCATTTATTTAACAAATATTTAGTGTCTACTACGCACCAGGATTCTGGGTGCTTGGGATATGTAAGTCAACCAAAAAAGACAAAAACTCCTGCTCCTATGAAACATATATTCTAGAATGGAAAATAAAAGGTAATAGGTTTCTCAAAGAACCAAAGTATAACTAATATTTGATCTAGTTACTGGGTATCTACCCAAAGAACATCATTATATCAGGAAGATACCTAAACTTGTATGTTTATTGCAGGACTATTCACAATAGCAAAGATATGGAATCACCCTAAGTGTCCGTCAGCTAATGATTGGATAAGGAAAGTGTCGTATACATGGAAGACTCCTTAGCCATAAAAAGAAGGAAATCATGTTTTTTGCAGCAACCGGGGTGAAACTGGAGGCCATTATCTTAACTGAAACAACTCAAAACCAAGAAGTCAAGCACTGCATATTCTCACTCAGAAGTGTGAGCTGAAAAATGTGTACACATGGATGTACAGAGTGGAATCACAGACTTTGGAGACACAGAAGGGTGGGAAAGTGGGAGGGAGGTGGGGGATAAGAAAATTGCCGATTGGGTACAATATACACGATTTGGGCAATGGCCACACTAAAGTCCAGACTTCACCACTATGCACCATTTCCATGTAACATAACTGCACTTGTAGCCCTTCAATTTATAAAAGTAAACATTTTCAACAGTAAGAAATATCATGCATCAGTTAACCTGGCCATGTGGGAAACCGGACAGGTGCCGCAGAGGAAGAGGTGGGTCAGGGTGCTGGGCAGGTTGGAAAGGGCGTGGTCGGCTGGGGCCTCATTGAGAAGCTGATGTGTGAGCCCAGCTGGAAGGTGGTGAGGGAAGGGGTTCCAGGAGGAGGGGATAGCCGTGAGAGGGGTCCAAGGACTTGCACCCAGGCCCATGTGCCTGGAGTGGACTAGGAGGTGGGGGGTGACCCGGCCAGCTCACGGGCTGTTTAGGCCACTGACTTGGCTTCCAGTCTTCACAAAATGGGAAACATCAGTGACTCACACGATCTGACTTTTTTTTTTAAAGCTCACCCACATTTCACGGCTATTTTCCCTGATGTGCTCTGGGAGGGCGGAGTGCCGTGGGACTGGCGAGCGCCTCCCTTCCTGCCTGTCGGCATGGACTTGCAACTGCAGGAGTGCATGGACTGAAGGACCACACGCACTCACAGCATGGCTGGGGCCTCCAGGGCCAGCTCCTCCAGCAGGACGGGTCCTCACTCATTCCCGAGAAATGAAACTATTCTGATAACGACTTTCCAAGAAAAAGTGCAAAATCTTGCTTGAATGATTCACTTCCTTTCTTCCTGTGATAGTTAATTTTATGTTAACTTGGCTGGGCCACATGGCCTGTTGCTTGGCCAAATCCCAGTCTAGATGTTGCTGTGAAGGCATTTTGTAGATGAGGATTAACGTTAGATCCGTCAACTTTCAGGAAAGCAGAGACCCTGTCCACGGTGTGGCTGGGCCTCATCCGATCAGTGGACGACTTCAAGAGAAAAAGGCTGAGGTCCTCTAAGGAAGAAGAAATCTGCTTCCCAACAGCCTTCAGGCTCAAGCTGCAACACCAGCTCTTCCCTGGGCCTCCAGCCTGCCCTGCCTGCCCTGCAGCTTTTCCACATGCCAGCACAGTTGTGTGAGCCGGTTCCTTAAAAGCTGTCTCTCTAGATACATATAGTCACATACAGTGAGCCCTCCATATCCATGGACTCCACATCCCTGGATTCAACCAGCCTTGTTGGATTAAAATATTTAGAAATAAAATGTCTGCACTGAACACCTCAAGACCTTTTTCTTGTCATTATTTCCTAAAAAATGCAGTATTTACATAGCGTTTACATCGTATTAGGTATTATAAGTAATTATAATGACAATTTAAAGTATACAGGAGGATGTGCATAGGTTACATGCAAATACCACATCATTTTATATCAGGGACTTGAACGTCGGTGGACTCTGGTATCCATGAGAGGTCCTACAGAGCTCTACCCCATGAGGGACACTGTATATATGTGCATTTGTGTTCATATGCGTAATGTGTTTGTGTGTGTGTGTAAATGCGGGTATATTTGTATATGCATGTGTTTGTATATATGTGTGATGTGTGCGCGTTTGTGTATGTGTGTGTTTGTATGTGTATGTTTGTGTTTGAGTGTATATGCATGGGTATATATGTGTATTTGTGTATGTGTTTTTGTACATCTGTATTTGTATATCCGTGTGTGTGTTTGTATATCTATGTGTTTTGTGTGTGTTTGTATACCCATGTGTGTTTATGTGTGTTTGTGTATGTGTAGCTGTTTGTGTGGGTGTTTGTATATGTGTGTGTTTGTGTATGTGTGTTTGTATAGCTATGTGTGTGTATTAATATGTGTATGTATTTGTGTGGGTGTGTTTGTGTTTGTGTACGTGTGTATGTGTGTGTCTCTCTGTGTGTATGTATGTGTGTGTCCATGTGTGTCTGTGTATGTATATGTGTGTCTGTGTGTGTATATGTGTGTGTGTATGTGTGTATCTGTGAATGTGTATCGGTGTGTCTGTGTATGTGTGTGTGTCTCTGTGTGTGTGCAGTTGTGTGTGCATGTGTGTGCATATCTTTCCTTCTGTTTGTTTCTCAGGATAACCCTGGCTACTATACTTCCCTATGATTCTTCCCGTTATGAAGCCACCACCTTTGTACTCAGACCTTCTTTTCTGTATTCTTGAAAAAAAAAATCATTTTAAGAAGCGATAACATTTTGGCATTTCTTTTTAAATTTCAAACTGGAAGTGTGAAGGCTCAAATCCTCATAACCCCTTCATTGGATTTTAAAATAAAGTTGTTAACCCCGCTCCCTGCTTCTATTCTGCCCGCCGCTTGGAAACAGTTTTCCCTCCTTCCACTTCCCATGCCACCCGGTCCCCAGCCCGTGTCGCTGGCAGCATTCATCTCAAGCCTCTCCCTGCGCTGGATCACAACCCGCTTCCGCCCACACTCAGCATCTCCCTCTCTTTCTCTCTTTGTACTAACAAGTTTTGTGCATTTGCTCTTACCAAAAAAGAAAAAAATATCTTTTTGAATGATAAATGAGCATGCACATTCTTTTTAACATGTGGCAGAAATTCTATCCTAGCAACAGCCACCAAATCAACTGTCATCCAGCAAGGATCTCTGCTCTCTTTGCTTCTGGAAAGAGACTAGAAACAGGCAGACTCTTCCGATTCGTGTATGTTAAGGAATGCATTATTAGATGAAAGGAGATGGGACGTTGTCTAGAAAAATCATCCCATTGATTTAATTCATGTGGAGGTTCTGGATTCTCCTAAGGATATTTTGAAAACATACCACACATGAGAGACATTTAAAGTACTCAACAGGTGGTCAGTTTAGGTAATTGTGGCATTGGGTGTTCAGGATAAGGGGTGCCCCATGGATCATCTCAGTTTATCTTCAGGACAGCCTCATCAGGTAGGTAGGACAGGGCTCATCTGCATATCAGGTAAAGTGATTAGAAAAGAATGAGAAAATATAGCTCTATTTAAGAACTAATGTCGGCAGATAAATGCTGGTTTAAACCCAGATAACCAGATCATTTCCTTCATGTTCTGTATGCTACAATGGATACTGGCAGAAAAGCAGTAGGTTCTCAAAGTGGATACCAAGAAGTTGGAAAGAACCTTCTTCTAAACTTCCTGCCAAGCCCAGAGAAGGATTCTGGACTGGAAAGACTGCCTGGAAAGGGGAAATCTGGATTCTCACCGGCCGCTACCTCCCAGCCCTTGAGGAGGTGTGGCACCGCCCCCTCCTCCTGACAGGCCTCCTGGAGAGGCTGCGGTCAGGCGTGCCTGGCCCCACACTGTCACAGCACAGGAACGCCGGGAAGCACCTCACAGTCCCCTTCAGGTCAAAGGCTGATCTCTTACACTTTGGAAAAATAGATACAGTTGAGCCCATGAAGTTGCTGATTTTTAAGTGTTTGCGACCTACAGAAACGGTTCAAGCCTCATCCATCGCTGTGATGTCTTTCTCTCTCCTTGTAAGACAAAGGGCCACAAGATTTCCTGGGTCTAATTTAGGAATGTGGGGAGAAGAGTGTGAAAAGTGGCATTTCTGGAATAGTCTTTATCTTATGGTCACCATGGATACTGTGGGTCCCCATGGTGGGCACTGCTGGCTACTGTGGGGTGTCTGGGGTGGGTGCTGTTGAGTACTCTGGGACTCCCATGGTGGACATTGTTGAGTATTTGGGGTACCTATGGTGGGTGCTGCTGGTTATTATGAGGCACCCATGGTAGGTGCTGTTGGGTGCTATGGGGTACCCATGGTGGGAACTGTTGGGTACTGTTGGGTACTGTGGGGTACCCATGTGGGTGCTACTGGGTATTTTTAGGTACACCATTGCAACTGAGATGGAAAAAGAAAACAGCCATGGATCGTGAGCTCTCGTTTGTCTCTTAAGGAACTTAACATCTAATTGGGAGGTTGTGAAAAAAAAATCACCATGAAAATTCCTCTGTAATATTTTGGGAGTAATATCACAAAAAGAGATTAAAGGCGGAATTCAATATGTTGCAGGTTCTATAATTCAAGTGAGTTGCTGCCACAAAAGCAAGAAGGATCACCATTCAGCTGTAGCAACCTCCACGGAGGAAACAAGAGAGGAAATGAGATGTTCTCCATTCTGCCAGAAGGCAAACTTCCAGCTACAATCGGAGGTACTTTCTCTGCAGGTAAGCACCTCTCCAGTGCAATGAGAACAAAAGATAAATGGAGTCTTGTTTATATAAATTGACCTTGAACTTGAGTCATAATCCACAGACAATTTTTAAGTAAAGATAGAGGAATCTTGGACAATTTCTACCACTGTGTAACACATATACACAAAAATGCATCCTTTTAAAAATACTCATTACCAGCCAGGAGCGGGGGCTCAGGTCTGTAATCCCAGCACTTTGGGAGGCCGAGGCGGGCAGATCACTTGAGGTCAAGCGTTCGAGACCAGCCTGGCCAACATGGTGAAACCCCATCTCTACTAAAAATACAAAAATTAGCCGGGTGTGGTGGCGGGCACCTGTAATCCCAGCTACTATCGCTCGAACCCTGAAGGCGGAGGTTGCAGGGAGCCGAGGTTGTGCCATTGCACTCCAGCCTGGGTGACAGAGCGAGACTCCATCTAAACAAACAAACAAAAAATACTCATTACCTTCTGCCTGCATTCATCTACTTCCCTTATATGTTTTAGGGTGGCCAGCTTGAAGAAAAATGCTTTTATGTGCTAATATCTTTACATTGCTGAAGAGCCCATAATTTCAAAGACTCTCAAGTTACTTTGTAAATTGCATATGAAGACGTCCTAGAAAGTATGTATAGGAGACTGTCCATCTTATCACAGTATAGACCAACTTTTCAATCTTCCTGTTTGATGGCAACGCCTGTGTTTACAGAGCGCTGCAAGGGGTAGTTCACCTCATCCAAGATGCCTGTGTGGTACGTATCAGCATCCATCTGATTAAATCACTTTTCCAGATGGTCAACAAATATATTTGCTGTGCAAAAAGGAATTTAAGAAGCCTGTTTCCTAATACTTAGTTTCGTATGGCTATAGAAAAACAGACAAGTTGAAAAGAAAATTTCAAAATTACTCTTTTTAGGCATCAACCCTAACCTCAATAATTGTCTTGGGAAAATGTGTGTGTGTGTGTGTGTGTGTGTGTGTGTGTGTCTGTGTGCATTTTCCCTTAAAGCAATGGTGCAGAACCATCTGGAGAACTTAAAAACAGACCTCCCCCTCCTCCGAGTTTCTGATTCAGTAGATCTGGAGTAGTGCTGAAAACCTGCATTTCTAACAACCTCCCAGGGGATACCGATGCTGCCGGTCTAGCACAAGGCTACCACTTCTTTGAAGCCATAAAGGAATCTACAATTATTTTATATAGTTTTTTCCTTTTTCTAAAAAAAGCAAATTGTGAACCAAGCCTGCATTTGTAATGAAGTGTTTTGAAATACACTGGCTGTTTACTCAAAATCACCTCTTGTCTGTAGGTCACAGGCACTGTACCCTGAATGGGTTGGTTTTACAAACTGCTCCTAGTCCTTCTAATAAGTGAGCTGGCTACTAGAGGAAGTGAGAAGCTCAGAGAGGCTCACTGAGATTCTAAGCCAACCTGATGGTGGTAGGGCCATTTGTATTAATGATAAATGAGTTTAATTTTTCTGAAATTATGTGTCGTCATCAAAGGAGGGTAGGATGCCTCACAGAACAGTGGGTGAAATTTTGTTGACTATATTTCATATAGCTATCGTGAACGCCCTCTAAGTCGTCCTTGTTCTGGTTTTAACATGCTGATTTCCCACCAATCTATAAAAGTAGCCAACTGTATCTCTTACTTGAGACTGAAGGTTTTTATTCCCCAACCCCAAATTTATATCTTGTTGTCTTTTTAAGTTACGGTCTCACTCTGTCACCCAGGCTGGAGTGCAGTGGCTGCGATCACGGCTCACTGCAGCCTCAACCACAGGGTTCAGGTGATCCTCCTGCCTCAGCCTCCTGGGTAGTTGGGACCACAGACATGCACCACCACACACAGCTAATTTTTTACATTTTTTGGTAGGGCTGGGGTCTTGCCATGTTGCCCTGGTTGGTCTCAAACTCCTGAGTTCAAGCAATCCACCCGCCTCAGCTTCCCAAAGTGCTGAGATTACAGGTGTGAGCCGTTGTGCCCAGCCCCAAATTTATATCTTAAAATACTAACCCTATACATGATGGTATTAGGAGGTAGGGCTTTTGGGAGGTGATAAGGTCGTGAAGGTGGAGCCCTCATAAATGGGATTAGTGCCTTCATAAAGAGACGCCAGAGGCCCCCTTTGCCTCTCTGCCATGTGAGGATACCATAAAAAGACGGCTATCTACGAACCGGAAAGCCAGCCTTCACCAGGCACCAAATCTGCCAGCCCCTTGATCTCAGACTTCCCAGCATCCAGAACCGTGAAAAATGAATGTCTGTTGTTTATAACTCGCCAAGTTTATGGCACTTTGTTGTAGCAGCCTGAATGGACTTAGCCATCTATAGACCATATTTACCATCAACAGGGAACGTGAAGATCATCACTGACAAAGATCTAGAATCTGCTGGTCATCGGTTTGTACATCCCCACTTCCAGCACACTGTACCTGCACCTTCAGGTCTGGGTTAGGTACCCCTTTCATTTGCCCCCACAGACACCTAAACTTCTCTCCATCATGTCATTCAACTTGTGTTAAAATTGTCTGTTCATTGTGTCGTTCCCCCACCGGAATGTAAAAGTGCGTGTGGGCAGAGGCCAGGCCTGCATAGACGGTTGCACCTTCAACATTCAGCACAGCTCCTAGCACATGGTGCGTACTCACAAAATTATTTGTTGAATGAATGAACAGCAGGAAGGAAAGAAGACTGAAGAGGGAGAGAATAATTCAAAGGCTGAGTTCTCTGAAAGGGATTACCTTACAGAGGCCTGTGCAGCGCTCTCCAGTGAGGAGTGGAAGGATGCATTGAATAACAGCATGGGCAAAAAGAACACTATTCAGAATATACCAAAGGCCTTCGGGTGGGCATCAGAGACATGGGCTTCCAGGAAACTGCCCAGCCAACGAGAATCCCAGGAGGAGAAATCAGAAAGGACTTATTTAAACAACAACAAAAAGTGTGTGTGCAGACACATACACAGATGCTCAAGCACACACACACACGCGCTCACACACGACTAAGACATCAACAAGCTATCTTTGCAGTCACGTTTCTCTACATATGCTGTGGGTGTGGGAGAGATGGGTTCATCTGGGATGTGTTTCATTTGAGATCTTGGTGAGGTCATTTTTGTTCCAAATAACTGAATATTAAGTGCCGTGTTTTATCACAGCTTTCTAAATGGCATGCCTTCCAAAGCATATCATAAACCTCCCTGACCGTGTGAGGTAGGCTTGCAATACAAGCCACAGTCTCCTGGAGGCCCCTGAGCTGCCAGGCTGAGCCTCACACAGGAGGGCTGGAGAGTGCAGCAGTGCAGGGCAGTGAACCAAAGATGGTACCTTTGTACGTCACCGATTGAAAATGTCACTCATCAAGCTTTTCATTATGTTTCTGTTGCTTACTCTTTCCCACACCTCTCCACGACTTCCATGACCGGTGTCCTAGGAACCCCCAGGCATCATCCTAGCCCTCTCAGTTCTGGCCACACCACCTCCTGGCTATTCCTCAGATATACCAGGTACTGAGACGGAAGCCTTGAGGCCTGAACACCTGCTGTTCCCTCTGTCTGGAAGGCTTTCTGCCTAGAGTCCCAAATTCTCCTCCTCCTTCAGATTTTTCTCAAAACTCATGTTTGCAGTGAGGCCTTCCCAGACCACACTATTTAAAAGTACAAGGCTCTCTCCTCTCTACTCTTCCTATTTCCTCCCCTGCCTCCTTCTTGTCTGTAATGCTTATCAGCACCTGGCGTGCTCTATGTGTAATTATTTACTTCCTTGGTCTCCTCTCGCTAAGATCCCAGAGGGCAGGGATATTTGTATTTTGCTCACTGCTATACCCCAGAACATAGGACTGCCTGGTCCATATGGACACACAATCAATAATTGTTCCAAAAATGTTTGTGTCTACTGTGGATGGGCACCATTCCAGCCATGCACCTGGAGATAAATAAATATTTGTTCATCGAATAAGTGAACGAATTGATGTCTCCAAAATAACGCCTCAGGTCTCACAATGAAGCCGCCATCTCCTGGGTGGCTCCTTTCCTGTTTGGCAAGCTATGGTCGCGGCTGCCATCACTGCTATGTGAGTTGCATTGGCATTTCATTGGATGCATGGGCAACACGACCCATTATTTATGAGTCACCACACGGTGGCCGAGGCGCTGAGCTGCCTCTCCCCTTACTGTGCTACTTGTACTAGGTCTTCCAGTGGTGTGAGAAGGAGAAACTTCAAGAACCTCTATTTGGGTATTTTTGTGATATTTCCCCACAGGCCACATTCAAAGGTTACATGCATATAATGAATGCATGCAGTTTGACTTTTAACAAAACATATTTTCTTATGAAAATTACAATGAAAGTTCCATATAGTGTTTGATAATTTTAAATTTCTTTCAAAATCTCCTCTGTCATGCACGGTCTCAAGATTTTGAATAACACTGTGATCAACTGAACCAATAAAATAATTGTGAAAACCAGGAAGTGGACAGTGAGACGTCGACTTGACTTCCTTAAAGTTATATGAATGGCCATCTAGAAATAGAATGCCTTTGTTAGCCCCAAGTAATACATCTGTCATTTCTGAAATTATTTTTTATTAGATGTATCTGCTAGTTTAAGAAATAGACTTAAAAAATCGCTATGTGATATAAACTACCTTGCTCTTTAGAATCCTTAGATACCTTTAAGAATTCTAGGAGAGTCAATTTTCCTCTTCATCAGGGGTTTAATTTTATGAATACCTGACTCATCAACACAGGTAAGAATATAGTAAACAATCCTGCTCTGTTTAAATCTTGTAGC
Organism: Homo sapiens; assembly: GCF_000001405.40. NCBI lineage: Eukaryota > Metazoa > Chordata > Mammalia > Primates > Hominidae > Homo > Homo sapiens. The sequence continues at coordinate 165,685,237 of NC_000006.12, forward strand.
AACTGACTCATGGGTGCCTATTAACATAGACTTCAGAAAATTCACCAAAAGAGAACAATTTCATCAGCAGCATAAAACAGATCAAAATGGTGGCTTGTGCAGATGAGTCAAATGGAAAGGCTATTAAATGCATCCTTCTGCTTGGGGCTTTATTCTGTGTGTGTGTGTGTGTTTGGTGGTCAGCCTTCTTCTAAATGCTTCTTCTGTATGCTTCAGATTATGATTGCAAAGCAAACCAAGAGAAAATCGGACACACTGTTAACTGTGATTGAAATTAAATCAGGAAATTCTGCCTGTTCTTCTGCATTGGCTCAGAGCCAGGAATCCCTGCCTTTTCTTTGGAGGAAATGTTTTGTGTATGTTCCTGGCAGCTTCTCCATCACAGCCCACACTCCTCTTTTACCTGTGTACCCAACCATTGAAGGTGCACTTCCTCACTATGAGAAAAGAAACTCCACAGAGGACCATCCACAATGCCTGACCTGGGGTGAGCCCAGCCAGATGCTGGCAAAATATATCCATGTCCTTGGAGGATGCTGGAGGGAGGAATGTTTTCAGATGCATTATATGGGCAAAGCACCGAAGGTCACAATGTTCTCTGTGAACACTCTTACATTTTGATATATAAAATTTAAAAGTAGAATTTATAAGATGACATGACTGATTCAGTGTTATACAAGATTTGTATGGACAAGTGGTAACAGAAGCCATTAAGAAAAAAATTAATAATAAAGAAATTACGTCCATGAGCCTAATTGTGTTTGTGAATGGGGAAAGAGATGGCCACTCTTCAGTGTGAATATTGGCTCACTGGGAGATGGGTTGAAAATCACTGCAGTAGAATTCAGAGCTAGCTGCCTTTTAACCATTCTTCCCAATCTTAAATGTGCATGGACACACACACACACACACACACACACACACACACACACACACAGGCTGTGTCTTTAGCATGCAATGAGGTGCATCCATGACAGCGCTCGCTACACTCCAAAGTGTGGGTCCTGAGATGTGATGCATTCAGAGTCTCAACCTTCAGACTCTCCGGTCTTTTGTGCTGGGGAATTGTGGGTGCCCAGGAAGTCTTTCCTGGTTGGATTTCCCTGTGCATCGGACTCTCCCTACACACCTTCTGCTTAGGCTTCCCCGTTCTCCTCTTTGCAGCGCTTGTTGTTGTTGGATGTCTCTTTTACTTTCCGCCTTCAGGTGTAACATCCTGTTGCTGTTGCTCTGGCAGGAGCTGTGGCCGCACTCCCAGAGACTAGTTCATGGGTTTTGATTTGAACACCACGGTGAGCACAGAGGTCTTGCAGGGGCAATGTTTAAAATCACACAGAAGAAAAGCAGAGCACACTTTCTAAAACAAAGAACCACAAGGCCATAAGCAGTGTTTTCAATCGAATCATGAATTATGTTTGTATGGGTTCTTTTGCTTCCAACATTTTTTGGTAAGTGCATTTTATAAAACCCTCAGAGAGTGCAACAGCCATGAGCCATTTGGTTGAGAGCAGAAACACGAGCAGCTGCGTGACCGCCTCATTAGCCGGTCGGTCCTTACGGGCATGAGCGGCATCACGTGCCAGCACCTCCGCGGCTCATTTGGGACCCTGGCTCTTACCTAAACGTGTGAGCTGCAGAGCCACCTTCTCCACTAAATGCTATTATGTACGCTTCGGTAATGTTTGGGAAGATGTACAATAGCTTGATGTTAAGGAGAGTGACATGAATTATACTAGCTAAAACAATAGTTCTCTTAAATTACTTTTCAAATGTGTTCTGTTCAGATCGCTCTGCAGAAGAGCTGGGGAGAGACCTGGTAAAGTGTGGTAAGTTTCAGCACATGGAAAACAACTGAGAGCATGGCTGCTTCCCATCTCCCTCGCCTTCGTTTCCATCCGCCCACGCGGCCGCCTACACCCCCACTGCGCTCTGGCAGGAAGGGCCCCTCTGCCTGCGTCATGCCAGCCACGTCACCACCACAGCCGCTGGCAGCACAGCACCCAGAGGCACTGGGAGTTTCATATCCACGTGAGAAAGTTTCATATCCACATTGCTTGGGAAGGTTTCTTAACTAGGGAATCAATGTTATCAAAGGGAAGGAAGCTACAGACGGTTCCTTAACATGAAGGTAAAGGGTCACTACACTGTATGCCAGTCGGGTAAGAACTGCAGAGTCGCAACATTGAGAACACCGTGAGAAAAAAGTTTCAGCTCTGAACTATCACCCCATCTACAGAGACAGACTTTAACTATTGTTTAACCAACTGGACTCTTCCACTAGTTCCATTAGCAAGGTGACTTTCAATGCTGACTCTCAGTATTTGGATAGTGTTACCAAAGGAGCAACTGAAAAACGATTCTTTCTACAAGCACACAATACGAAGACCAACTAACATTTGTATAACGTGCCAAGCCTTACCTGTTCTACGCTGTTTTTATGCACTTCCTCTCACCCAGTCCTATGGAATACTGCTACTGGCTGCACATCCCCAGTGCACAGCCGTAGATGCAGAGGCTCCTAGAGAGGCTTTTACTTTTTAAACAAACACTACATGGTGTTTACTCTTTGCCAGACATTATTTTAAGCCCTTCCCAAACTTTCGCACATTTAATCTTCAAACAGCCTGGTGAGGTGGGGCCTGGAAGCTTGAAATGTGGGGCCTGGAAGCTTGAGCACGCAGAGGTTGATGTGCTGTGGTCACAGTGGTCAGTGGCAAAGTTAGATGTGAACGAGGACGGCTCAACTGTGTGACTCCACGGCTCACGCCCAGAACTCCTACCCGAGGCCAGCACACGCACACCCCAAATGGAGGGACCACGTGGTGTTTTCTCACCTGAGACATGGAAAACATGCCACAGGTGCCACGTAGAGATACACATTTTCCTATGGTAAAAGGGAGAATTCAAGGAGTTATGTCCACCCTCTATCTCTTCCTCCTCCTATAATGATACAGTTTAAAAAATCTAAAGAGAATTGGTTTACACGCCTTTGAGACCAAGTCAAGAGATGATTGATTGGTTTACATGCCTTTGAGACCAAGTCAAGAGATGATTGGTTTACATGCCTTTCAGACCAAGTCAAGAGAGCAAAAACGCAAACTGAGGAATTCACTTGAACCTAATTTCAAATCCGAAGGTTCATCTCCACCCCTTCTAATATTGGACCGGTACTGAAATGGTTTCGTGGTATAATTGACGAAGCCTCAGGGTATGTAGTGGGCAACTCAGGGGGCTTCCCTGGACTTGAAGCCAGAGTAGGAAATTCCAGCTAGGAGCAATCTCCATGGGCCCAGTGGGGCTTCATGACATGGTGCTCAGGGATCATATTCTGATTCGCAACTGTTGGTGTGATGGGCAGTGGAATGGACACGCATTGGATACGTAGTGGAATGGATCTAGAAAGATCTCCAGGACACATCATCAGTGGAAGAAAGCAAGGGGAAGAACAGTGACTATGTTATGCTACCTTTCAGGTGAGCAAAGAGAAGAACAATATATAGCCAAACTTTATAGGCATTGTATAAAGAAACTCTAAAAAGCCATCCAAAAAATAGCCCTCTCTCCTCCTCCTCCCTTCGTGACTGTGTCTGTGACTGTATGAGTGTGTGTATCTGTGTGAGTGTGTGAGTGTGTACAGATGGAACTGTGGTGAAATGTGGCAGGGGAGGAATGAGTCCTCTCAAAGCATGCCTTGTTATATTGTTTTTATTTCAAGTCATATAAATTAAAATTTTTCTTCAAATATTTTAAGTGATGTGTTCAGTGAAAAACAGAAGCAAAAAGGAAAGCAACACCCTCCATTGGCACGGCTTATGCAGGATATAAATGGAATTCATGTAGAATTAACCTTGGCATTAAAATGTCTCAGACCTAGGCTTTCCCTAAGTTCAATATAGGTCCAGTTACAATGTAGGCTTTGCCTCTTGTTAGCTGTGTGACTTTGGTTAAGTCACATAACCGTTGTGGGGTTAAGTGATAGTTCAGCTTCAGTATCTTTAAAGTGGATAAAACGACACTAACTCCCAGTGTTGTTTCAAGGGTTAAATGTTCTTTTGTTTCCAACATTTTTGTGTGAGTGCTTTTTATGAATCCCCTAGAGAGTGCAAAATACGTCAGTCATTTGGTTCCCAGGGTTAAATGAGGTTAAATGGAGAAATGTCCCTGATACAGTTTGGATGTCTGTTCCCCCAGATCTCATGAGGAAATGTGATCCCCAGTGTTGAAGGTGGGGCCTAATGGGAAGTGTTTGGGTCATGGGGACAGATCCCGCATGAACAGCTTGGTGCTGTCCCTGTGGTGGTAAGTGAGTTCTCGTTCTGTTAGTTCACGTGAGATCTGATTGTTAAAAGGAGCCTGGCACCTTCCTCCCCTTCCCTCTTTCTCCCTCTCTCACTATGCGATGCACCAGTCCCCCTTCCTCTTCCGCCGTGAGCGGAAGCTTCCTGAGGTCTCACCAGAAGCGGATGCTGGTGCCAGGCTTCTTGTACAGCCTCCAGAACCATGAGCCAAATAAACCTCTTACCCAGTCGTGGGTATTCCTTTCGTAGCAACACAAAATGGACTAAGACAATCGCTAAAGTGTCCAGCCCATGGTACGAGCTCAATACATGAAGATACAGACTCAGAGAATGTTCATACCCTGATGCAATGTCCAGTTCTGCCACCGGGTGAGTACAATGTGAGCACTCAGCATGTATCCGTGAGTCACTCATAGCTTTCCCAAATAAGTAAGATACTTTAATTTCACCATTTTTTTTTAACAAGACATTTTTAATGCAATTTATGATTTACTTGCTGGGCTAGTTAACTATAGAATATCGAGTGTCTTATTAGGTAAGGCTCTGTCATTCTCTTTGGTCACACAGAGAATAGGAAGAAGTAGGATTTGAATCCAGGGCTGTCTCATGCCATAGCTTATGATTCTTCTTCCGTGTGCCACCTCCATCCACTTCAGCATGAAATAGTTTCAGCCCGAACTCCGCTCAGTCAACTCTGCGGGGACTGTTATTAATTTCCCCATAAGTTTGGAACTCATCCCATGGTCTCCACTCCAGTCCTCTCCATGGTTTTCTTTCAATGAAAAAGAAATAGCCTTCAGCTTTGGGCTGCTCATCACCTTTCTTCTGGTACATTTCTCTCAAATTCTTACGGCAAATGTTTTGATGGATTCTATTACTCTCCCTGCCTAACATCTGGTCTCCCTGCCTTCAGCCTGGCTCTCCTCCAGTTCCTTTTCCTTTATAAAGCAGACTGGCCTCTGGAAATGGCAACTCTGGTCATGCCCCTCCCTTGCTCAAAACCCTGCAATGACTCTCTCTGCTCTTGGAGGCAGGTCCAAACTTGATGATGGGTTGGTAGGATGGTGATAGGATGTTCATGGGGCTTCCAGCCTCCTCTCCCACACCTGCAGACTCCCCAGTGCACAGAATGCTCTCAGTCCCTTGAATGTGCTGGTACTTCTTGCCTCCAAGGCATTCACACAAGCTCTTACCAGGTGCTTCTGTTCCACCCACACCCCATTTCTATCTGGCATGAAGGTTAATTTCATGTGTTAACTTGACTGAGCCACGGGATGCCCAGATATTTCATCAAACTTTATTCTGGGTAGGTACATGAGGGTGCTTCTGGAGAGACTAATATTTGACTCTGTAGATTGAGTAAAGTGGTTGGCATCCCTGGTGGGGGCCACTGCTCTCCTGCTTCTCAAGCCTCCAGACTTGGACTGGAACCTACAACACCAGCTTTCCTGGCTTTCCAGCTCACTGACTGCAGATCTTGGGACTCCTCAGTGCCTGTGGTCACGTAAGCCAATTCCTTACAGTAATACTCTCTCTCTCTTTCTCTCTCTCTCTCTCTCTCTCTTTCTCTCTCCCCCCCCCCATCAGTGCCTGTGGTCACATAAGCCAATTCCTTACAGTAATATTCTCTCTTTCTTTCTCTCTCTCTCTCTCCCTCTCTCTCTCTCCCCACACACACACACACACACACACACACACACACACACAGAGTCAGGCATCACATAACCACATTTGAGTCACTGATGAGCCACATATACAACAGTGACCTCATAAGTTTATGATACCATATTTTTACTGTACATTTTCTGTATTTCCATATCCTAGTTGCCTACAGATTCAGTAAAGTCACATGCCGTCCAAGTTTGTAACCTAAGAGCAACAGGCCATACCATAGACCCTGTGTGTGTAGTGGGCTGTGCCATCCAGCCGTGTGTCAGCATACTCTGTGATGTTCTTAGACAACAAAATCGCCTGATAACACATTTCTCAGAATGCATCTTCATCATTAAGTGATGTGTGACTGTACACGTGCCCATGCGCACGCATGCACGCGCGCGCACACACACACACACACACACACACACACACACAGCATCGGTTCTGTTTCTCTGGAGAGTCCTGACTAATTCACTGGCCAACTCCTGCTGGTGCCTCAGTGCAGATGTCCTCAGGAGACCTTCTTGGAGCCTCCAAGCCTGTTCCTCCCAGGTGGCCATGCCTTCGCCTCTCAGCTCAGCAGGCACCACTCAGCCCTGAGGCAGCCTGGCTGCGTGTCCTGTGTCCCCATCAGATAATAAACTCTGAGTGGGTGGAAGTGCTGGTCCTGTTAACCATTTCATCTTACGCTTTTCACCCAAGCACTCGGTACATCCTTGTGGAATTGATGAACTGTGTTAGACCCTTGACACTTTCTGGATGTGCACTGAATGAACTGATAAGCAGGCAGCTTATGTCACCCCTTGAATTCCTTACCATGAATCATCTCTTGAGTAGGCCCCTATCTCTTTGTCATTTTAAGTTAAAACATTTGATTTTTAAAAGTACCTAATTAGTCACAGGGTTAATCCTCAAATATAGACCTGGTTCCTGGGCCGGTGAGTGCAGGGAGGCCATGCAGCGTGACAGGGAGGGTGGGGACGCCACAGGAAGGCGTGGGCTTATACCTTGCTCAGCCTCTCTGCTCTATCCACACCTAAGGGGAGCGCTGATAAGTCCTATCCTCCATGGTGAGATTATAAAGGAGCCTGAGGCTGGGATCAAGCGTGCTAAATTCTCACTGTGTTCAGATCAGCAGATCAGATGAGAGGGGTGGGTGAAGCAGGAGGAGCTGCAGGGTTTCCCACGTCTTCAGCATCACACATTGGGCCCTCCAGCCTCTGCCCTACCATCGTCATCATTTGGTCACTACCGGGACTTGCTTGTTCTGGCAGCGCTGGGCTCTCAGCCTCTGGGACTCTGGCCCAGGAAGCCTGTCTGTCCACATTGGGCCCATTTTACTCCCACAGTCACAGAATTCCAGGCCCCCTCTCTCCTGCTGGTCTTCGTGCCTGTCCTGTGGCTAAAGCCTACTGGTTAAATATATCAAGAGAAGAGTTTCTCCTCAAACCCTCAGTCAGAAAGCATTTTCTCGGCAGTAACGCATGCTGTACACAGACATGCCCTGCTAACCTTAGACAGCAGGTTTTATGTGTAGGGAGAAAATGTGTATTTAGAAATTACTTATGCATTTTAAATCATATTGTATCCACCTTTCCCTTCTTTCCTAATGGAATAAACACTCTTACACTAGGGAATACATTAGGGAAAGTATTGTCTAATACAAACAGGAGAAGCGGAATACTGCACTTTATTTCCAAATTCTGACTAAATCCGCAGTGTCTGTACGGCAGAGATAATCCTACATCATTTTTAGATTTTGCAGAAAACTGTCCCTCCCTTATTTTTTAACATCAAAGAGAGGATAGAATCAGTCTGGATAACCATTAACAGCTTAAAAGATATATCAGTGCTAGGTGTCACATTTTAATTTAAAAAAAATCATGATGTCCTCCAATTTGTTTGAAACATTGAATCTATGAATCCATTTCCTGGATGTAGTGATTTGGGTTTCACTCTGGATGCTGTGCAATGTTTATATCAGATACTCATCTGCATTGTTTCAGATGAATAGGATGTGAAATCATTAGTTGAGTGAAACATTTAAAAGTGCACTGAGGCCGGGCACGGTGGCTCACGCCTGTAATCCCAGCACTTTGGGAGGCCTAGGTGGGTGGATCATCTGAGGTCAGGAGTTCAAGATCAGCCTGGCCAACATGGTGAAACTCTGTCTCTACTAAAAATACAAAAATTTGCTGGGCGTGGTGGTGGATGCCTGTAGTCTCATCTACTTGGGAGGCTAAGGCAGGAGAATGGCTTGAACCCAGGAGGCAGAGGTTGCAGTGAGCTGAGATGGCACCACTGCACTCCAGCTTGGGCGGCAGAGGGAGGCTCCACCAAAAAAAAAAAAAAAAAAAAAAAACCGAGTGCACTGAATTTTAAAAAATATAAATAGCAGACAAGCATAATTCTCCATGTTATCATCATGATGCTTTCTACACTATTATTTTAAAACCTACAACTATTGTTTAAGAGCTGTTTAGTAATTGGTGTTGAGAACCTGATTTACTTGAACGATGTTCCCCAATCTGAAAGAACAGTACTGTGCTTCCCATATCTTGGCACCAGTTACATTCATCTCCGGGTTCATTTGTTTTCTGGGGCCAATTCATTTCAGGCAAAAAGGTCATAATCTAACTCATTCACGGGGCCTTCCTGAAACAGTTCTCAGGCTTCAAATAGTACCTGGTGTTCCCATAAATGCTCATACACAGTTTTAGAAGTTTTTTTTCCAGTTAATATGCAATGATAGGAAATCAACTTATTTTCTTTTTATAAAATTTATTCTGGATTTCATCATGTCTACTTTGAAGTAAATATTTTACTTTTAATGGGTACAAGTTGAAACATCTCACAAAACCACTCAACACTTATGTGCAAAAATGTTAGCTAATATATAATTCAAGGGACTGTAAGTGTAACATAATTTGGCATTGGTTCTATACCAAGCTTCCTTTCTTTGGGGGCCGTGCACACGTATATCTCATCATAAGTTAATTAGATGCAGAGACAAATTTACAAAATCAAAGACAGAGAATCCTTTATTTTGTTTAACATCACCCTCAGCCTTATAATTAAACAATTCTCAGGCCATTATGCACCACGTTTAACTGCAGTGGCCACAGGCACGGGACCATGAGAGAGGGCAGCCTGCCTCAATTAGCACTGCTGTAACTGAAGTGGGCTGCGGGCACAGCCAGCAACAGTGAGACAAGGACGAACCATTTGGCATGGGGCAGAGCAGCGGTCAGATGCACAAGCATGGCGTGGAATCCTGCAGGGCTAGCGTTTGCATTCACTGCTCCTCAACTCTGAGTCCCTAAGTGTCTTATCACAGCCACAGGTGGGGCAGGAGAGCAGCGGGCGGTGTCGGGAGACCGGGACTCCCCCCATCTCTCTGCTACCTGAGCTGAGCTGCTTACCACAGTGGACGCTGCTGCCTCGTTTATAAAGAAGGCAGATATCACATGCCATGCTCTCTTAAATTTCTGTCCAGCTGTAAGCTCCTATGTGTCAAAAAAATTCACCCAGTAGCTTTTGTTTTATTTTTAAATTATCTGGGACAGAGGATAGATGAGAAGGGAATGTTGATGGTAAAGAGAAAATGCAAAATTAGAACAAAATCAGGCTCCCAAACGAAACAGAAACAAAAAACAAAAGCAACTGATCAAGAGTGTTACCTCCCTAAAAACAGGATAGTAACAAGTTTTCAGCTTCCTCATGTCTTCCGTAGCCTTCAATTCAGGCCATTACAGGATTTCTCCTCTCTCCCGCCCCAGGAATAAGTCTCTTATGTGAAAATGAAGTCAATGGAAAATTACATTTATTTTATAGCCACATTTCTCTAACACATTTCCCCCGGAAGTAAACAATTTTCTATATAGAGACATAAGACTTATTTTCCCTAAGACAAACAATATGCATAATATTAACAGTGAGTAAATTAGAGACCAACTTCCAGCATGGCAGTGTAAGGAGCTCCTTGAAGTTGCTCCCCAGTGAGCCTGGTGAAAACTACCAAAAAAAAAAAAAAGAAAGAAAAGCAAAAACCAAAAACAAAAAAACATATAGCCTCTGGAAATGGTAGAAGGAGCAAACAGCAAATGACAAAATCTCTTTTCAAGACAATCTATCAAAATCTGGTAGGAATGGTGAGAGTCTGTGCTATTTGAGCTAAGAATGCACCTCTGTTCCCTTCTCCCAGCTCAGGGAGGTGGGGAGTCCATGCCAAAGACTGCAGCCAAGAACACAGGGCCCTCCCCAGCACCCAGCTGGAGGACTTTCCTCCTTGGGAGGGGCAGGACTTCAGGGCTTCTCATCTTGTCCCCTAACCCCTCATGCCCTGCCGCCTGTTGCTGAGGCTAAGTACCAGATGAGTGTGGTGAAAAAGTTGGGAGTGGGGGAGAGGTGCAGGCTGTAAAACAGATAGCTCCTGTATCTTCGCAGAGGAACTGACTTGATGTGCAACACAGTCTGGAGGAGGTTAAACCTGAGGGCACTCTCAAGAACAGTGGAGTTGTGGTGAAAGGCAACTGGGCAGAGATTTGTGCATCTACTGTAAAGACAGCCTAGATGGTAGGCTCGCTAGTGCACAAGGGAGAATCGGGGAATGAGACATCTGGCAGGAGTCCTCTTGAGGTCAGAAAAAATATCGAACGTTGACCTTAGAAACTGTTCCTTCCAAGGAGCCAGAATTTGATGTTTGTAATGCAATTTATGCTCCAGGGCACTGTTGAAAACACCCAGGGCAATCAGCCAGCAAGGCAGTTAGTGGGGTTGAACCTCTGTGTGAAGTCAAGAAAAGAGAGGAAGAGAGTCCCACCAGTACTAATGTCACCCCAGGGTAACTGGCCACACCCAAAGCTATGCCTCTCAAGCAGCAACATCAGAGACATGACACTGTGTGTTGGTGTTGGGGAGGGGGAAGGAAGATGGATGTCACTAAAATAATCCAGCCAGTAACTAAGTGAATAAACAAAGCAATAAGAAGCCCCGGGGAGAAGAAGACCAGTATCCAGAGCTGCTACAATATATTACAGTGGTCCTTTTTTATCCCAGGTTTTACTTTTCACAGTTTTGTTTACTTATGGTCAACCTCATTCTGAAAATACCGAATGAAAAATCCCAGGAATAAATGAATCGTAAATTTTAAATCTCACACCATTCTGACTAGTGTGATGAAATCTTGAACCATCCTGCTCTGTCCTGCCCAGGATGTGAATCACCCCTTTGTCCAGCATATCGATGGACACTACCTGCCCATTAGTTGCTTAGTAGCCCCTCTCTGTTGTCAGATTTAAAAAACATAGTATATGTAGGGTTTGGTACAATCTGTAGTTTTAGGGATCCACTGGGGGGGTCTTGGAATGTGTCCCCTACAAGAAATGGGGGACTACTCTATCTGAAATGTTCAGTTTCAAGTGAACAACTATGAGATATGTAAGGAAACAGGAAAGTATGACCCATATACTGGGGAGAAAAAGGCAAAAAACAAAACGGCAACAGAAAATTGCATGTGAGAATGACCAAATGTCAGATTTAACATATTTCAAACTAGTCGTTGTAAATATGTTCACACAACTAAACGAAACCATGATTAAAGAAGTAAAAAAGGTAATGTTGCATCAAGTAGAGAATATCAATAAAGAAAGATAAACTATGAAAAAGAGCCAAGAGGAAATTATTCAAGTACAAAGCACAATAACTAAAATAAAAAATTCAGCAGAAGGACTCATCAGTAAATATGAACTGGCAGAGGAAAGAATGCTCAAACCTGATTGATAGAGATGATGCTAGCTGAAGAACAGAGAGAAGAATAGAAAAAAGAAAAATGAACAGAGCCTCAGAGGAAAGAGAGGTGCCATTAAACATACCCAAATACATATCATGGAAGTACCAGAAATGAGGAAAAAAGTATTCAAATAAATAATGGCTGAAACTTCCCAAATTTACTGAAAAATGGTAACCATCCAGGAAGCTTAATGAACCCCAAGTAGAATAAACTGAAAGAGAATCAGGAAAAGACATGCCATAGAAAAATGCTGAAAGTCAAAGACAAGGGAACATTTTAAAAGGAGAGGAGAAAAATGATGCATCAAGAAAAGGAACAGCTGACTTCCCAGCAGAAACAATGGAGGCCAGAAAGCCAAGTGGGATGACATATACAAAGTGTTGAAAGAAAAGGAAAGCTGTTAACGTCTAGCAAAGCTGTAATAAAAAACTAAAGGCAAAATAAATACCTTTTCAGACAAAGAAAAACATTCCATTTGGTGCTATCTGACCTGTCTTATGAAAAATACTAAAGGAAGTTTTTCAAGCTGAAAGGAAAGGCAAGACTGCAATTTGAGTTCATATGAACAAACACAGACCACAACATATATGAAACTTGAAGACCTTGTGTTAAATGAAACAAGCCAGTTATAAATAGAAAAGTACTATACAAGTTCATTTATATGAGGTTCCTAGAGTAGTCGAATTCATCAAGATAGAAAGTAGAATGGAGGCTTTCAGGGACTGGGTAGATGGGGCGATTGGAAGTACTTAATGGGTGAGTTTCAGTTTGGGAAATTGAAAAAGCTCTGGAGATGGATGATGGTGATGGTTGCACAAAAATATGAAGTACTTAAGGCCACAGAACTGTGCAGTTAAATATAGGTAAAATGGAAAATTTTATACTACGTATATTTAACTACAATTTTAAATATCAATTGCAACTACAGGAGAAAAGAAGAAAGAGCATCCCTGGTTTATTCCTGTTACGCCGTCACTGTCCCTCTGACAGTAGTATGAATTCCTGCCAACCCCTAGAATGAGCACCTCAGAATGTTATTTTATTCCTCAGGCTTTGGATTTATGAAATCAATACCATGAAGTGAATCTCTCCTTTCTCTTCAACTTCTCATCTTCCTATTATTAAAACAAATAAACAAGCCATGTTTCCTGAATTTTAAATGCTATAAACATCTCCCATAAACCCTAGGGAGACTATTCAGTAATAATACTGAATTATACTGAATACTGCTCAAGGCTGCTTGAGTTGAGGCAGTTACAGGAAAAGCAGGACCTCCTTGACTCAGGTTAGCAGTCTCCTCTGTCTCTACAGAAATACTATGGTAAGCCTTACATTCTAATCCTTTTTCTAGTTATAAAATATGAAAACTGGAATAAATAACCCTAATAAAGGCTAACACATAAGAAAAGAACAGGCAACGCAAGCTGGAGTCTTACATAGGGAACACTACTTGTAATCGTAAATGTGAGATGTGGCCTAGTATAGTGGAAAGAGCAAGGGTTTGAAATCAGACAAATAAAAAAATAGAGCGAAAAAATAATTAATGAAATTAAAATGCTACATTAGAAAATAACCACTCAATTCTTGGCCAGATGTGGTAGATCATGCCTGTAATCCCAGGACTTTGGGAGGCTGAGGTGGGTGGATCACCTGAGGTCAGCAGTTCAAGACCAGCCTGGCCAACATGTTGAAACCCCATCTCTACTAAAAATACAAAAATTAGCCAGACGTGGCGGCATTTGCTTGTAGTCCCAGCTACTCAAGAGGCTGAATTGTTTGAACCCAGGAGGTGGAGGTTGCAGTGAGCTGAGATCACTCCACCGCACTCCAGCAGGGGTGACAGAGTGAGACTTTGTCTCAAAAAATCCAACCAAACAAAAAAACAAAAACAAATAAATAAATAAAATATTCACTCAATTCTAAAGAAAGTAGTAAAGGAGAAGTAGAAGGATAAAAGAGACATGAGATATATAGAAAGCAAAATGTAAAATGGCAAACATAAATTCAACTATGTTAATAATAACATTAAAAGTAAATGGGTTAACAATTCATCAAAAGGCAGAGATTGTCAGACTGAATAAAAAACATGGTCTAACTATGTGTTGCATACAAGAGATACACTTTAGATTTAAAGATACAAATAGATTTAAGGTAAAAGGATGAAAAAGATATATCATAGTAAATATTAACCACAGGAAAGGTGAAGTGGCTGGATTAATATCAGACAAAATAAACTTTAATACAAAAAATGTTAGTAGGGATAAAGAGGGGGCATTTTATAATGATAAGTGGTTAATCCAACAGAAATATTTGACATTTATAAAGATATGCATTTAACAACAGAGCACCAAAATATAGGAAACAAAACCTAATGAACATAAAAGGAGAAATAGAAAATTCAACAAAAATATGCAGGCTTCAATACCCCAATTTTAATAATGAGTAGAAAAATGAGACAGAAGATCAGATCAACAGGGAAATAGAAGACTTGGATAACACCGTAAACAAACTGGACCTAACAGATTGCAATAGAACACTCCAACTAATAACAGAGTATACATCCTCAAGAGCACTGGGGACATTCTCCAGGATAGACTATATGCTAGGCCATAAAAATAATCCCAATAAATTTAAAAGGAGCAAAATAGTACAAAATATTTTCTCCAGCAACAATGGAATAAAATTGGAAATTACTAATGGAAAAATTTGGGAAATCCACAAATATGTGGAAATTAAACACATTCTTAAACAACCAATGGGTCAAAAATCAAAAAGAAAATCAGAAAATACTTTGAGATACATAAAAATGAAGACATAGCATACCAAAACTTATGGGACGCAGCTAAAACAGTGCTTAAAGGGAAATTTACAGCTGTAAATACTTATATTAGTAAAGAAGAAAGATCTCAAATCAATAACCTAACTTTTCACCTTAAGACACAGGAAGAAGAAGAGCAAACAAAACCTAAATCAAGCAAAAAGAAGGAAATTATAGAGTGGAAATTAATGAAATAGAGAAAATTAAAAATTAGAGAAAAAATAATGAAACAAAACACTGGTACACAAATGTTTATAGCAGCATATTTATAATAGCTAAAGGTAGAAGTAACCCAGATGTCCATCAATGGATGAATGGAGAGACAAAATGAAGTACTGATACACACTACAATGTGGATAAACCTTGAAAACATTATGCTCAGTGAAAGAAACCAGTCACAAGAGACCACATACTGGATGAGCCCATTAATGTGAAAGTCCAGAAGAGGAAAATCTATAAAGACAGAAGATGGTTGTGTAGGGATGAGAGGAAGGGGATGGGGTAGGGGGCAGGGTAGGGATACAAGGAATGAGAGGTAAAGAGCATGGGGTGTCTTTTCAAAGTAATGAAACAGTTCTAAATTGATTGTGGTGATGGTTGCATATATCCATGAATATGTCAAAAACTATTAAATTGCACATTTCACACAGGCGAATTACATGGTGTGTGAATGATATCTCAATAAATCTTTTTTTCAAAAATGATCTTGTCACTTGGAGGCTTCTGACAGTAGCACCTATGTCGTGCACGCATTTCTTTTTACCGTTTTGCAGGTAATGTTATATAAAATAAGAGAGTTTGGGGGAAAGGAAATTGAAATGCCATTTATCACCCAATACATTGTGTAATTTGGGGATTGGAGAGAGGTAGTCACATTTGAACTAAAGATTTGTTACAGAAGTATTGCACCACAAGGCTACCTTCCATTTTTGAATAGCATTTATGCAATTTACTAGATTCTTCATATCACTAGGCGGTCCTCCAGAGAAGAAGTTGACACTTAACATTTATGTGACTTTTTGTCTCAGATCTGGGATGAAGTTATCATGCGGGTGATTTTATAGGTACCAATGAGCAAAAGTAAGCCATTTGAAGTGTTTATTGATGCAGATTGGTTGGCAGCAGTGGTTGGGAAATTGTT